>NC_000006.12:29756969-30060000 GCF_000001405.40 Homo sapiens | reverse complement strand
ACTTATCTGTGTGTCTCCTTTGAAAATGGAACTTGAAATTCTACCCTCCTCAGTTTTCTGTTTTTAATTTGAAAAACAGCCAACATCCCCTGTGAATTGCAGTAAAGGAACAAAGCATTAAAAGGCATATCCTTTTCCCAACAAAAGCTCACAGTCTAATCAGTAAAGATTTATTGAGCAACTATGCCAGGTTTTGAGCTGAGGCTGAGCCTGCAAAGTTGAAATCTGTGTTCTCTGACCTCAAGGAACATGAATGAATAATTAGAATATAATAAAACTGTGCTAGTAGGTACAAAATGTGAGAGCCCAGAACATGCATATAAAGGAAACATATCTGTAAACTTCAAGGAAGACTGGGAAATGGCTTAATAAAAATAGATACAATGTTATGGCAGATATTTAAAAAAGATGCTCAGATATTATGTGTCAAGGATCATCAGCAATCAGCAAATCATTAATTTTGAGAACTTGGGATCACAGACTCTAATGTTAAGTATTGTGCTAGAAGCCATGTACAGAGAAGTAAAAGTAAGATGATCATACGTTTACAATCTCAAAATAAGCTTACGTAGACAAATAAGAATGTTCCTAAGAGGTCAGTGAGACCAAATATTTGATATCAGATCCTTTCCAACAATATAGAGGCATCATATTTGTAGATATAAATTACAGTTTTCATTCCTTATGAGCCTAAATTTCAGCATCAAAATGTTAAAAGTGATATGTGAATACAGATATCACAGTGTAAACCACGATTAATTTTCAAATGAGTTGTAGAATTAAAATATGTCAAGTATTTAGAGGAAGGGAAGATCACTGACAGAGTAGACTGGAAAGACTTTATAATCAGGAGCTTGACCTGTGAAGGACAGATAGATAGAATTTATTGAGAACTTACCAAGCTCTTTACATCTAATTCATATTTGTTCTTTATAACCCTGAGAGGCAGATTTTTGTCTTACATCTCCATTTTATAGATGAGAAAGCTGACAGAAGTTACTTGCCCTGAGTCACACACCTAGGAAGTGGTAGAATTAGATTTCAGATCTAGCTCTGTCAGACTGTAAAGACCATCCTTTGAACTCTAAATGGTATAAAAGACATACAGAGGAAATGCCAGGCATCCTCAGTGGCTTAAATACGACATCACAGTAAACTCAGGCTAGACCAGGGATGACACATAAAAGATGATAGTTTTCATTTGTGTTGCCATCAGCCTCCTCTATAAATAAACCCAGAGTAACCACAAATTGCCATCCTGAGGGGTTCAACAGGGAATAGTCTCATAATGGATTTAGAGTGAAGGATGATTGGCATTGTTAGTCAGGCAAGCAGAGGGCTGAGCAGTCAAATAACAGAATTTCAGAACAAAAGATTAGAGGGCAGAAATGCTGTATGTGCTGATAGAGTCAGAGAGGGCCCGGATCAAGAAACTGCAGGAAGAGAAAACTAGAAACCTAGAATCGTCTAGAAAACTAGAACCTACAATCGTCTCAGAACACAAAGGAGGCTTGAGGACTGAGCAGACTGACATAGATGTACTTGGACAACACCTCACCAAGGAGCATGTCTCTTCCCACTCACAATCCCCAATACGAGATTCACAGTGGTTCACGCTGAGTCCACAGGAAAAGTATGCTTGTTCATATGAAAGGAAAGATCCTCTTATTAAAAGAGCATTCATTATTTTCTACCATAGGAATGCAGTGGTTTCCCATGGGGGAAATGGCCCTGCTGTAGTCCTCCCTATTAGCAGATTTGTTCTGACACCTCCTACATTTGAATCTACCTTGCCTTTTTTATCTTCCAGATTGGCCTGGGGTACATCATCTAAAGATCCTAGGATTGCTGCAGGTCAGCAGTCTCCACTGGAAAAAAAGATCTTGGTAAGTAAATTATCTTCACATCATACAGTTTGGAACTACACAGAGAAGGAATCTTAGGTTTAAAATCCTTCTGCCCAAGTGACACATTCAGGTAGTATGTCTACACTGGCAAATGTTACCCAGCTATATCCACAGTTGCAAAACAAAGTATCATTTTTGGAAACTTCCAACACCATACATTTTTAAACCTAGTTACTGATTTGTGGTGGTGAGTACTTAATACTTTCAGAGCTCCCAGGCTCACCTGGGAGTGATGGGAATAAAATAACAACTAAGCTAAAGTAAAGAGCATGTAGCTTTTCCTGGTGTCATTAGGGAGGGTGGGCTTGGCTCCTGTTTAAATGTGTTCAAAGGAAAAAGATGATCACATTATAAATTTCTGACTTCACTTTGACAGAATCTAGGTGGTGTGCATACAACAGCAGCAAGACAGTTGATAATGCAGAAATATCAGGAGGAGTGTGAAATACTCTGTAGGGAGCAAGCTGTTTCTCTTGACTACTGGCTTGCCAAAGCAGAGTCTTATTATAATAAAATAATAGTGGAAATGATGAAAGAAGAGACAGGCAATGAAATCTAGAAAAAAATGGAGGAGAAAACAACCCAGAGCGTAGAAGGACTAAAACAGTACTGTTTGGTACCTGAGAGAGAGATGAAACACATAGAAAGGCACATACATCAAACAGGAAAGGCTGGAGAATTTAAGAACAAACCATTTAGACAAGTACTACAACCCCCCAATGAAACAAAATTACCAAAAATTATGCCAGAAGGGCATGGCATCCAGAACGCACAGAGAAGAAAGCAGGTAAATGAGAGGGAACAGATGCAGACTAAGGATCACCAGGAACGCATGATTCGAGGGAGAGAACTTGCAGAACAAAGACTCAAGGAGAGAATCTTGAGAAGAAGCCAGAGCCAGCTACTTACATATGAGAAGCATGAGAGAGTAAAAGAGATAAAGGAGTTTGAAAGAGTTATTGCGTATCTTCTTTTCCAACCATGCAGTAGAAGTCGGATTAAAGTGAGTATTCTTATGGATAAGTCTCAGAATGGAGAGAAGGTGAATACAATTGTGAAACCATATCAAAGAAAATTCTTGGCAATGCCACCCTTTTTAAGAAGTCAAATAGGAAAAATAAGAGATTAAAGTTTCAATGCTGTTATGATAAAATCATATCTCTTAAGTGAACCCTTTTTTTTTTCAAATGCTCGTTCTCTCCAGGGTTCAGTGAATATTCCCATTTGTATCAGATACAGATAGATAGTTCTGCACTTGAAAATTAGCTTAACTTTTTTAGTTGACTTGCATTTGTTCAAGTTGCATATCCTTTCTAGTGTTCAGTGTCCTCATCTTTAAAATGGCAATAATATTTGATGGCATTTATGGAAGGACTGTTTTTTTTGTGAAGTGTAGGTATGTATTAGTTGTTTCATAAATGTTAGTTTCCCCACTTGGAAAGACCGGGGTTGGGCAATGGTGGTGAATAAAGAATTGTTCTAATCTTCTTCTCTTATTCTCCCTGTTCCCAGCCCTCCAAGGTTATTTTGATGAGATTGCTATAGTTTAGTATATGGTCTTTAATATCATACCTTCATCAGATAACTACTAGCCAGCCCCTAAAAGTGTAACTTGCTCTGTACAATTTATTTGAATGAGAAACTTAATTTTGAGAGCCTCCTACATGCTAGGCATTATGTTAGTTACTGAAGGTGAATAAAGAGAAGTCTCTGCCCTTGAATAATTTTCAACTAATGGCATAGATCACTCTATAAACAGATAATGTAGTAAATAAAGGTTACAATAGAAAGGTACAGGGTGCTTTACAAAGGACGGATTCTAACCTGGCCCAGGTGAGCAGGGTGAAAAGGAGGAAGGTTAGGGAAGGGAGTATTATAGTCTGTCATGTTTCTTCCAGCTTTTTTTGTCACTTCCTATCACCCACTTAAGCAAGACCTTCCTAATGCTTGGATCCACTCAGGGATAATCAAACTCAGCCTTTCTCAAACTCATGTTTTTGGCGCTCATTGATAAATCAGAAAGCAAATTTATAAATTTAGTGAGAATTACAGTTGTCAAGCAGAATGAAATTTGTGTTTTCTAGTCAGTTTATTTTCTTCCCAGATACCAGAAAGTTGGGAAAGCAGGGGTTCAGAGTTGGTAAGCAGAGAAGCAAATAAATGGAAATAGATGCCCTCAGGAATATTATGCTTAAGTTGTGATAATTCTGATGCCCACCTTGCTTTACTAGCAGAACACCCTTTACCCTGGATACTGCTAGGTCAGCCACTGATACAAATGTTCTGTGTCTGTGCTCCTCAGTACAGTAGCCCTTGCTACACGTGGCTGTTGAGGCATTTAAAATGTGGCTGGTGCAGCTGTGGAATGGAATGTTTAATTGAATTTCATTTAAATTTAAATTGCCACATGTGGCAAGTGACTACCCTGTTGCACAGTGTAGCACTGGATAAACATAACTTCTGTGTTCTAGATTCCAGTCCCACCATTAGCTTTCTGTTTTTGACAGTGTTTGCTGGTATGATAGGTCACTGTTCATTTTACATTACTATCAGTTTAGTTTCCTTTGCATTTCAGAGGCTCCCTAATCCCTTAAAGAGATTTAAAAATCAATGTAGACCACTTCTGTGTGAAAATAAGATGACTGAATTTGCTTTGATTGGAATTAGGAACTGACCTCTCTTTGCTAGTTCTGGAATTTGGCCAGGATGCACATCAAAATCTCATTCCTACCCTCCTGATTTGCCTCATGGAAACTTCGTTGCTGTGTCTGTTCTCTGGTCCTCTATTGCTATGTCTCAGCTTTAGATTCTATGTTTTGCATAGAAATGGATCATCAGAATGCAACAGGCAGAAGACTTAGAAGTGCAAATCAGTAGGGTAATGACAAGCCCTTTGAGCTGAGTGGGACTGAAAAGTAACCTAACATATAACCTATTAGTAATTGTTTACCATGAAGGTTTTCAGTGCTGGACACATAAATTGCTGAGTTCAACTGCCCTCTTTCCCCTCCAAATCTAGCATAAAAGCAACTGGTGCTCTCAGGGCAATTTCACACCTAATACGGCTAAGAATAAAAGTCTATGTTTCAGGAACTCAGTTTGTCCAAACCTGCATCCATCATCTACCTCAAATTATATCCACCTTTTCATTTCTTTGCACTGTGTCTGCTTAAATCTTGAGTCACACTTAATGTTTTTTTTTTGGTCTTTTTTCTTTTTAATGTGAAATAGAATATACAATACACAAATGAAAATGTATATTTAGAAGAACAATAATAAATGTCCAGGTGCCCGTTGCTCAGACTGAGAAATGGAACATTACTACATCCCAGGAGCCTCGTATGCTCTCATTCATATCTCTCTCCCCTGCAGCCAGAGGCAACCACTATCCTGAATTTTGTATAACTGTCACCTAGCTTTTATAGATTTTACTGTCTGTGTATCCCTAACAGTTGCTTATTTATAGCCTTTATATAAATAGAATTATACTGTATATGACTGACTACTTTTGCTCATTATTATTTTTGGATTCATCCATGTTGATGTGTGACACTGTAGTTCATTTCCATGACATGAATATGCCACAACTTAATTATATATTCTGTTGATGTCATTTAGTTGTTTCCAGTTTTTGTTTTATTTTTCTTTTAAAAATGATACTTAGATAAACATTAACATGTTTAATCTTATGTTCTGGTGACTGTGTACTAGATATATGTATGATATATAAATTGTGGTACATTTATTTGACAGGCCTGATCTTGAAGCCTGTTAGATTTCTGTTCCTTTGTGGCATTATGCCTGTAAGCCTGTTCTGTAGAGTCTGGCACATGTTAGCCTCTTAATAGATATTTGTTGAAAGAAAGGACATTTGTTAACTGCTGGAGACAGGCCCAAAATACATAAATAGCTGATAACAGACCACTTTAGCTTTTTACTCATCTTGTCCAGGTACAATCATAGTCAACCTCTGTTTATGCTTATATTTCAGTTGAGGTACTAAAATATTTGTTTACTTAGTTGGTTTTCAGTGAGCTTCCAGTACAGGATTTGTTTCTCTTTCTGTCACTTTTCCCAAAACTTTCACTCCACTGCCTTCTAGAAAAGATCACCCACATGTCGTCTCCTCAAGGCACCTGCAGCACGAAAGTTTTATTTCTGAACAAAAGGGTCCCCAGAGAAGGAGACAAGGAGTCTCCTTTCAGTACGAGGTTGCTGGAGTCCCTAGAGGGTCAAAGGCTGTGTAATAACAGTTCCTTCTTGTCTGCTGGACAAAAGCTTCTGAGCCCTCAAGCACCCTGTGACTTAGTTCTGATAGAGTACTGAGTTTGGAAATGGCAGAGTGGGGACCCAAAACAAATCTTCCAATTCCAAATTCAGTTTTATCCACCTTTTCAAATAAGATTAAAAAATGTTAATGTCTGTTGATTTGTGTGTGTTGAACCACTCTTGTATCCCTGGGATGAATCCCAATTAATTGTGGTATATTTTTGATATGTTGTTGGATTCAGTTTGCTAAAATTTTGTTCAGGATTTTTGTGTATATTTTCACTAGGAAGATTGGCCTGTAATTTTCTTTTTTTTTTGTATTCTTCTCTGCTTTTGGTATCAGGGCAATGCAGGCTTCATAAAATGAGTTAAGAATAATTCCTTCCTCTTCAGTTTTTTTTAAATATTTTGAGAAGTATTGGTATTAATTTTTCTTTGTATGTATGGTAGAATTTGACAGGAAAGCCATCTGGTCCTGGGCTTTTCTTTATTGAGACACTTTTAATTACTGATTCAGTCTTATTACTCATTGTTGGTCTGTTCAAGTTTTCTATTTGTTCCTGGTGAAATGTCTACAAAAATTACAAAAATTAGCTGGGTGTGGTGGCATGTGCATGTAGTCCCAGCTACTTAGGGGGCTGAGGCAGGAGGATCGCTTGAACCTCAGGAGGTTAAGGCTGCAGTGAGCTGGTATTGCGCCACTGTGTTGCAGCCTGGGTGACAAAGTGAGACCCTATCTCAAAAATAAAAAAAATTCATATGGAACCACAAAAGAGCCCCATCCAATAGTTAAGCTATAGTAATAGCTTTGTAACTGTTATAGTAGAAACCAAATCATCATGGTACCGGCCTAAAACAGACACATAGACCAATGGAAAGAATAGAGAACCCAGAAATAATTTCATATACTTACAGCCAACTGACTTTCAACAAAGGCACCAAGAAAGGACACCCTTTTCAATAAATGGTGCTGGGAAAACTGGATATCCATATGCAGAAGATTGCAGCTAGGCTCATATCTCTTACCATATTAAAAAATCAACCAAAAATGGATTAAAGGCTTAAATGATAGATCCGAAACTATGAAACTACTAAAAGAGAATATAGGGGAAATGCTCAAGAACATTGGTCTAGGCAAAGATTTTATGGTTAAGACATCAAAAGCATAGGCAACAACAACAAAAAATAGGCAGGTGGGACTATATTAAACTAAAAATCTGCACAGCAAAGAAAACAACAGAGTGAAGAGACCAACTGTAGATGGGAACAATATTTTCAAATTATCCAACAGGGGACTAATATCCAGAGTGTACAAGGAACACAATTCAACAGTAAAAAAAAAAAAAAAATCCCCTTAAAAATGGTCAAGGGATCTGAATAGAAATTTCTTAAGAAATACAAATGGCCAACATGTATGTGAAAAAGATGCTCAACATCACTAATTATCAGGGAAATTTAAAGCAAACCACAATAATATATCATCTTACCCTAGCTAGAATAGCTATTATTAAAAAGACAAAAATGGTAGCTAGGATATAAAGACAAACTCTTACACACGGTTGGTGGGAAGGTGAATTAGTACAGCCACTATGGAAAACAGTATGGAGATTTCTTAGAAAACTGAAAATAGATCTGTGTGATCCAGCAATACCACCACTGGGTATTTATCCAAAGGTAAGGAAATCGATACATCAAAGGGATACTGGCACCCCCATGTTTACTGTGGTACTATTTACAATAGCAAAGACAGGGAATCAACCTAACTGTCCATCAATGGATGAATGGATTAAAAAGATACGGCATATATACACAATGGAATACTATTTAGCTATAAAAAGAATGGAATCTTGTCATTTCCACTAACATGGACAGAACTGGAGGTTCTGATATTAAATGAAATAAGCCAGGCACAGAAAGACAAATATTGCATGTTCTCACTCATGTGCGAGCTTTAAAAGGTTGATCTAATCGAGGTAAACAGCAGAAAGATAGTATCCAGAGGCTGGGAAGGGTGTGTGTGTGTGTGTGTGTGTGTTTGTGGGTGTGTGAGGGGGGTGATGAAGAGAGGTAGGTTAATGGGTACGAACGTACAGTCAGATAGAAGGAATAAGTTCTAGTGTTTGATAGCACAGTAGGGTGACTATAATTAACAACAATATATTGTGTATTTCAAAATAGCTAGAAGACTTGTAATGTTCCCAACACAGAGAAATAAATGCTTGAGGTGACGGATATCCTATGTACCCTAACTTCATTATTAGATACTATGTGTGTATCAAAATATCACATGTACCCCATAAATATGTGCAAATATTATGTACAAATAAAAAGTCACACTGTACAATTTTTATTTGTCAATTATACTTCAATAAATCTGGAAAAAAATAAAGTATGTATGCAATCAAAGTTTTAAAGTATATTCCCAAATATGTGCAACCATCACTGCATTCAATTTTAGAATATTATCATCGCCTGAAAAAGAAACCCCATGCCCTATAGCTATTACTCTCTTATTCCCCCTTCCCCATCACCCCAAACCCTAAGCAAGAGTTAATCTATGTCCTACCTGTATGGATTTGCCTATTTTGGAAAATTCATATGTAAATATAATCATATATGGTCTTTTGTGACTAGTTTCTTTCACTTAATGTTTCCAAGTGTCATTTATATTATAGCATGTATCAGTATTTCATTGCTTTTTATGGCCAAATAATACTGTATTCCATAGATGTATCACATTTGTTTATTTATCGGTTTATAGACATCTGGATTGTTTCTGTCTTTTGGCTAATACAAATAATGCATCTATGAATGTTCATTTACAAATTTTTGTGTGACACATTTTTATTTCTCTTGGACATATACCTAAGAATGGGTGAGTCGTATGGTATCTTCATTTTTAATCAGTTGAGCCACAGCCTGACTCCTTCCAAAGTGACTACATAATTACACATTCCTGCCAGCAGTGTCTGAGGGTTCTCATTCCTGCATATCCTTAACAATACTTATTATCTGATGTTTTGATTCTAGCCATTCTTTGGCTGGGAAGTGGTATCTCGTGTGTGTGTGTGTGTGTGTTTGTGCGCGCGTGCGTGTGTGTGTTTTAGACAGAGTCTCGCTCTGTTGCCCAGGCTGGAGTGCAGTGGTGTGGTCTCGGCTCACTGCAACCTCTGCCTCCCAGGTTCAAGCAATTCTCCTGCCTCAGCCTCCCAAGTAGCTGGGATTACAGGTACCTGCCACCATGCCCAGCTAATTTTTTCTATTTTTAGTAGAGATGGGGTTTCACCATGTTGGCCAGGCTGGTCTGGAACTCCTGACCTTGCGATCCACCCACCTTGGCCTCCCAAAGTGCTGGAATTACAGGTGTGAGCCACCATGCCCAGCCTTCACTGTGGTTTTAAATTGCATTTCCCTAATAATGTCGATCATCTTTTTTATGAACTTATTGGCTATTTGTATATCTTCTTTAGGGAAATGACTGTTCATATCTTTTGCTCATTCTATTTTTATTTATTTATTTAGAGACGGAGTCTTGCTCTGTCATCCAGGCTGGAGTGGAGTGGTGCGATCTTGGCTTACTGCAACCCCCGTCTCTTGGGTTCAAGCGATTCTTGTGTCCCAGCCTCCCAAGTAGCTGGGACTACAGGTGTGTGCCACCACACCCAGCTAATTTTGTATTTTTAGTGGAGGCAGGGTTTTACCATGTTGGTGAGGCTGATCTCGAACTCCTGACCTCAAGTGATCCACCCACTTCAGCCTCCCAAAGTGCTGAGATTACAGGCGTGAGCCACTGCGCTCGGACTCCTTTGCTCATTTTAAAATTGGGATTATGTGTGTTTTGCAATTAAGTTGTAGGAGATTGTTATATATTCTAGAAACATCTCTTGTTAAATGTATGATTTGCAAATCTTTTCTCCTTTCCTGTGGGTTTTTTTCACTTTTAAAAAAATTCTTAATTTTTAAAACTATTTTAATTTTTTGATCTAAATGTTTACTGTTAATTAGTAAATAATACACATGGGGTACAATGTGATGTTTTGATATATGTATATATTGTGGATCACTTTCTTGATAGTGTCCTTTGAAGCATAAACATTTTAATTTTGATGACATCTAATTTTTCTCAATATTATCTAATATCTTTTGTTTGTGCTTTGGCATAATATCTAAGAATCCATTGTCCAACCTGAGTTCATAAATATATATATATATATATATATATATATATATTTGAGACGGAGTCTCACTCTGTTGCCCAGGCTGGAGTGGAGTGGTGTGATCTCGGCTCACTGCAACCTCTGCCTCCTGGGTTCAAGCCATTCTCCTGCCTCAGCCTTCTGAGTAGCTGGGATTATAGGTGTGCACCACCACACCCGGCTAATTTTTATATTTTTAGTAGAGACGGAGTTTCACCATGTTGGTCAGGCTGGTCTCAAACTCCTGACCTTGTGATCCACCTGCCTCGGCCTCCCAAAGTGCTGGGATTACAGGCATGAGCCACCGCACCCGGCCAGTTCATAAAGATTTATCACCTAGGTTTTCCTCCAAGAATTTTGTAATTTCACCACTAACATTTAGATCTTTCTTCCATTTTGAGCTTATTTTTGTATATAGTGTGAAGTAAAGGCCTGTATTAGTTTCTTAGACCTTGTGTAACACATTGCCAAGATTTGATGGCTTAAAACAGCAAACATGTATTCTGTCACAGTTCTGGAGGCCAGAAGTTTGAAATCCAGGTGTTGGCAGGATTAGTTTCTTCTGGAGGCTCTGGGGGAAAGTTCATTCCATGATTCTTTCCTAACTTCTGGTAGCTGTTGGTAGTTGTTGCTCCATTGGCTTGGAGATACATCACTGAAATCTTTGCCTTCATCTTCACATGGCATTCTTGCCTGTGTCTCTTCTCTGTTTATGTCATATCTCCTTCTCTTTTATTAAGACACCAGTCACTAGATTTAGGTCCCACCCTAAATCCAGGATGATCTTTTCTTGGGAACCTGAACTTAATTTCATATACAAAGACACCATTTCTAAATAAGTTCACGTTCACAGGTACTGGTGGTCAGGTCTTAGACAAACCTTTCGGAGTACACACTTCAACCACCATAAGGTCCACTCCATCATTTTGTATGTGGCTATCAAGTTTCCCCAGTACCATTTGTTGAAAAGACTGTGCTTTCCCCCGTTGAATGTGCTCAGCACCCTTGCTGAAAATCAGTTGACAGTAGACACATGGTTTTATTTCTGAATTTCAGTTCTATTCTATTGATCTATGTCTATCTTATGCAAGTACCACACTGTCTTGATTACCATTACTTTATGCGATGTTTTGAAACTGGAAAGAATGAGTTCTACTTTGTTCTTTTCTTCCTTCTTTTTATTTTTTAGAGACAGTTTCTTACCCTGTAACCCACGCTGTAGTGCAGTGGCATAATCATGGCTCACTGCAGCCTCAACCTTCTAGGCTAAAGCAATCCCCCTGCCTCAGCCTCCCAAGTAGCTGGGATGACAGGTGTGTACCACCATGCCCCGCTAATTTTTATTTTTTGTAGAGACAGGATCTTGCTGTGTTGCCCAGGCTGGTCTTGAACTTCTGGCCTCAAGCAATCCTCCTGCCTCGGCCTCCCAAAGTGCTGCGATTGATTACAGGCATGAGCCACTGTGCCTGGCCCTTTGTTCTTTTTTTCAAGATTGTTTGCATAGTCTGCGTCCCTTTAATTTCTTTATAAATTTACAATTAGTTTGCAAATTTCTACGAAGAAGTCATTTAGGAATCTGATAGGGATTGTGCTGAATCTATCAGTTTGGAAATATAATCATTGAGTTATATTAAATCTAATCCATGAACTTTACCCCATTTATTTAGATTTTTAATTTCTTTCATTGATGTTTGAGTTGCACTTCTTTTGTTAAATTTGCTTCTAAGTATTTTGTTCCTTTAAAGCTATTACAAATGGAATTGTTTTCTTAATTTCATTTCTGGATTTGTCATTGCAAGGGTTTAGAAATACAATTGATTTTTGTATACTGGTGTTATATCCTTTATCCTTGCTGAAGTTAGTAGTTCTAATAGCTCTTTAATGGATCATTTAGCATTTTTTTATATAAAAGATCATGTCATCTGTGAATATAGTTTTACTTCTTTCTTTCCAATCTGAATATACTTTATTGCTTTTTTCTTGTCTAATTATCTTAGCTAGAACCTTTGGTAATGTTGAATAGACATAGTGGGAGTGGATATTCTTGTTTTAATTGCTGATCTTAGGAGGAAAGCAACCAGTCTTTCACCATTAAATATTGATGTGGTTTGGATTTGTGTACCCGCCCAAATCTTATGTCAAACTGTAGTCCCCAGTGTTGGAGGAAGGGTGTGGTGGGAGGTGATTGGGTCATGGGGGTGGACTTCCCCCTTGCTGTTCTCATGATAGTGAATTTTCGTTGAGATTTTGTAGTGAGATTTGGCTTTTTAAACATGTGTGCCACCTCCCCCTTCTCTCTTCTTCCTGCTTCAGCCATGTAAGATGTACTAACTTCCCATTCACCTTCCACCATTATTGTGTTTCCTGAGGCCTCCCCAGGAGCAGAAACCTGTATAGCCTGCAGAACCTTTAGCCAATTAAACCTCTTTTCTTTATAAATTATCCAGTTTCATGTATTTCTTTAAAGCAATGCATAAATGGACTAATACGAGTATGATGTTAGCTGTAGCTTTTTTATAGATGCCCTTTATCCGGCTGAGAAAGTTCCTTTCAATTCCCAGTTTGTTGACTCTTTTTTTTTTAAAGTAACATGGTCTCAACACATCGCCCAAGATGCCCTCGAACTTCTGGCCTCAAGTGATTCTCTTTCCTCAGTCTCCTTGAGTAGCTGGGACTATAGACACATGCCAATGTGCCCACCTGTTGACTGTTTCTATTATGAAAGAGTATCGAATTTGATCAAAACCTTTTTCTGCATCTATTGAGATAATTGTGGGTTTTTATTCTATTGATATAATATATTACATTAATTGATTTTTGGATATTAAACCCATCTTGCATTCCTAGGATAAATCTCACTTTGTCATGGTGTATAATTATTTTTGTACATTGCTGGGTTGTTTGCTAGTATTTTCTTGAAGATTTTCACATCTATATTCATGAATAGCGATCTGTAGTTTTTTTGTGATTGTTTTGTCTGCTTTTGGTACCAGCCTTATAGAACATACCTTATAGAATATGTTGGGCAGTGTTCCTTTCTCCTTTTTGGGAGAGTTTGTGAAGAAATGGTTTGATATCAGCTATTCATAGATCAGAGTTTGAGTAGCATGGATACTTTTTTAGACTTTTATGGATGCTCTAGACTGAATGTTTGTGTCTCCAATCCCCCACCCAAATTCCTATGTTTAAAACTTAATCCCCAGTGTGATGATACTTAGAGGTGGGGCCTTTTGGAGGTGATTAGGTTATGAATGCAGAGCCCCCATGAATGGGATCACTGCCTTTATCAGAAAGACCCCAGGCAGTTCTCTTCACCTTTCTGCCATGTGAGGCCACTTGGAGAAGATATACGTTTATGAAACAGGAAAGGGGCCTTCATCAGACATGAAATTAACCAACACCTTGCTCTTGGACTTACCAGCCTCCATAACTGTGAGAAATACTTTTATGTTGTTTATAAGCCACCCAGTCTAAGGTATTCTGTTATAGCAGCCTGAGTGGACTAAGACAGTGGGGGTGTGTGGTGTTATAGATTGGTTTTTGGCCACAGTTCCTGGTTCCTAGCTCCTATATTCCCTTGTTTCGGTCTTTTGTAATAATATTGGGTGTGTTCGGCCTCGGCAGGCCTCAGGAATCAGAATCTCTCTTCTGGCCTCATTTCACCTGCCCCAAGGCAGGACTCTAATCTTCTGCCTTTCTGATTATGGGTCTTAAGACCCTCTCTGGAGAGGGTCCCACACTATACATTGGGAGAAGGAATGCTGGTGTCACGAAGCTTCCATAAAAACCCAGGAGAACTGGGTTCAGGGAGCTTCCAGGTAGCTGAACAAGTGGAGGTTTTTGGAGGTTGGTGTGCCCAGGAAGGGCATGGAAGCTCCATGCTCCTTCCCTGATACCTCACCCTACACGTATTTTCATCTGTATCCTTTGTAATATCCTTTATAATAAACTAGTAAACATAAATGTTTCCCTGAATTCTGTGAGCTACTCCAGCAAATTAGTGAAGCCCAGAGTGGGTGGTGGGAACTTCTGCGATTGGTGTCTGATGTGGAGTAGTCTTGGGGACTAAGCCCCCAATCTGTGGGATATGATGCTATCTCCAGGTAGACAGTGTTGACATTGAACTGGAGGATACCCAGCTGGTGTCCACTGCTTGGTGTGTGGGGAAAAACCCCCACATCTTTGGTCACAGAAGTCTTCTGTGTTGATGATTGTTGTGGTATGAGAGCAGAGGGAAAATGTGGTTTGAGAGAGGGTTTCCTAAAATAGGGTTACAAAAACATAAATGTCACAGATATTCTTTCCAGAAAATATGTGCATATACAAAGAAATATAAATATTAGTATAAAATCTTAGTGTATACACAGGTCCTCTGAAGTCTTAGACATCTAGATTTTAAAAAATCCTAACAAGAGATAAGTTTTGAGCAATCATTTCACCATCCCACAGTGCCACTCTACTTATCTGAGTATAAACTGATCAGGAAAAAGTTGTACTTCATAACAGACTATCAAGGAAATAAATTGAAAGTTGTAATTAATTAGTCACTGATTCATTCAGCAAAACCCAAGTGTCTATGATATACCAGATAAGGTTCTAGTCTCAGATTACTGCTCTAGGAATTGACTTTTTTTTTCATTCTTTTTCCACTCTATCTTCCTGTGTCCCAGCACCTGAACCCTCTCCATGTTAGGGAGAATTTCATACTTAAAGAGTATGATTTCATACTTAAAGAATTTCATACTTAAAGAGTCATTGTAGGAAGCAGACACCAACTTCTTCCACGAAAGAAAAACTCACTTTTCCAAATATTCTGGCAGCTGGATATGGGATGAGGCTTAGGTTCCACCAGGCAGATAACCACTTGCTGGATTCTGACTCAGCCTGGTGACATAAGCTGGTACTGTGCACACATTTTAGTAAGTGTGGTGTGAGTTGCAGCAGCAATGTCCAGTTGCCAGGAGCAGTCGTGATAGCAGTTCTATCTGCAAGGTCCAGTGTCTAGCTTTAGAGTGTCATTGGTATGAACAGTGACATCTGTGCCCAGCATCAGGGGCAGTGATTCCTATGTGAGACTCCACCTAGGATGGGATTATAGATGCTGCTTCTAGCTATGTAGCTTTAAGCCTATTCTCACAGACCTTCCCAAAATAAAATAAACACCAGCCTAATGAAGATAGATGATAGATAGATAGACAGATAGAAGTCCTTTATGTTTAAATTAGAAAAAATAGCATTTAAATGTGGACTTAAGACCCTTTCCCACCCTAGGCACTGTTGATCACTGACCTCAGTGGTTCCCAATCTGGCTGATCACCAGGATTCCTTGTAGATTTTTTACAAAAATACTCAGGCCTTTCCCCATACCCACCATCTCAGAAGTGGAACATGGATCCCAGGAATAACAAGCCACAGGTGAGGCTGATGCACAGCCACCTGGGAATCCTGGTCTACATTCTTGCTACTAAAAGTGTGATCTGAAGACCATCAGTGTCTGCCTCAACTTTTTTATAAACACAGAATCTCATTCTCAACTCCAGACCACCTGAATCTTAGAAAGTTGTCCAGGTGATTCCTACGCACACTAAAATTTGAGATTCTCAGATTTACTTACTTTCTAGATGTGGTGTTAGAACTGTGCAGTCTGCTGTCAGAGTGTGTTCTGATGAAATCCCTTAGCACTGAAGGTCCAGGGTTCAGTCCATGTCCTTTTTCTCTTCTATAGCCATCTTTCCCTTGGCGACTCATGCATGCTCTATGCTTTAAATATCATTAATATGGCATTAACTCCTAAATCTATTTTCCCAGCCCAGACATTTCTCCTACATTTCCAACTTGCATATCCATCTGCCAACACAACAACCTCACTTGAATGTCTGACATCTGAGATTCAACATTTCCTAAATTGAATGCCTATAGTGCCCCCTCCTCAAATATGCCCCTTTCAGAATTTTCCCCATCTGTGCTGACAACAACTTCATTTTTCTACTTGCACAGTCTGAAATTTTGGGGTTCCTCTTTGACTCCTCTTTTTCATACCCCAGACTTAATCTATTAGGAAGTACTGTGAAGTCCATATTGAGAATGTGTCTGAAATCCAATCACTTCCCACTCTTTTCTCTGCTCACACCCCAGGCAAAGCAACCAGAGTTGCTAATCTGAAATACTGCACTAGTTTCCTACAGTTTTCCCACTTTCTCACTCACCCCTCATCTCTCAATTCTGTTCTCAGCATAGCAGCCAGGATGATCCTTTTAAAAGATGTGCCAAGTCTCTACTCTGCTGACAGCTGTTTGTGTCTCCCCCATCTCACTCAGAGCAAAGTCAGAACCCTTCCAGTATCCTCAAGCCTACATGATCTCCCCAAATCTCTGACCTTATATCAATGACTGCTGCAGCTATCTGAGCCCCCTCAACTCCTCCCACAACCCAGATGTGCTCCTGTTCTGGTGCCTTTGCACTGGGGGTTCCCCTGCCTGGAAAGAACCTGCCCCAGACGTCCTCATAGATAATTCATCTTTTCTCTTAAGGTCACATTCCCAGTGAGACCATAGACCACCCTAGTAAAACAGCCATCTTCCCTGTCCCCACACACCCACAATCTGGATCACCTGCCTCACACCCCTCAGCACCTTTTGACAGAAACACTTTCCTTATTTACTCTGCTTATAGTACATAGTCTGTGTTTTCCCACTAAAACATGTGCCCCTCAAGGCCAGCAATTTTTGCCTGTTTTTAGTTTCCAGATGTAAAACTAGCATTTCATACAGCCAGCACTCAACAAATATTGGCTAAATGAATGACCAGTGTACAGCACCTCCCTATTCTAGAAACAGTATCTTTATTAATGTAGCTGCAGACCACATGCTGTTTTGTGGCAGCTACAGTGAAACAACCACTCATGTTGACATCAATGCTGCCTGTACTTTTCTCACAAATGCTGTTCTCGCCTCCCTCCCACACCAATCCTCATATACCACAGCAGACAATTATAGTTCCCTTTTCAGAAAAAAAAAATGATCCTAGGCTTATGGACCCTATTTTCCAACCAACTGTGAATTAAATTAGAGTCTAGACATCCATGAGTTTGGATTTGAGCCAGCACTAGGATTATTACAGCCAAAGGCAGGGAGAGAGGGTAGGTGAGCCAAAAATAAATTCCTGTTAGAAACCTAACAGGAGTTTATCTAAGGTGAGAAACCGAGATATGATCTCTAATTCCAGAATTTGATTTCCTGAAAAAGATTGGGGAAAAGATGCGAAGAATAGTCCAGGAAACAGCCCTGGAAGGACAAGAGCTGGGTGGGTCTAAAAATTGGTCTCTTGATACCACAGAGACTCCTGTGTGCAGGGGCCACCCCAGGGCTTGTGAGGACAATGACAGAAAAAGTAACTCCTACGGCTGTCCTAGAGGAGATTGGAGACTTGGAGACCAGAACTCAGATACAAGAAGAAGAACAGGCATAGTCTTCTGTCAAAACAAAACAATGAACAAGATGGGGGCTGAGGGCCAGACCTAAGCCTGAGCCTAGGCTGACCTGGTCACACAAAGCCCTTGCCACAGTCCTAGAGACAGGATAAGGCCTGGCCCTTCTCCTCCTATACCAAATGCTCTTTGTCACACATTCTCCCTTAATCCAGAGCTAGGAGTTACGTCATCGTTTCTCAAACGTTTTGGTTTCAGATCTCTGCATGCTCTTAGGAATTAGTGAGGACTCTGAAGATAATTTTATGTGAGTTATATACGTTAATATTTACCATATTAGAAACTAAAATCACTTAAATTATTTTATTCATTTAGAATATTAATAATGCATTGCATGTTAGAAATATTTTTATGCAAAGTCAGTATTTCCCAAAGTAAACAGTATAGTGAGAAGAGTGCATCTTTTTACATTTTGTATGTTTGTAAATCCTTTTCTTATGTGTCTCATTAGAAGATTAATGAATTTTCTTCTCCTTCATTTAATCTGTTATTTTGGTTAATCTGTTATGTTTGGTTGAAGTGTATGAAAAAAAATCCATCCTCACACAATGATATTTTTGTTGCTGTTCTTGTTTTGGGTTTTGTTGGGGGGTTTTGTTTGTTTGTTTGTTTCTTTTGGTCTCATGCTATCACCCAGGCTTGAGTGTAGTGGTGTGATCATAGCACACGGCAGCCTCGAATTCCTGGGCTCAAGTGATCCTCCCAATTCAGCCTCATGAGCAGCTGTGACCACAGGCACGAAACACCACCGCAGCTAATTTTGTTTATTTTTTGTAGAGATGGGGGTCTCATTCGAACTCCTGGGTGGAACTCCTAGGCTCAAATGATTCTCCTGCCTTGGCCTCCCAAAATGCTGGGATTACAGGTATAAGTCACCTCGCTAGGCCAGGAATGTTTTTAATAACATTTTTAGAAAACTGGATGTTCATCCTTGATACTACACTAAAATGATAGAAGTGTTAGCTTCTTAAAGGTTATTTGTAATGTGGAACATGAAACTATCAATAACTATTTCACATGCTGTTACATTAAAATATATAGGTCCGACTTCCACATTGAATGCTTCTTGTATAATACATGACTTTTAAAAAAAGAAACAAAATTTCACCACATTATGTCTTCCAGTGTTGACACATTTAACTACAAGTTATCAAAAAATCACATTTTTTAATATTACCACAGATATTACCAGAAAAGATTGTTAAGTATTGGGAAGCCATCAGGCTTATGATGGTGGATACAAGTTCCCCAGGATTCTAATTTTCTCTTGAGAGCTTGCCTTTTATCATTGGGAATAATACCATCAGTTGATTATGTGGAAGGGACAGGGTTATGTTCGTTTTTGAGAAAGTGTCAGCCAAATATTCAAGTCTAAATGATAATCATTTCTGTCATTCATTCTTTCAAGTAAAAAGGATATTCCATAAAAAATAGACTAGTACAACTCACAAAATGATTTTGTGGACACAAACATTTTAATTTGTTTTTGTTTTCGTTTTAAGACAGGGTCTCGCTCTGTTACCCAGGCTGGAGTGCAGTGGCATGATTTTGGCTCACTGAAACCTCCACCTCCCGGGTTCAAGTGATTGTTGTGACTCAGTTTCCCTAGTAGCTGGGACTACAGGTGCGCACCACCATGCCTGGCTAATTTTGTATTTTTAGTAGAGACAGGGTTTCACCATGTTGGCCAAGCTGGTCTTGAACTCCTGACCTCAAATGATCCACCTGCCTAGGCCTCCCACAGTGCTAGAATTAATTGCAGGTGGGAGCCACTGCGCCTGGCCTCAAACATCCTAATTTGGAATGTAGTAGAAATACCTTATGCGTACTTCCCACTTACTCATTTAAGATATATTAAACTGTGGATTCTGGGATAGAGATTTAATAAAGTTAATAATTCTTTGATACTTCAACCAGGACATATTTAAGTGAAACCTGTTTTTTCTTCTATAATTAAGAAGTGGTTAAGAATATAATAACTACTATTTCAGTTTGGTACCATAGCCTCCCTTCTTGTCAAGTTTTACTTTAGTACAAATAATGTCTTCATTGTATTATAAAAATACTTTTAACCTTGTGGATCTATGAAGGGGTTTCAGCAGCCCACAAGGGTTCCACAGATTGCACTTTGAGAAATCCTGTTCTGGGTAAGCTGTGGAGAGTTCTTGACTGGCCCCTTTGCCTCTTCATTTTCCCAAATTTTTCTCCCCGAGCAGGACTCCCTGCATCCCAAAACTTAGCTAGCGCTAAGTTTGCCTTGCCCTGGGCTCTTATAGAAGAGAACCTATCACCTGTAAATTGGATGCAGAGAGTGTCCTTAGTCTGGGAACAGAGGTGGCAAATGTGTTTCCATTTTGGAGCTGGGAATGGTTTGCGCCTAAAAGCACAAAATAGAGATTTCACTCCTGACCCACTTTGAATTTGCAATCTCTATGAGAAATAATATTGGCCCTTTCATTTCTGTTTTTTCCAAGATGGGGTCTCACAGTGTCACCCAAGCTAGAGTGCAGTGGCATGATAATGGCTCACTGTAGTGGCGAACTCTCGGGGGGCTCAAGCCATCCTCCCACCTCAGACTCTTAAGCTGTTGGAACTACAGGCACTTGCCAGCATGTCCAGCTAATTTTAAAAATTATATATTTTGTAGAGCTAATTTTAAAAAATATTTTGTAGAGATGGGATCTTGCTATGTTCCCCAGGCTGGTTTCAAACTTCTGAGCTCAAGCGATCCTCCTGCTTTGGCCTCCCAAAGTGCTGGGATTACAGGCGTAAGTCACCACAACCAGTCACCCTTTCATTTTAGATGTGTCTAATGCACTTGACTTGAGGCCCACATAGCACCAAGAGCAGTTATCTTAATCCATCAGGCTGCTATAACAAAAATACCCTAGATTAGGTGGCTTATAAACAAAAGAAAGATATTTCTCACAGTGCTGGAGGCTGGGAGGTCCAATATCAAGGTGTCAGCTAACTCTGTGTCTGGTGAGGGCCTGCTTCTTCATAGCTGTCCTCTCACTGCATCCTCCCATGGCAGAAGGGCCAAGACAGCTTTCTAGAATCTCTTTTATAAGGGTACAAGTTCAATTCATGGGAGTTCTGACCTCATGACATAATCACTTCCTCTAAAACAAACCCACTTCCAAATATCATCTCACTGGGGATTAGGTTTTATTTTGGGAGGAGCATAAAAATCTCTATAGCAGTAGTGCTGTTCAATAGAACATTCTGTGATGATGAAATTGATCTATATCTGCACTGTCCAATATGGGAGCCACTAGTTACATGTGGTTATTGAGCACTTGGAATGTGGCTAGTGTGATAAAGAGTTGATTTTTTAAAAGTTTTATTCAATTAATTGAAATATAAATAGCCATGTGTAGCTAGTAGTTACCATTTTGCTTATCTAGAGTGCTCTTAGTTTTCAATCTCCCCCACAAAAAAAGATACCTTGTGACTCCCAGATTGAAATACATTAAAATTACCTTCACATAGAACCCATGGATTTGGCTATGTGGGTCTTAGACATATCCCTAAAATACAGCAGGCCCAAGAAAGTTCAATATGTATTTTAACAATTAGAGTGTACGTATAGATTACCAAAACATGATTTATCAACTCAAGGTCATACATTTTCAAAAATGCTTATCACCAGAGCTAATCCTTGTCAATATTTCATTGAGACTCTTGGTGTTACTGTTTTCTATAACCTGGTGAACACAAGGAGGTATATAAGTCATTACTTAGCCCAAGAGAAAGTATTTATTGAAGTTGCCATATAAAATATCTTATAGGCTTTGTAGACATATTTTAAAATTATAAGCAAATGATTTAAACTTTTTCATTTTTGAGATAGAGTCTTATTCTGCCACCCAGGCTGGATTGCAGTTGGGCAATCATGGCTCACTGCAACCTCCGCCTCCCAGGTTCAGGTGATTCTTCCACCTCAGCCTCCCAAGTAGCTGGGCCTACAGGCACACGCCACCACACCTGGCTAGTTTTTGTATTTTTTGGTGAATACACCATGTTGGCCAGGCTGGTCTTGAACTCCTGACCTCGAGTGATCTGCCTACCTTGCCCTCCAAAAGTGCTAGGATTACAGGCGTGAGCCACCACACCTGACCAGGTTTTAAATGTTAAAACTCCACCTTAGAACTCTTTGCTTCTTGCTCATTCCCCCCAGCTTTCTCCCCAAATCAAACATATCTGTGTGTTTCTCTTCACTCTGGGACTTCCCTCTCTTCATATCATCTGTACCTAGATGAAAATAGATGTTAAGTTTTACAATTGTGAGGTAGAAAAGGATTCTGTAAGCATGACCCAAATATGAAAAGCCATAAATAAAAAAATAAAACTTCTCTATGTCAACCACAGACTCACAAATATACAAACATATGCCTGTGATCAAATTCAAAGACACATAAATAATTGGAAAGACAAAAGGTAGCATATTTCAATGTCTTTCAGCCAAAGACCACCAGGAACATCTATAGCTGAACAACTGGGGTTTATTACTCATTGTCACAAGAGAGAATGCACACCATCTTAGCGTGAGGATATTAGAAAAAATGCAATATAGGATTTGGTCTTTTAGTGGATGTTTTTGGGGAGAGCTAACGAGGTAGGGGTTGACTGTAGATGGGGTGTTGTCAAAAAGCAGGAACATTTCTACGACTGTCTCAATAAATCTTACCCATAATAAATGCAGAGCAGAGCAAGGATAAAGTTGTGGCTGGTAAAGAAACAGCCGTCACTCATATTAGCCAGCAGGGGGAGAGGTTTGGTATTTTGTGAGGTACACAGTGCCTTGGTTTTTGTCTGTGCTTATACTAAATTATGTAGTGCCCCTGTTTTGTCTTGTTTTATCATGTTCCCAGAGTGTCCTTGTCTGATGTTGTGTAATATGGTTTATGTCCAAGAAAAGAATAATATGGCCTAGTGTTGAGCAGTAGGACAGCTTCTAACAGTACTGAAACCTACTGTCAGTGTCAGAAGTCAAGAGCTGCTTTTTTTCTTAGTCAAATTCAACATTTTTAAGTCATCCCAATAGAAAAATAATAATATTAGAAAGCAATATGGGAAAGAATAAATCAAATATCAGACAATATACTCTGATTAATGAATATGAGGAAAAATGAGAACATGACATTAGAAATGCGAATGAAAATTAAAATCTGTCAGTTTGGCATATGTGAAAGTAAATGATAAGCATATTATCCAGAGGTAGGGAAAATACACTGTCATGAAGGCTGATGAAAAACGGGTATACTTTGGGAGGCCGAGGCAGGTGGATCACGAGGTCAGGAGATCAAGACCATCCTGGCTAACACGGTGAAACCCGTCTCTACTAAAAATATTAAAAAAAAAATTAGCTGGGCGTGGTGGCAGGCGCCTGTAGTCCCAGCTACTTGGGAGGCTGAGGCAGGAGAATGGTGTGAACCCAGGAGGCGGAGCTTACAGTGAGCCGAGATCGTGCCACCGCACTCCAGCCTGGGAAACAGAGCAAGACTCTGTCTCAAAAACAAAACAAAACAAAACAACAACAAAAAACACTGGGGTATAAATTTCTAGAGGGGACTTTTGCGAAACATGTTAACAATATAAATGGACTTACATTTCAATGCATATATTTCTCTTTCAAGAATTTTTCCTAAGAAGATAACTGCACACATTCTAAAAAATATATGTTCAAGGATGTTTCTTGAATTTTGGTTTATAAAAGCAAAATGATTGAAACAATCCAAATGCTGTAATCAATATAGGGATAGTAGCTATGAGTAGCAGAACACTTAATATACCTCAAGGTATAATACCATGTGTTTTACTGAGAGAGTCAAATTTGATCTTCAATGCAAACCCATGAGAAGCCCGATATGTGATATCTTTGTATAGACAGGGAAAGGGAGACTCAGAGAGGTTAAGCAGGTGGTGGGGGTGGAGTGGACCCAGGGAATTTTCTCTTAATGGAATCATCTTTCACTGATTCCCTGTCCATCTGGTGGTGGATATGACGCTGTATCCCATGCCAGTGAACTCTTTCAATGTCCCTGAATGTTCTATGACAGGAGGTCATGAGATACAGTGCTCAGGAGAACATCAAGGGGCAATTGATCAAGGAAGTCTGATTTCCCTGCCTAACCACACTTATATTTCCTCATTCAGCATGTATTTCAAGTCCTCTGATGAATCATGTGATCTACTAGACCCTGAAGATACAGTGAAGAGCAAAAGTAAGATGCTGGCAATTTGATGTTTGCACTGTCATGAAGGAGATGCACATTTAGCAGAACTTACAAAGAGAAATATAAAATTACTGCTGAGCTAAGTGTGGTGAAGAAAAGTTCATGGTACCATGAAAGCAGATAACCAGGAGATCTAACAGGTCCACTACCACTATTCTCAATAATACCTAAAAGAAATAATAAGATATGGCATTTATAAATGATGAATAGGATTTTATAAAATTATATACAATCAGAGAACCAAAAAGCACTCTTGGAAATCAAAAAGTGATCATTTAAATAAGTATTTCAATAGATCACTTGGAAGAGTAAATTTGTACTACCACTAAATATTAAAAATGGAAAAACAATGTCAAGAAAGACAGAAAAACTATACGAATACTAGGCTATCAGTCAAGGATTTCCTGCAACTTAATAATACAAATTCTAAAAGAATGGAAAGATAGAAATTATTTAAAATAAAAAAATTTCTCCAAGTTTACAGACAAAAATTTAACTTGTAATGGCCCCAACCAAGTTCTTACTATAGTAGATGAAAACAGACCCACACCAAGACACATCACAATGAAATTTTAGAAGGTGGGTGGAAAAGAAGAAATCCCAAAAACATCAAAAGGCAAGAAAAACAACATTAGAAGCTAAAAAATGTTGATGGAATGTCATGGAAATTCCTAGGAAAAATGTTTTCAATACAGAATTCCATACCAAGTCCAGGTTGGAATAAGTGCTAGGGTAGCCCGAAGACATTTTCAGAAGCTTAGGCTTTCAGATTTTACTTTCCATGTTCCCTTAGGAACACAGATGAAATGAGAAACAAAAACGATGGAGAAAACCAAAAAAGGGGACACATGGGATCCAGGCAATAGGAGAGCCAGCATAAGAGAGAGCCAGAGGGATGCCCAGGATGAGGTGAAGACGATCTTGGAAATCAGCCCAGATGTGCATGCACCAGTCCACGTGTGGCAGGACCAAGGGAAGTGTCTTCACAAAGATGAGGTTGGTAGAACACGGGGCATGGTTGAATATATTCATGGAGACTGTCTTAGTTCATTTATGCTGCTATAACAGAATGCCATAGTCTGGGTCAGTTATGAAGAACAGAAATTTGTTTTCTCAGTTGTGAGGCTAGGAATCCAAGATCAAGCCACCAGCATTTGGCAAGAGCCTTCTTGCTGTGTCTTCACATGGCAAGTGGGTCAAGGGCAAGAGAGAGGACAATATTATTATTATGGGCTCACTGCCATAATAATGATATTAATTTGTTCATGAGGGCTCTGCGCTCATGACTCAGACAGCTTCTATTAGGCCTTACTTTCCAATATCACTGCATTGGGGATCAAGTTTCCAACACATGAACTTTGGGGAACACATTCAAACTATAGCAGAGGCCTTGGAGGGAAATTTGGAAGAGATTTTATAATGAGTACAACAGAAATTAAGCACATGAAGGGATAAAACATTTATTAATTCCAGGGAAATTAAAAAGTCAATTCCAGGAAGGAAAATAATCCTTGTGAATAGCATTTCCTAATCTAATTGTGAACAGCATTTCCTAATCTAATTGTGAATAGCATTTCCTAGTCTAGCTGTGAATAGCATTTCTGTGGTCATAATAATATAAATAGTGAACACCCAGCTAACCAAAATTATAAAATAACTATATTGAGAGGAGAGGGGTATATGAAAGGGAGCTATACACTAAGGATGATACATAAGAGTGAAAAACAAAACGGCACTATAACACACTATTTGGAGGCACAGATGTAACGATCAAAAAATTAGGCAGAATAAAGTAGATTGCCTCTAGGATTCAGGAAATGGTGTACATGAAAGATTGGGGACATCTGTGTTCATAACAAGCCTTGTAGAAGTATTTGGCTTTTGAAACACTGTCCATAAATCCATTTGATATATTAAAAACATCATGAGACAATTGACTAAGGAATTATTCTATAAGGAGTGTCAGAGAAATGGGGCGGTAATTGGAGGGAGACATGGAATCAGGCAATGGATTTATTTATTTTATTTTTAATTGTTTTGCTTCCACTTAAATTGCATGTTTTATTTCTCCCAATCCCAGCAATAGCACAGAAGCCCCATCATATCCATCCCAAACTGGTTTCGAGTAGGTTAAGGTTATTGGGACCCTTGTCGGAACATTGATACAAAGAGCTCCCAAACACCGGGCACAAATGTGTCTGCAAACAGATGGAAGTAAACAGTGCACTGGCCCAAATGCTTCATGAGTCAGTTTGATTTTGCAATGCAATTTTCATCCTTGAAACGGCCAGTCTGGAGGGGGAAGGGGTAGCGTGAGGGAGTGAAGTTGAAATTGCCTCCTATTAGCTCACTCTTTCATCATTAAACAGAGACCAAGAGAGAAATGGTTCCAACATTTCACCACATATATTTCTTCTTATGCAGTCTAAGCTGAGAATGCCATGTAAATGGGTCACTGCAAAATGTAGCAATTTAATTTCTCTCCAATCAAAATAAGAAAGCAGTACGATCTCACTTCTATTAACTTTTGAAGGTTTACAGCAGTTAAAGTATTTTTGCTTATTTGTATAAAGGTTAAAAAAATCATTTTTTAAATAAAATACAAGAGCAGCCAATTTCACCATCGAGTAAAAGTAAAAACTGGGATTCTTTTTTAAATTAGTCCAAAGTGGCATTTAGGAACTTAGTTGTAGGCTGCTACGCTGACACCGTGACAAACCAAAGTGTAGGGTTGGGTCTGGTTTTGTTTCTGTTTTCTTTTCAATATCCAGTGCTCATGGATTAAGTTCTGGAAATGTTCCAATTGTAAGGCAGGGATCTGTTTGGATTCCATCATGAGTATGCTCCTTGGGTTGGATGCTGGAGAGTGAGGCATGTTTTGCCGGACCCATGTCGACTACCTAGTAGTCATCAAGGTAAAAAAATTCATCGTCTCCTCCTTGGTATTCCATTCTTTGGAAATCCACTTGGTACCACAAGAGACCTCCAATTCTACCAAATCCTTTCACAAACTGAGACCCTTCTTGTGATTTATATGTGACAATTTCCAATGTAGCTCCGACTTTTTTATAGTTGTTAGCAAACCATTTCAACAGGGGCATGCTCTTGATAAGCGCATGTTCCTGCCTGGTCTCTTTGTCTGTGAAATGAGATTTATCCTGTTCTTGCTCTGGAGTTAGAGAATTTTCTCCTCTTTTGTGCCTTGGCAATGAAGAACATATCTCATTATATTCAGATTTTCATAGGCTATTAGAATTTCTACAGCTCCCATTTCCAAAGCCTTTAGTGTATCTTCAACACCAAAACAGTACCTGCCTGTGTCCTGGCTGATTTCATCAATGTATCCCTACTAATTTCTTCTTTTGAATAAATTTCACTTTGGAGAGGACTTCAGTAGATAGCCCAACAGCTTGGTTGAATCCATTTTCACCACCATAGGATATATCAACTAATTTCTTTTTTTTGAGACTGAGTCTTGCCGTGTTGCCCAGGCGGGAGTGCAGTGGTGTGATCTGGGCTCGCTGCAAGCTCCGCCTCCCAGGTTCACGCCATTCTCCTGCCTCAGCCTCCCAAGTAGCTGGGACCACAGGCACCCGCCACCACGCCCAGCTAATTTTGTTTTTGTATTTTTAGTAGACACAGGGTTTCACCGTGTTAGCCAGGATGGTCTCGATCTCCTGACCTCGTGATCCGCCCGCCTTGGCCTCCCAAAGTGCTGGGATTACAGGCATGAGCCACCACGCCCGGCCTATCAACTAATTTTAAAACTTTCGATTGTAACCGCTGATCAAACGTATCAGATTGACTTAGTTCAGTTTTAAAGTCAGCGGATCCAGCTAAAACTAGACCAGCCACCTTCCCTTTGTCCCCAGAAATAAACAGCTGCACAGCAGTCTCTGCTACTTTCTGAACATTGTTAGGTCACTTTTCCATTCTTAAACAGGCAAAACGCAAGGCTGACTGACCTTTACCGTGTTTCTTTGGGAGATCCACAGTGAGTTTTTGCAGGACTTCTCTTGTGTTTCCTTGGAGGGTGCCAAAAAGTGCACCACTACCATCTATTACGATGAATCCAGACTTGCTTTCATCTGAAAGTAGTGCTGTAAGAGCTTCTGTATGGAATTTGTTGTCACACAAATACAATGATGTATTAATTGGTTTGAAATGTTCAAAATCAATGTTAACTTTCTTGTGCACATTTATAAGTAGATAGGCAAAATGAAGGAAAATTCAGAACTGAAATGGTCATTATTTTTAAAAACCAGCAATTATAGAGTTAACATGTAGAAGTTCTCTCTCTCTCTCTCTTTTTTTTTCTGCCTACTTTGAACATGATGACATTTCTACAGGTGTTGAGATAAAACTCACTGCTTATGGCATTTCAGTCAAGGAAAGAAAACAGCCTTAAAGGCTTTGAAATTAATGGCTTTACAGATTACAATAGCTCCATGGTAATCAACCACCTAGACACCTTTTTTTTTTTTTTTTGAGATGGGGTCTCACTCTGTCCCCCAGGCTAGAGTACAGTGGCCTGATCTGGGCTCACTGCAAGCGCCGCCTCCCGGGTTCACACCATTCTCCTGCCTCAGCTTCCTGAGTAGCTGGGACTACAGGTGCCCGCCACCACACCCGGCTAATTTTTTGTATTTTTGATAGAGACGGGGTTTCACCGTGTTAGCCAGGATGGTCTCAATCTCCTGACCTTGTGATCTGCCTGCCTCGGCCTCCCAAAGTGCTGGGATTACAGGCGTGAACCACCGCACCTGGCTGACACCTTTTATAAATATAAATTTAGGTTTCCCTAACAACTGTGTACAATAATGAAACACTTAATTGAAAAATTAGTAACATAAAAGAAAAAAAAATAAATGTTTATAAAAGTTAGGCTCTCAGACCAAATAGGTCAAAATCTTGATCTCAGAGCAATAATAGAAGGTATCCCTGTTCAACAGAAAAATTTTGTTTTTTGTGCCATGCAAAAGCCAAAAAGAAAAAGGTGAAGAAAAAAAAACAGCTAAAATTCTTCCCTCCCCACATTTGCTAATTAAGCAAACAAGACTGGTAAACAAAAGATTGATTTGTTACTAATTCAAGGCTACTTGGAGATATTTTGCTTATACAATTCAGTTAAAAAGAAACCCATAACTCACTTGAAACAACAACAACAAAAAAGGTGGGGGCAATGAAAGAAGTTTTTTTAAAAAATCTAACTGCCACGGAAAGTGCTTTACCCAAAATTTTGGTCCATAGCTCTCATTAGATTATAAAGGCAACTGAAGTTTAACCTGGACACATAAAATATACCAAGAATGAACCAAGAAGAAATTAAAAACCTGAGCATACCAATAATGAGTAATGAGCTTGAATCAGGAATAAAAAGTCTCCCAACAAAGAAAAGCCCAGTACTGGATGCCTTCATTGTTCAGTTCCACCAAACATTTAAAGAGAGACTGACACCAATTCATCTGAAACTATTCCAAAAAATTGAAGGGGGAAGGAGTTCTTTCAAATTTATTCTAGGAAGCAAGCATTACCTTGTTATCAAAACCAGGGAAGGATACAACAACAAAAAAACTACACGCTGATAAACACAGATGCAAAAATTAACAAAATAGTAGCAAACTAAATCCACAACACATCAAAAAGATTATATGCCATGATCAAATGGGATTTGTTCCAGGGATGCAAGAATGGTTACATATCTGCAAATCAATAAACGTGATAGATCATATCAACAGAATGAAGGACAAAAATAAAATGATCATCTCTAGATGCAGAAAAAGCATTTGGTAAAATTCAACATCACTTCATGATTAAAAACTCTCAACCAACTAGGTATAGATGAAATGTACCTAAATACAATAAAGGCTGCATATGACAATTCGATAGTTGACAACATACATAATGGAAAAAAAGTTGAAAGATTTCCCTCTAAGAATTGGAACAAGATAAGGATGCCTGCTTTTACCAAATTTAACATAGTACTAGACTGATTCCTATGGAAATGGATAGAAAATTTTAAAAGATTACAGCAATGACAACAACAAAAACACATAGTACTGGTCCGACCCAGAGCAATTAGGCAAGAGAAGGAAATAAAAGGCATCCAAATTGGAAAAGAGGAAGTCAAATTGTTGCTGTTTGCAGATGACATAATCTTATTTATACACAAACCTAAAGACTCCATCAAAAAACTCTCAGAACTGATAAACAAATTTAGTAAATTTACAGAATATAAAATCAACATAAAAAAACTGTAGACTTTCCATACAAATCAATAAACATGATAGAGCATATTAGTGGAATGAAAGACAAAACTAATATTATCATCTCTATAGCTGCAGAAAAAGCATTTGATAAAATTCAATATCACTTCATGATAAAAACTTCCAACCAATTAGGTATAGATGGAATGTACCTAAACACAATAAAGGCCATAGAGGCAAACTCAAAATGATGAAAAATCAAGAAAGAAATCTCATTCACAGTAACTATAAAAAAGCATGGGAATAAATTTAACCAAGTATGTAATGAAAACTATAAAATACTAATGAAACAAATAGAAAAGGACACAAAAAATTGAAAGATATTCCATTATCATGGATTGGGAGAATTAATATTGTTAAAGTGACCATACTACCCAAACCAATCTACAGATTCAATGCAATACCTATCAAAATACCAATGTCATTCTTTATAGAAATAGAAAAAGAAATCTTAAAATTTGTATGGAACCACAAAAGACCCTGAATAGCTAAAACAATCTTGAGCAAAAAGAACAAAGCTGGAAGTATCACAGTACCTGACTTCAAAATATACAGCTATAGTAACCAAAATGGCAAGCAAGGTATTGGCATAAAAACGGACACATAAACCAATGAGACAGAATAGAGAACCCCGAAATAAATCCATATATTTACAGTTAATTTCTTTTTTCTTTTTTTTTAATTTGAGACGGAGTCTCGCTCTGTCACCCAGGCTGGAGTGCAGTGGTGCGATCTCGGCTCACTGCAACCTCCACCTACTGAGTTCAGGCGATTCTCCTGCCTCAGCCTGGAATGACAGTCGTGTGCCATCACGCCTGGCTAATTTTTGTATTTTAGTAGAGACGGGGTTTCACCATGTTGGTCAGGCTGGTCTCAAACTCCTGACCTCGTGATCCGTCTGCCTCAGCCTCCCAAAGTGCTGGGATTACAGGCGTGAGCCACCGTGCCCAGCCACTCAATTTATTTTTAACAAAATCACCAAGAACATATACTGAGGAAAGGGCAGTTTCTTCAATAAATGATGCTGGGGAAACTGGATATCCATATTAGGAAGTATGAAACTAGACTGCTATCTCTCACCATTCACAAAAATCAACTGAAAATGAGTTAAGGACTTAAATGCAAGACCCAAAACTATGAACCTACTGGGAGAAAACATGCAGAAAACACTTTAGAGTGTTGGACGCAGGAAAGATTTTGTGATTAAGACCTTGAAAGCACAGGCAAGAGAAGCAAAAATGTATGAATGGGACTACATCAAACTAAAAATTTCCTGTACAGCAATGAAAACAATCAACAGAGATAAAACAGCAACTTAGAGAATGAAAGTATTTGCAAAGTATTCATCTGATAAGGGATTAATAGCTAGAATTTACAAGAAACTCAAACAACAGCAAAATAATAATAGTATCATTTTAAAAGGAGCAAATGTGCACCCATCACCCACGCAGTACACACTGCACCCAAATTGTAGCTTTTTGTCCCTCACCTTCTTCCCTCCCTTTCCCCGAGTCCCCAGAGTCCATTGTGTCATTCTTATGCCTTTGTATCCTCATAGTTTTGCTCCCACTTAAGAGTGAGAACATACGATGTTTGGTTTTCCATTCCTGAGTTACTTCACTTGGAATAATAATCTTCAATCGCATCCAGGTTGCTGTGAATGCCATTAATTCATTCCTTTTTGTGGCTGAGTAGTTTCTTTATCCACTCATTGATTGATGGGCATTTGGGTTGGTTCCACATTTTTGCAATTGTGAATTGTGCTGCTATAAACGTGTGTGCAAGTATCTTTTTCATATAATGACTTATTTTCCTCTGGGCAGATACCCATTGTGGGATTGTGGGATTGCTGGATCAAATGGTAGTTCAACTTTTAGTTCTCTAAAAAAATCTCCACCTTGTTTTCCATAGTGGTTGTACTAGTTTACATTCCTATCAGCAGTGTAGAAGTGTTCTCTGTTCAGGCCAGGCACGGTGGCTCCAGCCTGTAATCCCAGCACTTTGGGAGGCCGAGGAGGGTGGATCACGAGGTCAGGAGATCGAGACCATCCTGGCTAACACAGTGACGCCTGTAGTCCCAGCTACTCGGGAGGCTGAGGCAGGAGAATGGTGTGAACCTGGGAGGCGGAGCTTGCAGTGAGCCGAGATTGCGCCACTGCACTCCAGCCTGGGCTACAGAGCCAGACTCCGTCTCAAAAAAAAAAAAAAAAAAAAAAAAAAAGAAGTGTTCCCTGTTCACCACATCCATGCCAACATCTATTATTTTTTGATTTTTTGATTATGGCCATTCTTGCAGATATAAGGTGGTATCACATTGGCGTTTTGATTTACGTTTCCCTGATCATTAGTGATGTTGAGCATTTTTTCATATGTTTGTTGGCCAGCTGTATATCTTCTTTTGAGAATTGTCTACTCATGTCCTTAGCCCACTTTTTGATGAGATTGTTTGTTCTTTTTCTTGCTAATTTGTATGAGTTTGTTGTAGATTCTGGATATTAGTCCTTTGTCAGATGCATAGATTGTGAAGATTTTCTCCCACTCTGTGGGTTGTCTGTTTACTCTGCTGACTGTTCTTTTGCCGTGCAAACACTCTTTAGTTTCATTGGGTCCCAGCTATTTATCTTTGTTTTTGTTGCATTTTGCTTTTGGGTTCTTGGTCATGAAATCCTTGCCTAAGCCAATGTCTAGGAGGTTTTTTTCAATATTATCTTCTAGAATTTGTATAGTTTCAGGTCTTAGTTTTAAGTGCTTGATCCATCTTGGTTGATTTTTGTATAAGGTGAGAGTTGAGGATCCAGTTTCATTCTCCTACATGTGGCTAGCCAATTATCCCAGCACCATTTGTTCAATAAGGTGTCCTTTCCCCACTTTATGTTTTTGTTTGCTTTGTTGAAGAACAATTGGCTGTAAGTATTTGGGTTCATTTCTGGGTTCTCTATTTTGTTCCATTGGTCTATGGGCCCATTTTCATACCAGTACCATGCTGTTTTGGTGACTTTGGCCTTATAGTATAGTTTGAAATCAGGTAATGTGATGCCTCAAGATTTGTTCTTTTTGCTTAGTCTCGCTTTTGCTATGCAGGCTTTTTTTGGGTTTTATATGAATTTTAAGATTTTTTTTCTAGTTCTGTGAAGAATGTTCGTGGTATTTTGATGAGAATTGCATTGAATTTATAGATTTCTTTTGGTAGTATGGTAATTTTCACAATATTGATTCTACCCATCCGTGAGCATGGGATGTGTTTCCATTTGCTTGTGTCATCTGTGATTTCTTTCAGCAGAGTTTTGTAGTTTTCCTTGTAGAGGTCTTTCACCTCCTTAGGCTAGGTATATTTCTAAGTTTGTTTTTTTTTTTTTTTTTTTTACAGCTGTCGTAAAAGGGATTGAGTTCTTGTTTTGATTCTCAGCCTGGTCACTGTTGGAGTATAGGAGAGCTACTGATTTGTGTACATTAATTTTGTATCCAGAAATATTGCAGAATTTTTGTATCAGTTTTAGGAGCTTTTTGGAGGAGTCTTTAGAGTTTCCTAGGTATACAATCATATCAGCAAACAGTGACAGTTTGGCTTCCTCTTTACCGATTTGGATGACCTTTATTTCTTTCCCTTGTCTGACTGCTCTGGCTAGGACTTTCAGGACTGTGTTGAAGAGAAGTGGTGAGAGTGGGCATCATTGTCTTGTTCCAGTTCTCAGAGGGAATGCTTTCAGCTTTTCCCCACTCAGTATTATGTTGGCTGTGGGTTTCTCATAGATGGCTTTGATTACATTGAGGTATGTTCCTTGTATGCCGATTTTGCTGAGAGCTTTAATCATAAAGGATGCCAGATTTTGTTGAATGTTTTTTTTGCATCTATTGAGATGATCATGTGATTTTTGTTTTTAATTCTGTTTATGTGGTGTGTCACATTTATTGACTTGAGTGTGTTCAACCATCCCTTCTTCCCTGGTATGAAACCCACTTGATTGTGGTGGATTATCTTTTTGATATGATTTTGAATGTTTCCATCACAAAGAAATGGTAAACGTTTGATGTGATGCATAGGCTAAATACCCTTATTTGCTTATTACACATTGTATACATGTATCAAAATATCACACTGTACTATATCAATATGTATAATTATGTCAATTAAAATAAATAAAAATAGTAGCCATGACTTTAAATAACTTAAGAAATAATATAATGGACCAGGGGATGAGGAAATAACATGACCCAGCCCTGACCAATCAGAGTTTCCCACACTGTACCACATCTCCATAACAACAGGTATTGGTCCAAAGGTCATCTTCTCTGGTTCTTTATTTATGAACATTGTGAGAAAGATGTCTATTTTTCTGCTGAAGCTGTTAAGGTAGAATAATATGAGAGGAGTTGGAGCTGATAAGCTGATATTGGCTATCTTCTTTAGAAGTACAGAGAGATCTGATGACAAATGTATCTCCGAATCTAATCATGTCTCTAGGCAGCCTCACCCCTGGCCTTTCCAGATAAATTTACATGTTGAATCTTTTCTTTAAAATTATTAACTTGTGACTAAAAAGGTCTTGCTTCTATAACACAAATATTATTTGTTTTTAAGTGAAGGCCAAACAGATTTTAATGTTCTCTCCATCAGTGAGCTATAATTACTAGAAGTATAGTCCTGGACATATCACTTATATTAACCTTTCTCATTCCCAGTGTTACATCTGAATCTTGAAGACATAAAATGAGCTTTGACCTAGTATAAGGATTAGGAGGTAGAATAAATGTAAAGTACCAGGACCTGACACTTGGAAAGTTTTTTTAAACGTCTCAGCTCTTTTCATCATTTGTAAGCTGCACTATTAATTTATTAACAGTTTTTGAGGGAAAACTTAAATCTGCATTAAACATTTGCAGTGTTTTTGGCTGATTGGCATACTTATATTTATCCTTTCAATTATGTAATATTTTCCCATCCATAGCCAAATTTTAAGACTTACATTTTTGAGAAATATAGAGTCAAAAGCATTTTCTGACTTGACTTAGGCCACAGGTTACTCTGCACAGCATCACTGAGACACACCTATCTGTAAAGCTTTTCATATACATAATCTCCAAGACATATAATGCTGTATGGAGACACTTGAATTTCCACAAAGATGCTGGACATTTCATCAGGACCTTATGGCGCTGGAGGCAGATAAGATCTTTCAGAATCAAATTAGCACCCCTTGGCCTGAAGCCTCACATGCTGAGATACAGAGTTCCTAGGGTCCCTCCTGAATATGGTCTTCAAGATGAAGAGAAAATGTCAGGCTATGAGATTCAAAAGAGAGGAGTCAGAGAAACACCTCCCCTGGAATCAGGACCAATTTTAGTTTTGAGATTTAGTCAAAGAAAGATATAGAAGCTAAATATAGGGCCACAATTTGAAGACATAAGAAAGGTAAGATTTCACAGTGTTAGTGCTGAGATGGGGCCAGTTGTACAATATGATCCCAGAATCTCAGTGCTGACATCATTCCAAGTTTAATCTTCCAATTCTCCAACTCAGAATGTCATATTTTCCTCCTTCACTCCCACGTCACCTCCTGTAGGGCACTTCTGCATGGCGTGCAAAGAATCTCCCTTGATGGCTATTTTCTGTGCTTGCCCCTGGAGTCTTCTCTGTGTTGCACCTGTGATCACACTGTTCTATAACCAGGTTCTTCCCCCAGAGGACTGAGGGCTCCCTCCATGTATCTCCAGTACTTAGCACAAGATGAGTTTTATTGCATACTTTACTTCATTTTTATCATATATTATTTAAAAATGGTTCTACAAAGCTTATAGTGAAAACTCTTAACTTTTCAGAGACAGGAATTTTTCCCTGTCCCACATCTCCTAATCTGAAAATTTCTGTTTTGTAGAAGCGGCCACTTTTTGTTCTTCAAAAAATTAAACATAGAATTGACATATGATCCAGCAATTCCTCTTCTGGGTACAGACCCAAAAGAAGTTAAAGCAGAGACCAAGCAGATATTTGTACATCATGTTTATAACAACATTATTCACAACTGCCAAAAGGTAGAAGCAACAGAGTATACATCCATCGATGGATGAACAAAGTATGGTAGATCCATACAGTGGAATATTTTTCAGAAGAAGGAAGGAAATTATTTTCCTGTATTATGTATGAACCTTGAAGACATGAAGCTAGATTAAATAAATCAGACTGAAAAGGAAAAATATTGTATGAATCCACTTACATGATTCACCTAGTTTAGTAAGATTCATAGACAGAATGTAGAATGGAGGTTATCAGGGGCTGGGGAGGAGGAGAGAGTGAGGAGATGTTGCTTAATAGACCTAGCATTTAGTTTGGGAAGATGAAAAAGTTCTGGAGATGGAGGGTGGTGATGGTTACACAGCATGAATATACTTAATGTCATAGAACTATACACTTAAAAATGGCAAAATGGTAAATTTTATTATATATTTTTTTAACCATAATTTAAAAAAGCAGCTACTCTAGTGCTTTAAATAGCTTCTTCTTATCCTTATCTCCATATTTCTTTATTTCTTGTTCAAACTTTTTTTATTTTTTATTTTTGGAGACAAGGTTTCTCTCTGTCACCTAGACTGGAGTACAATGACATCATGGCTCACTGCAGCCTTGGCCTTCTGGGCTCAAGTGATCCTCTCACCTCAGCCTCCTGAGTAGCTAGGACTACAGGTGCAAGCCCACCACACCTGGCTAATTTTTCTGTTTTTTGGTAGAGATGGGGTCTCACTACATTGCCCAGGCTGGTCTTGAACTCTTGGCCTCCCAAAGTGCTGGGATTATAGGTTTGAGCCACTGTGCCCAGCCTCAAACTTTCCATTATAGAAAACTTCAAATACACAAAAACAGAATTATATAATGAATTCTCATTATCCATCATCACATTCAATAATTACTAACATTTGTCCATCATATTTCATATGTTTCCACTTTTTTCCAGGAGAATTTTAAAAAATAGACTTCAGTTCTAGAACAGTTTTAACTACAGGAAAATTGAGAAGTTGTTTCTCCTGTTATTAACATCTAACATTAGTATGGTTCATTTCTTACAATTATTGAACCAATATTGATGCATTATTTTTAACCAAAAGTCATACATTACTCAGGTGTCCTTGAGTTTTACCTAATAATATTTTTCTACTCCAAGGTCCCATTCAAGATACCCTATTACATGGGGTTGTCATGCCTCCTTAGGCTCCTCTTGGCTGTGACAATTCCTCAGATTTTCCTTGTTTTTGATGACCTAGACGTTATTGAGGAATACTAGTTAGGTATTTTATAGAATGTTCCTCTATTGGAATTCGGTGTTTTTTTTTTGTTTTTTTTTTTTTTTCATAATAAGTAGAGGTTATGGATTCGGGGGGAGGAAAGCCACAAGTGAGGTACCATTTTCATTACATGATATCAAGAATTCACACTTCCAGAAGAGGGAGTTAATGCTGTTCCTTTAAGGACAAAGTATCTACCTACCTTATTTGGAGTTCTTCTGCAGGAGAGATTTTGCCTCCTCTCCTCCATTGATTTATTTATCACATCATTTATATCATTATAAACTCATCTCTGGAGGATTGTAAAAGCAAATCCTTTACATACAATTTCACAGTTAAATAGTTCAGCATGCATCTTTCACAGAATAGGGTTTTTAAAAAACATAAAGCCATGCTATTCTCACACTAACAAAATTAACAACAGTTCTCTAATTTTGCTAAACACTCAATGCATATTCAAATATCTGTCTTGTCTTTTTCAATTGGTCTGTCTGAAACAGAAGCTAGAGAAGGTCCACACATTGCAATTGCTTCTTATGTCTCATTATTCTCTGTTCTTCTATACCATACCACCCACCCTACCTATTTTTTTTTTCTCAAGGCTTTGATTTGTTGGAGAAACTGTTACCAGAAAAACAGGTCCCGATCCCGACCCCAAAAGAGTATTCTTGGATCTTGCACAGGAAGGAATTAAAGGTGAGTCACAGAGTGCAGTGAGAAGGAGATAGTTTATTGAAAGTTACTCAGATACAGAGTAGGTGTCCTCAGAAAGCAAAAGGAAGAATGCACCATCTTTGTTGTAAACTCTTCTAATGTAGGGGTTTAATCTACATAAAAGCTAAGTTAAATGTCTATGTGTGGGTGCTCTGACAGCATGACAAAATTTAGGACCTATTGATTTAAAGAAAGTTATCCTTGGCATTTTAGTTAGTATATCAAAGCATGACTATAATAATCTTAAAAGCATATATTATAATGTGACGTCAGGACATGTGGACATTCTGTTGTCTGTCATAGGCGTTTGTTCTTGCAGGCATTATTAAGTTGTTTAATCAGCTGTAAACCTCTTATGACCATGGGTTGTGACTGGCAAGGAATATGCCTTGCTAGTTGAAAGATGGAGTTGACTTTAAAATGGTGTCACCCTGGCTCTCCTATGCTTCTGTTTCCCCAAAAAAGCCAGGTTACTTGTCCTGTAGAATGATCCACATTCTGAGTTTGGCTAATGACATTCTCATGGTATTAACTTGTTTCTTTATATGTTGTTTTTTCTGTTACCCACAAAATAATTCTTCTGATACACATTTGTAATCTTACCATGCCAGCATCTGCTACTCTTCATGTTACCAAATTTCTGTTCAAGGACCACTAAAGCCACAGTCAGTGGACATTCTGAGACCTCTAGGGGAGGGTGGAGATGCTGTCCTTTAATATAGTCTGACCCAAGCAACCTCCCCACTTGGCATGGTGAATCTAGACAAGCTAAAGAATTTACTACGCCCCAGGCCTGCACCAGCCCTCTCCTAAGACCTTGGGCACTCTCATTTCCCTTTTTTTTTTTTCTAAAGGAAGTCATAGTTTCTCATAACCTTTGCTAGTGATCCTGGACCTTGGTTGTTCCCTGAGGCTGTGTTCTCCACACTGCTGCCATCACTGCTACAGCAGAGGTGCAGAAAGCTCAGGAGAGAGAAGGGAGGAAAAGCTGAAGATTTTGTGTTATTCATGCTTTCCTGACTCCGGCGAAAGTGCTTCCTCCACCTGCAACCATTTCTGTTTCTATACTGCTGAGTCTTGTGTTCCCAAGACCAAGGGAAGCCCATTTTCTTTAAAGCCAGTCACAGTTTCTGTTGGCTGATGGAATATCTGTTGTCCAGCAGTTGTATTCCTGCTCACAAATGCAAAACAGTTTGATGCCACGCACATTCCAGGGCTTAGACTGGAAATGCTGTCCCTTGCCCCTTTGTTACCTTCTGACAGGGATCAGTCCATAGTGTAGTTGGTGTCACAACAGTCCCGAAGAAGCCTTCCAATAGATACCCAAATGTGATTCAAAGTGGCACAGGCACACACCACGGTGCCACATGGTGCCTATGTAAAGCAGGTATATCAGGAATGCTAAGCAGAGAAGTAGCAGAACACACTGATCCCCATGTTCTCATTGTACAGTTGGGTGCAATTAAGCTGGCACAATGGACTCTTCTCATGGCTACTGTTCCAGTAGTGTGGATGCCCCCAAATGCTGCATATTTACTAGGACAGCCAGGCAGAGACAGCTGTGTACTATGATACAACAGTAGTCCCTCTTAGAGGAAGTGACCTTGTTAGAAGTGGGAGTTTCTGAAGCTCTTCAGCTGTTACTGGCCTGCTCTTCCATAGCGTTACTTCAGACCTGCTGGCCCAGCTATCCACTCCGCTAACAGGTCTGTCTCTGCTAACAGGTCTAGCTCTGTCTCCTCAGCACATGTTCTAGGCTCTGACTGCAAGTGCTGACTTGGGCTCCCAGCCCCACACAGACCCTCTGTTCCATGAAAGGGCCATCTATGCAAAGTGCCCCCCAAATGCCAAAGGAGCCAATAAACCAAGGAACAAGACAGACAAATCTAGTTGTCAGTAAAGAGTGTTTTATTGGGGAACTTACAGACAGAAGCGTGGTCTTGGATGGCAGGAAGACAGGTAGGTTTCTGCACTTATTACCCCCACACCCAGGGCTTATATACCACAGGGGAAGAGTATACATGCTCTGTGCAAGACAAAGGCTACTACTGTCCAGAACAGGTAAGAATGCTAATGTGTCATAGCCTAGAATTTGTATAACATCAAGGTTGACATGTTCTTACAATAGGGATGGTAAATAAAGTGGGAATCAGGAGTCAGTCCTGGGACTGGGGCTAATCAGAAGTCAGCATAGAGAATTAGCATCCAAGAGGGAGTCACTTTTCTCTCCACATCCCAGCCCTCTAATCCAGCTCTTACAATCTCATGGACTCACATTTCCCCCATAGTCCCTGAGCCTTCAGAGAGGGCTGTGGGTGACATTTTGATGGTGTGAGTGACACATTTTATCAATTTGTTTTCTACTTGTTAAGCAGGGGCCACAGCAACAACACAAACAACAGGCGATGATATGTATGCCAGGTGTAAGACACAGAATTAAAAATGCCCTTTACCATGTTTATTCAGGAACCAAACCAAGAGGTATAGAGCAGAACAACAATAGGAACAGAAGACTATGGGTGGAATTAAAAATGTTTAGTAGGTATTTGGTGGGGCAGTTCTTCCCCATTAAACAGAATTACTGGTAGCTCCATCTCTGTTGATTAGGAACATAGGATTGTGGGCTGGGAGTACACACCAAACATGTTGCCTGAGGGGCAAAGGCGCTGGTATTATGTGTAAGGTTACAGGGGCAGCAAAGGACCATGTCAAATGGCCAGCCAGGGTGCTTCTTAAAAGGGACTGTGTTCCAGTTTATTGGTATGTGGAGTGTTTTGGCCCAGACTTCAGCAGGATCAATGGAGACCACTTTAGTTGGTAGGGAATTCCTTGCTGTCTGGAAAGAAATGCTCTATCCAACATAGGGGAAGTTGCTAGTCCAACCCCCATTCAAGTGTCTCCTCCCTGGCTCAAGATCTTGAGGAGTTCTAAATAACCTTTGCCATTGGCCTTTTATCTGCTCAGGTCAGAGATGCATCTGGTTGGACTTTCTTTACTATTATGGTTAATGGATCCATCTCTGTGGTGGTCCTGAGTCATTGGTGTGGTGCCAGCACCATATTTGTCTCAACTAAATTAAGGTTTCTAATGGCTTGAGGCAAAATCTTTGTCTAACTATGAAAGATATTGGATTTTGAGAGTGCTCAAAACTGTGCCTTCAAAATACCATTTTTCCTTTCAATCAACCCTGTTGCTTGGGGGAGTATACAGTAAGTGAAATACCCAGTCTATGTCCCTTTCATGCATCCAGTCTTGGACACCGTGTCTGGTGAAATGCATGCCTCGATTGCTATCAATATGTGGAGGGTATCCTTACATGACACTGAGTTGCTCCAAGCCCCTGATGGTGGCTGTTTGGTTTGCTCTTACAAGGGAAAGCTTGCAACAATCCCATGGCAGTGTATACACATGTTAGTGCATACTTTCGTCTCAAGATTACTGGCAAGGGTCTGATGTAGTCTATCTACCAGTCTGTCACAGGGGTGGCTGTCTTATGTATATGTCCAGGTGTATGTGGGATGTGGCAGAGGTACAGACGGGAACAAATTAAGCAGTTTGCTACCGCCACCACTAAATCTGCATAGCAGAGAGCCAATCCTGCTCCCTTTGCTATTTGGCAGCCCATTCATGCACTGAAATCCCCACTGTGATATGTACCTAATCAACTAGCTCAGTATTCTAATTTTTGCTAGGATGTCTGCCTCCATGTTTCTGGGAGGTGAATCTGACCAGTGTGCTGAAGCAATTAGGTCCACAGTGGGTTCCTGTAGACTTTTCCAAATGTCTTTCCACATATCAGCTCCCCATAAGGATTTTTAAATTATATACCAATCATCTCAGGCCCTTTGGGCAAGCCAAATTGTAAGACCCTTAAGTACTGCCAGACTGTCTGTACAGAGAACTATAGGTGGTGGCTCACGGGTACAAACCAACCATGTAGCTTGGAGTTCTGCCCATTGACTGCTCTGTTGCATTCCCATCTCAAACCAGATACTGTCTGTGGTTGTGCAGCTACTACTGTCCATACACAGGGTTACCTTGGCTCAATGCATCTAAGTACCAAGCATTATCAGGAATGAGGGCCATGCCTTCATGTACCATTGGAGACATCTCCTGTGAGGGCTCCACAATAGGGGCAGCACTGGACTCATAATGTACTGGCCCTAAGATAGCATGCAGTTCATCTCTTAAGGGATGCATGGAGAAGGCACTATGTTGTTGCATGTATGCATGGCACTTTTGTAAAGTGGAAACTTGGGCAATAGCTGATACAGGCCTGGCAAACACTCCTACCCAGTCCTTGATAGGAAACCTGTTCTCCCTGGTACCAGGAAAGCAGCAGTTATGGATTCAACTTGTGGCAAGACCTTCTATATCCCCAGGACCTGTTATTCAACTGGGAAATAGCAGGTTTCAGTACCCTTCCATTAATTGTGACTAAAATTCTAAAGGAACTGCTTCCCTATGCTGGACTTTATATTTTCATCATCCAAAATTATAGTTTAGTTTTACCTTTAAAAATATGTTTTTTGTTCTCATTTGTTCCATAGGTTTCTCCTTGAAATTTATATTGTATGGTAAGGTTTCCTATTGTTTGCATTTTGTGGATTGCACGCCAAGGTGTGGTTTAATGTATTTCTATTACCTGTATTTTCTGTAAATTGGTAGTTTGGTATAGAGGTTTGTGTACATTCAGGGTTTTTTTTTTTCTGTAAGTATTGATGGTTCTGTAAAAGGAAAATAAAATCTTGGGGCCCCAAAATTACTAAGCTAAAGGGAAAAGTCAAGCTGGGAACTGCTTAGGGTAAACCTGCCTCCCATCTGTTCAGAGTCGCCCCTCTGCTCACTGAGATAAACACATGTCTGATTCCCTCATTTGGAAAGGCTAATCGGAAACTCAAAAGAATGCAACCATTTGTCTCTCATCTATCTGTGACCTGGAAGCCCCCTCCTTGCTTCGAGTTGTCCCGCCTTTCCAGACGGAATCAATCTTTAGCTTACATATGTTGATCACTGTCTCATGTCCCCTTAAAATGTATAAAACCAAGTTGTGCTCTGACCACCAAAGTTGTGCTGAGAAGTGACACCAAAGAACATGGTGGCATAAGAACTCCAAGGACCCCTCCCCTCCACAGCGGCAATGTGCTTGTTGAAACACCAGTATAAAAAAACTCGATGAGAGCTGTGATTGGATTTAGTGTTGATATATTTTTTGTAAATTGTGGTAAAACATGCATACTATATAATTTACCTTCTAACCATTTTTTCAGTGTACAATTTGGTGGCAGTAAGCACATTTACAATGTTGTGTAACCACCGCCAATATCCATTTCCAGAACATTTTCATCATCCCAAACAGAAACTGTACCCATTAAACCATAACTGCCCATTCTCCCTACCCCCAGCCCCTGGTAATCTCTATTCTATTTTCTGTTTCTATGAATTTGCTTATTCTAGCTACTTTATATAAGTAAAATATCATATTTGTTTTTATTTCTGGCTTATTTCACTTATAGTGTTTTCAAGGCTCATCCAATTAGAATTTCATTCACTTTTAAGGCTGAATAATATTCCATGCTTATGTGCACCGTGGGTTGTTTATCCAGTCATCCTCTGATGGACACTCGGTTGCTTCCACCTTTTGGATATTGGGTATAGTGCTGCTATGGGCCTGAGTGTACACATATCTGGGTGAGTTCCTGCTTTCAGTGCTTTTGGGTATGCCCAAAAGTGGAATTGTTGGCTCATATAGTAATTCTATTTTTACTTTCTTGAGGAATCACTATTCTGTTTTCCATGGTGGCTGCACCACTGTATACTCTCACCAGCAGTGTACAAGTGTTCCAGTTTCTCCATATCTTCACCAACACTTGGCCTAGTGAAGTTTACCATATTTTTATGTCCTTATTGGCATTCCTTTTTTTTTTTTTTTTGTGAAACAGAGTCTTGCTCTGTTGCCAGGCTGGAGTGCAGTGGCACAATCTCGGCTCGCTGTAACCTCCACTTCCCAGGTTCAAGTGATTCTCCTACCTCAGCCTCCTGAGTAGCTGGGACTACAGGTACCTGCCACCATGCCCAACTAATATTTGTATTTTTTTGGTACAGACGGGGTTTCACCATGTTGGCCGGGATGGTCTTGATCTCTTGACCTCGTGATCCGCCCACCTCGGCCTCCCAAAGTACTGGGATTACAGGCATGAGCCACCATGCCTGACCAGCATTCCTTATTTTTATGTCCTTATTGTATATCTTCTTTGGAGAATTGTCTATTCATGTCTTTTACTTATTTTTGAATGAGATTGTTTTGCTATTGTTGAATTGTAGTTCTTTACATATTCTGGATATTAATTCTTTATCAGATATGTGATTGGCAAATATTTCCTCCTGGTCTGTGCATTTTCTTTTGATTCTCTTAATAGTGTCCTTTGATGCAAAAAAGTTTTTAAATTTTGATGCATTCTAATTTGTCATTTTTCTTATATTACTTGTACTATTGGTCACCAGCCAAGAAACCACTACCAATTCTAATGTCCATAAGATTTTCCTCAGTATTTTCTTGAGGGTTTTACAGGTTCAATTCTTAAGATTAGTTCTTTGAGTCATTCTGACTTAATTTTTGAAAAGGGTGTAATGGAAGGACATGAATTTTTTCCAGCATCATTCTTTTGCATGTTGATATCCAGGTTTCCAGCACCATTTGTTGATGCACCATCTGTTGCAGTGGGGCTGACACATTTGTAAGATGCAGTGAGCATTAATACATGGGAGCACCATGCATTTATTTACCTGTCTTTACTTCACAGTTGTTTTGAGAAGGCTTTCACTGACAGACTCAACAGAAATGAATATATATGACTTCTTATAAAATCATATTCAAGTAAAATTATAAATTTTAAAATGTTAAGACTGGAGCAAGACTGGAACATCACTAGACAAGCTGAAACATAGGCTGAAATGAAGGGTTATGTTTACCTTGCTACAAATTCTGTTGGCCCACAATCTCTTATGCTTATTGCTTAAGAGAGCCACAGAGTGGGGTGATAGCTCACATAACCAGTCCCTGGTTTTCTGCTTCAGAAAGAAGTTTAAATATTCTGCTTAGACAGAGTAAGGAAATTAACTGAAAGATGTCTAATGTGAAGTTGGCATCTACAAAGTGAAGGAGTGAGTAGTAAGTGTAAACATCAGGAATCCCAGGAGATTCTATCTTTTTGCACGGAAATGGCCTCACTATGCACTGCTGAAGGGAGAAGGTCCCTTCAGGGGACCTTCATGATGAAGAAGAACACAATATGATATAGGAATTTTCTGCTGCAGCCCTAAACTGAATTGTCCTTCTCTCTAACTACAGGTCTCACAAAGTTTTATAGCTTCAATGATTTCACCTGGGCCAAGATTTTGGTTTTTTTTGATGTTATTTGTTTGAACTGCTGCCTGGGGCTTAGAAAAGTGACTTGGATATTTTGTCAAAATGGATTTTCTTTGATGGAATGTGAAATCCGTAAACACTCTGCTTTCCTGCTGTATCCCCAGAGCAGGTTGAGTACCTTGCACTTCTTCTCAGCACTTCGCTAGAAGTGGTAGAAGATTTGGAGTTAGGGCCTCCCTCAATCCCTACCCTTTCTTTAATTCAGAGGATCACAAACTGTTGGGAGAAGAGTGGTATCTTGGGCCTCTAGCTGATCTGATGAATATTAATATCCAATGTCCTGTAGTGAAGTCATGTGTGCGTGTAACATCACTTCTTCACGCAGTGTCATAGGAAAGTGGGTTCCTGGACCCCAGGTTAAGAGCCTAAGCACTAAAGGCACAGAGCTAGAGCTCTAGGAGGGGAGGGATGGCTGGGGTGGAACCTCGTCTTGTCATTTAGTCCTGGGGCCTTTTCACTCCTTACATGGTGGGTGGTGGGCGTCTGGCAGGTGCCGATGTTGATGGAGTCAAGGGAGGGAACTAGCCGGGACAGGGAAAAACAGGGTTGGAGAGATAATTAAGGTGGACGTTATTTTTTCTGAGCGTAAGTCGTGGCTGGAAATCTGGAGAGCCTGAAAGAGTATCCCCCTACCCAAACCTGTTTTTTCCTTTTCCCTCAAGCCTCATTTGGCCACAGGCCCAGTGTCAACACCAGGGGGCGCCACAGACCATGAAGGCACCGTGCAGCTGGGATTGTTTGTGGTCGGCTACTGGGTCCCTGACTTAACCAGGGGAGCCAAGACCCTGTAGCCAAGTGGCCTGGATTCAACCTGCAGCTCAGGTCTTACTGACACTTCTCCCCCTGGTGCCTCAGTTTCTTAATCTGTGAAATGGTGAGGACATTACAGCATTTACCTCTGGGGCGGGTTTCTCAACAGCAGCACTATTAACAATTTGGGACAGAGAATCTTGTGGAGTGGTCTGTCCTGTGCATTGTGGGAGGTTTGCCAGCAACACCCCACTCACCCCCTCCCACCAATCCCCATGTGACAACCGAAAATGTCCCAGGATTTTTAGGTCTCCCTTGGGTCTAGAAGCTGCACTTAGGCATTTTCCCACCTGACACTTGAGTTCATCTCTGCTTTGGTCCACATAAGGCCACTTTAAAAAAATGTTGTTTCTTTAAAGATTCTAACCATCTTTTAAACAAATCCATTTTCTTCCTCTATTTCTGCATTCAGTTAATCCTTCCAAACCCTTTGTTTAGTATATCTTGAAATGTATCAATTCCTGTTCTAGTAATTAACATATGTGACTTGCATGATATCTGCTATGACCCTTAGTAGAGCTCTGATTCCTTTAGCACAGGGAATGTGTTCTCGATTCTGCTCTGGATGATGTAAATCAATTTATTTTACTTTACTTGTCTGGGATGTTGCTCCTCATCTGTAAGATGTAAATGTGGATATGGCTTGGATTACTAAGTGGTTTTATTTCTTAATTCACCTGACATTTGTTGTGTGCCTGCTGCAAGTCAAATACATGGCATGGTATTGTTTCCTTGTTCACACCACAGCAAATGAGAAAATGAGACATTATAGCCAGGTGTGGCGGCACAGGCTTGTGGTCCTAGCTACTCGGAAGGCTGAGGCAGGAGAATTGCTCCAGCCCAGGAGTTTGAGGTTACAGTAAGGTATGATATCACCATTGCATTTCAACCTGGGCAACAGACCCTGTCTCTGAAAAAAGGGAAAAAGACCTTGTGAGCTGTCTACGTGTACTCTATGTCTCAGGAGACTCATATCCTGTAATTTTTCTAAATGGCGTCTCCATGTGGTCTTTCATGAATGTTTGTCTGGTATTCTCTATCCTTTTACTTTCAACTTTTCTTTACCTTCTACTGAAATTATGTCTTTTGTAAACAGCCCATGATTATTTATTTAGTTATTTATTTTTACCCCCCTGCACTATTTGTCTTGTAATTGGAGTGTCTGAGTCCATTATGTTTAATGTAATTATTGACCTCATTGGGTTTAAGTCTGTCCATTGTCATTTGCTGCCTTCTAATATTATCTCTTTCTTGCTCAACTATTTTTCTTATGTTACCTTCTTTAGATGAATAAAAACCTTTGCATTATTGTAGTCTTCTAAGTGTCCTAATTACACATTCTCTTATTATTTCTTTAATTATCTGAGAAAGCATAATGATCTGTGACTTATTATAACCAATAGCAGACCACAACTTCCCTGACTTTCACCTACCTGTGCCCACAGCCCAGGGGAGAATCAGTGCTCTGGCTCTGAGACACAGGGGTGGTGGGAGTAGGAGAGTGATTGGATGATGAATCTGTAGCTGCAGAGGCATCTGGGCCCCTCACCTGCATTCCTCATAGATGTCTCCTCCATTGAATGCCTGCGATGCCCTCTCCTCTGTGTACTCCTGCCAGAGTCTCCCTATCTCCACTGACAGCAGCTCCACCCTTCTGCTCACTCAGTCCAATACTGTGGGTGTCCTTGATTCTTCTTCTCACATCCATTAGCAAGTGCTGTGAGTCCATCTTCAAATTCATCCAGAATCCCTTCACTTCTCACTATTTCCCCTGCTCACACCCTAGTCAAGGTAAGCAACGTGTCCATCCTAGAATACTGTACTCCTTTCCCACCATTTTCCCCACTGCATCACTGGTTCCCCACCTCTCAATTCTGTTCTCAGCACAGCAGCCAGAAAGAAGCTTTCAAAGGATGAGCCCTACCATGTCCCACTTTTCAAAACTGTCCTCCCCATGTCATTCAGAGCAAAGGTCAACACCCTTCCCACACCCTTCAGGGCTACCTGCTCTAGCCACACCTTTGACCTCACTTCAGTTTCTCTGTGTCCAGCCCTTCTGGCCTCTTCCTCCTTCCAGGAACACAGACAATTTCCTGCCCTAGTGCATCTGCACTGAAGGTTCCCCTGCCTGAAAAGAACTTTCCCAGACATCCTTGTAGACAACTCCTCACATCCCTCAAATCTTTACTCCAAGGTCACATTTGCAACAAGGCCCATGCTGACCACCCAGCACAACAGCCACCTTCCTGTCCCCACAGCCCACCCTCTGGATCACCTGCCACACAGCACTTGCCACCTTCTAACTCAAGCATTTTCTGTTCCTACTCTGCTTATACTATATCTATCATCTGCCTACAGAGGTGTCCAATTTTTTGGCTTCCCTGGGCCAGTTGGGAAGAATAAGCATTGTCTTGAGCCACACATAAAATACACTAATGACAGCTGATGAGCAGAAAGAATAGAAAAAAGAAAAACATGTGCGTGCATAATTTTCATGATATTTGCTACCACAGATAAGCAAAAAAACTTCTTACATTCAAAGCTGTCCCGGGCCACACGCAGCCCGAGAGCTGCAGGTTGGACAAGCTTGCATCTAGAACGTATACACCACAAGGCCAGAAATTTTTCTGTTTTTACTTTAATGATGTTTTCTAAATGCAAAAACAGTCATATACCTAGCAGACAACAAATGTCAGTTGAATGAATGATCACTGTAGAGCACCTCTGTATTCTAAAGGCAATATCTTTATTAACGTAGCTAAAGAACAACATCATCTCACACCAACATCAGTGCTGCCAGTGCTTTTCTCACCAGGGCTGCTTGTGTGTCCTTCCCACCTCCTCCCACACCAACCCTCCTGCACACTGCAGCGCACAGCCATATTTTTCTGTTCAGGAAAGATAATCCTAGCCTTGTGGGTCCAATTTTCCAACCCCATATAAATCTAAATCAGACTCTGCTTTATAAATGCATGAGTTTGGATTGGAGCCAGCACTGGGATTACTACAACTCAGGCAGGAAGAAGAGTAGGAAAGCAGAAGAGGAGTTCCAACAGAAAGTTACCTACGATGAGAAACTATGGGACCCCTCCTCTCTGCAAATTTCAGAATCTGCTTCCTTTAAGAAGGCTGGGGAAAAAGATGGAAAATACAATCCAGGAAAGAGACCTGGAAGGAGGGCAAAAGATACAGGGGACTGAAAATTTGTCTCTTCATACCGGAAGGACTTCGATGTGTAGGGACCACCCTAGGTGACATCCAAGTCCCTGTGATCACAGGTCCTGGTGGGACAAGGTTCTACTGAAGGGCCAAGGACAGTGGAGCAGCAAAGATGACCCAGGTGAGCTGTGACCACATAAAGCCCATGGTGGCCTGAGCACACACTGGGCACAGCCCCATCTACTCTCCTCCCCTGCAACAAATCAGCACAAGAAACACGTGGACTCTGGAAGGTTCTCATGTCTTCCATTTATTTTGTCTCTCAAATTTTAGGAATCTTCTCCTTTAATTAACCCATCAACCCGTCATGGAAATAATTTGAAAAAAGTAAATTTATACTCAGATTCTAATTTTAATAGGGAAGTAAGAAGTTACAGCTCAGTGCACCATGAAGTTGAGACAGAGATGGAGACATCCCAGCACCACTTCTCTGGAACAGGAAAGGTGATCGGGGAAGGAATGTAGGTCAGTGTGGGGAACAGGGTCATGGTGGACACGGGTGTGGGCTGGTCTCCCCACCACCTCACATTATGCCTATAGGGACACAGACACATTCAGATGCCTTTGCAGAAAGAGAAGTCAGGGTTCTTGAAGTCACAAAGGGAAGGCATGAACAAATCTTGCCTCTCAGTCCCACACAAGGCAGCTGTCTCACACTATAGAAAAAATATTCATGAACAAATTCATATCACTCACAGTGAGGGGTCACACCTTCAACAGCCCATCATGTGCTGAATACATCCAAGTCAAAGAAACCCCATAGCACAGCTATATCCACTGTTACCCCAACAACCCACACACATCAGCCTCCCCAGGGTCTCACCTTTACAAGCCGTGAGAGACACATCAGAGCCCTGGGCACTTTGGCTGCCTGGGGTAGAACAAAAACAGAACCTGGTCAGATCCCACAGGAGATGTGGCTAGAGGAGGAATTGTGGGGTGGGTGAGCTCCCCCATGGGCTCCCAACCACAATATCCCAAGGATCTCAGGGATCAGCCTCCTTCATACTTACTTGCAGCCTGAGAGTAGCTCCCTCCTTTTCTATCTGCGGGAAGAAAACGTCCTGTGAGAGGCCAGGAAGGTAGCAGGGCCATGAGGTCCTAGAGGAACCTCCTAGTCTTGGAACCTTGAGAAGTTTCCAGAAATGTGTGACTGCAAACCAAGGGCAGGATCAGGAAAAACAAGGAAAGCAGATGTGGGTCCTGGACCAACTGCCCTCCTAAGGTCTGTCCTCAGCAGGGACCTTCCCCTGACCTGTGATTACTGGGGTCAGATCCCCATCACTACAATCATCAAGGTGAGAAATCTGTCCTTCATTGTCACAGGTGCTTACAAAAGAGTAAGTGCTGGCACACAGGGCCCAGGCTGGGTAGGCCCATGAATGTGGATGGTGCTTCCCGGTAACCAGGCAGAACACATTTCTACCTGGAGCTTGAAACCCCCAGTGGGACAAGAAAACTCAAACCCGACTCCTCACCCCTTCCCCACCTGAGCTCTTCTTCCTCCACATCACAGCAGTGACCACAGCTCCAGTGACCACAGCTCCAAGGAGAACCAGGCCAGCAATGATACCCACAATGGGGATGGTGGGCTGGGGAGAGGGCTCTGGGAAAGGAGGGGAATGTGAGGGTTCTGACCTCCAGGACCCAGCCCCGACCCTGCTAAAGGTCTCCAGAGGGGCTCCTGCTTTCCCTAAGAGACATGGCCGCCCCCATCTCTCTCCTTACCCCATCTCAGGATGAGGGGCTTGGGCAGCCCCTTGTGCTGCACATGGCATGTGTATCTCTGTTCCTCTCCAGAAGGCACTACCACAACCGCCCACTTCTGGAAGGTTCCATCCCCTGTGGGCCTGGTCTCCACGAGCTCCATGTCCTGGGTCTGGTCCTCCCCATCCCGCTGCCAGGTCAATGTGATCTCCGCAGGGTAGAAGCCCAGAACCCAGGACCTCGTTATGCCTCATGTTCAGAGAGGGGGGTGGGTCACGTGTGTCTTGGGGGGGGTCTGAAAGGAAGAGTCGGAAAACTCAGGCACTTTGCATTCCTCATGGGACACCCCAGCAGCGCCCATGTGACCATCCTGATGAATAGGACACCTGGGGTGGGGAAGGGAGCACAGAGCCCAGACACCAGCCTGGACACAGGCGCCTGGGATAATCTCCTATTCCTTGGAAAGTTCTAGTCTCTGAGCAGGGTAGCAGGGACTTCTGGTCCTGATCTGAGTGGAGGCCAAGGGACTCAGAGGAGCTGGAGTCAGACTCCGACACATTGAGTGTGAGGCAGAGAACAAGGCCCGGGAGGAAAAGTCCTGGTGCCCAAGGTTGCTGTGGGGTGAAAGGGGACCGCGGATCAGTCTTCCAGGGATTGTCTTCCCCTCCACTCCCTCAGAGACTTCATCCCTTAATTGTCCCAGGAAGAGCAGGGTGGGCCCTCAGAGTCAATCTCTGATACAGGATCTGGAAACCCAGGAGGATTCCTCTCCGTCAGGACAGGAGGGAGGGCGATATTCTGGTGGTGGTTCCATTTTCTTCCCCTCCTTGTGCGAGGCCAGCCCGGGAGATCTACAGGAGATCGAGCAGGCTCCCCATGGCCCCTGGTACCCGCGCGCTGCAGCGTCTCCTTCCCGTTCTCCAGGTGTCTGCGGAGCCACTCCATGCAGGTGCCCTCCAGGTAGGCTCTCCTTTGCTCAGCCACATTGGCCGCCTCATACTTGCGCTGGGTAATCTGAGCCGCGGTATCCGCGGCGGTCCAGGAGCGCAGGTCCTCGTTCAGGGCGATGTAATCCTTGCCGTCGTAGGCATACTGCTCATACCCGCGGAGGAGACGCCCGTCGGGCCCCAGGTCGCAGCCAAACATTCCCTGGAGGATGTGATACCCTGGCCCAGTTCCCGCGGTCAGCCCCGCCCACCGAGCCCTGGCCCGGCCCCTAGCAACCTGCGGAGATTTTGGCCTCAACTGAAGATGAAACCAGGTAAAGGCGCCTGGGGCTCTCCCGGGTCGAGGATCTCTGCAGGTCCCGCAGCCTCGGGGTCGATCTTGGACCCGGAGACTCAGGGGACCAGGGCCGTCCGTGAGGCATGGAGCGGGGAGTAAGTGATCTGCGCCCCGGGCCGGGGTCACTCACCCGCCTCGCTCTGGTTGTAGTAGCGGAGCAGGGTCCGCAGGTTCACTCGGTCAGTCTGTGCCTGGGCCTTGGCGCCCAGTGTCTGTAGGTCCCAATACTCCGGCCCCTCCTGCTCCACCCACCGCGCCCGCGTCTTCATCCTCAGACTCACGGCGTCACTGTCGACCCGCACGAACTGCGTGTCGTCCACGTAGCCCACGGCAATGAAGCTGGGCTCCCCGCGGCCCGGCCAGGAAACGGCGGTGCTGAAATACCTCATGGAGTGGGAGCCTGGGGGCGAGGAGGGGCTGAGACCCGCCCGACCCTCCTCCCGGCGCGGCTCCCCGGGTCCTGCGCCCCAGCCAGGTGGACCTTTCGCTCCTCACGGCAGAGGCCGTTTCCCTCCTGACCCCGCACTCACCCGCCCAGGTCTCGGCCAGGGCCAGGGTCCCCGAGAGCAGCAGGAGGAGGGTTCGGGGCGCCATGACCCCATCGTCGGCGTCTGGGGAGACTCCGAGTCCCGGTGGGTGCGTGGGGACTTTAGAACCGGGGCCGCGCGACGCTGATTGGCTTCCCTAGAAACCCGACACTCAGTGGGAGTGAGAACTGGGTCCGCGTCGTGAGTGTCCAGGAAGAAGGACCCGTCGCAGGCTGGGAGAGGGAGAAGAGAAACTCTGCGGAGATGGGGAATCCCCAATGCTGCACCTCCCCAGCCCATGCACCGCCTTCGGGGCCTGAGACCCTGAGAGCCATGCCTGGGGCTCTGGGACTTCGCCCTGACCCCGCTCCTCCTGTGACAAACGCTCTGTCTCAATGTTCCCTGAGTCTTGGTCCAGGAGCTGTCCGAGAAACCAGGAAGAAACCCTCAGCTTGGGCCCCGTCCCTCTCCTTTCACTTTTCATCCGGGAATTCCTGTCCCTGAAATGGACTCCCTGCTTCCCCGCTGCTTACCTGTTCCCCTGGACTCTTCAAAAAGAAAACTCACCCCAGGGAGCTTGGTGCCAGAGAGGGAGCTCTCCCTGGGAATGGAGGTGTAGAGACAGAGGTTTTTTTCTTTTATTTCTTTTTTCTTTTTCTTTAAATCTGGAAAAGTTGTGCCTGGGTGCATGAGATAGTATAGAGACCAGTTTGCTTTTTGTGTATTAACTACAGTGGGTAGCAGAATCTTGGTAACCCCTGAATGATCAGGAATCTAATCGGTAAAAACATGTGACTTTGGCCCCTTGATATATAAAGTGTCTAAAAGCATTACAACAGGACTCACAAAGCTCCTAAGTTTCACTTTTGCAAACAAGGTATCTGTGACTCCCGCTTGTGGTGTTTTAAATTTACCTTTATTCCATAGCCCTGAGTTTCTGTGAGTCCAGGACATCTCCTCAATACAAAGTAGCCACTGTGTTCCTATGTGTTGCAACCAGGAGTCAGTACAGACTTCATTCACCTCAAAGTTGCAAGCGCTCGATGCAGTCACAATGTCCATCACCAGTGCTCATGCACTGCCTGTTTTTAGGAAGTATCCACATCTAAGTGGTGTGTATATTTCTTAGGAACACTTAGTATTTTTAAAACCTGATTAACATAAAAACAATTAGTTTTTAAGCAGACCCACTTAAGGTATTAAAGGCCAACTGCAAGTAACACCCTGCGAGGCTCTGTAGATGGATCTATTGAAATACCATTAAAAAAAGTGTTCAAACCTAAGAGTTGTGCTGCTTTTGAATTCTATCCCTCTACTCCTTTTCCTCACCTACTGCTTCTCCAGCCCTTCCCTCCGTCCCTCTTATCACTCAGCCCCTCCTCTCCCCTTAGTCCCCATCACACTGTCACTCCTGAATTGTGACACTGGCACTCTCCCGTTACCTGCTACGTGACTGTTCTCTCCACAGTGGTCCTGCTAATGTGAGTCAAAGTGTGTCATTTCTCCACCTAAAACACTCCAGTGGCTCCACCTTGGTCTTGTGAAGCTTCTAGAATGTCAGGCACGTGAGCATATGAGGGGATACCTGGTTCATTGTAGGGACTAAATTAATTTTTGTTGACTGAATGAATGAAATATGAGTATATTAAATTGCATCACAGATAATTATAAAATGCAAAACACTGAAAAAGTTCAGAAAGATTTTATTTTATGTAACTAGTGTATATATCAATTCATCAGTTCATTCCATTAGTCTGTTGAGCCTGTGTATGAATTTTATAAGACTGTGTAAAAAATTATCACAAACATTGGCTTTAAACAACACCCATTTATTGTATTTATTTATTTGTTTTTATTTATTGTATTCATTTATTTGTTTTTAGAGACAGAGTCTCTAAAAACTGTCATCCAGCGTGAAGTGCAGTCACATGATCATGGCTCACTGCAGCCTCAAACTCCTGGGCTCAAGGAATCCTCCTGCCTCAGTCTTCAGAGTAGACAGGACTGCAGACAAGTGCCACCACACCCAGCTAATTAAAAAAAAAAGTGTAGAGACGAGTGTCTCACTGTATTACCTGGGCTGGTCTCACACTCCTGGCTGCAAGTGATCCTCCTGTGTCAGCTCCTCAAATGTTAGGATTACAGGAGTGCACCACCACGCCTGGCCAAAAAACACCCATTTATCTGTTTATAGTACCTTAGTCAGAAATCTGGGCATGATGTAGATGGAATCTCTGTTCCAGGCTTCCCAAATCTGAGTCTTCATTTTGAATCCTCCTTTAGGCTTATACAGAGGTGGCAGAATGTGCTTTCTTGCAGTTTTAAGACTGAGGTCCCTGTTCCTTGCTGGCTGTCAATGTAGAGAACAGGGAGGGCTGTACTCAATTCCTGGTGCCCACCAGTGTTGTTTCCTACACAGCCCCTTCATTTTCAAAGCCCACAGTGGAGGAAACCCCTCATGCTGAATCCCTCTCACACTGTGAATCTCTATGCTCAGGAAGAACCCAGTCCTTTCAAGGACTCTCCTGATTAGGACAGTCCAAGCAGCATAAACCCAGCCTGAAGTCAACTAATTGAGCCCCTTTATTATGTCTGCTAAATTCCTTCACAGCAGCACCTACATTAGAGTTGGTTGAATAACTGGGGGAAGGTGAATGACCAGGAGGTGGTTGTTGGGGCCATCATAGAATCACTCTAGCAAGGGATGAATCTTCCTTTTGTGTTTAATTGGGACACAGTTGGAAATTGAAGTTCAAGTAAAGTGATCATTGTGAACGATAATAAAATACATCCTCTTCAGCCATGGAACTTCTCCTTTCCTTTTAAAACTAAGTTACATGTTTAATGTCTTATAATTAAGTTAGGCAGGGGTGGTGGCTCACGCCTGCCATCCTAGCACTATGGAAGGCAGAGGAAGGCAGACTTGTTGACTCCAGAAGTTCAAGATCAGCCTGGGCAACATGGTGAAACTCTCATCTCTACAAAAAAACTAGAAAATTAGCCTGGCATGGTGGTTCATGACTATAGTCCCAGCTACTCAGGAGGCTAAGGTCAGAGGATCCCTTGAGCCCAGGAGGTCGACACTGCAGTGCATGGTGATCATGCCACTGCACTCCAGCCTGGGTGACAGAGTGAGACCCTGTCTCAAAAATAATAATAATGATGATGATAAATTTAGAGCAAATGCAAATTAACATGTAATAATGCATCCTGTCTTGTGAAAATGTATTAGTTATTTACTATGCATAACAAATTATGTAAAACTTAGCAGCTCAGAACAACAAATATTCCTCATCTCCCACAGTTTCCAATGATCAGAAATCCAGGAGAGGTTTCCCTGAGTGCTTCTGGCTCAGGGCCTCTCACAAGGTTGCAGTCCAGTTGTCAGCCTAGGCCTGCATCATCTGAGGACTTCACTGAGCAAGGCCATAGAGGAGTCCTCGAGCTACAATTGGCCATCAGAGGAGTCCCCTGTCTCCTAGGAATGTCCTGCCTTAGTGTCACTGGTATGACCCATCAGTCGTTGGGAACAGCCCATGGGAAGAGGGCCTCAGCACCAATGTACTGAGGATGTCAGAACACAAGAGCAGGGCCTTGGGAGATTGCCCACAAGTGTGACTCAAACCTTCTGCCCTGACGGGTCTGGGCCCTTGGAAATCAAATCCTCTCAGGCTGAATTGCTGGATGATTCTGCTCACACTTACAATGGGGCAAGGGAAACCAGAAGGCTCCCAGGTGGATCTCTGGTTTCCACACACACTTCTACCCTTGTGTGAAACAGCCATGCCTTCTCCTGGGGATGAGGATCTATTTATTACCTGGGCCTGGAGAGGAGGAGAATCTTCTTCTCACCAAGTGGTATCTGGGCACACACTGTCCAAACTTCTCTGGTGACTAAAGTAATGTGTAGTTCAGTGGGCTGTCTTTTGTCTCCTTTTAGGGGTACACTCCTTTGGAAACCAGAACCTCGTATCCTGCACAGCCCAGTGTTGGGAGATAAAATATGCGAAATACCCCATTGAGTGAATCTAAGAGATTGGACATGGAGCCAAACCTGCTTCCGCCTTTTGATTTCTGGACACACATGTTCTTCCTATTGAGAACACAGAACTCTAGAGACGTCTCTGATTCAAACAATGCACTGTGTCCTGAAAGATGGCACCCACCCCTCAGAGTGCTTCCTCCAGGCTGGCACTGAGTTGTGCCTGTAGAAGACCTGTCCAGCCTTCCTTGTGGCTGGCAGCTCCTGGGTAGTGCAGATGGTGATAGGATTAGTGGAACCCACAGCCGTGGAAACACTGAAACTTTCCCTGCAAAGTGGGTCCTTCAGGCAGATAATGGGCTAGGAGCACTGCCTAGCCTGCAGACCAGGAATGTCAACAGCACCCAGAGAGTGGTGCTGGCTGTGTCTGAGAGCAGGACAGGAAAACCCACCCATAGAATCGGTACCTAACCCTGTGAAGATGAAACTCTGGCCCTTCCAGGTTGGAAGTAGCTAAATGTAGTCAACTTGTTACTTAGTGGGTAGTCATGTAAAGAAATAGTGCCCCACTAGGGCACATCATGGGCCTCAATTGCTGATGAGTTGGACATTCAGAGGTGGCAGCAGCTGGATCTGCCTTGGTGTGGGGAAGTCAGTGCTGCTGGCCCCTTACGGAGCCTCATGCCTGCCACTGTGGTTGCTCCATTCATGCACTCATCCTACCAGGCCTGGGCTGACCCATGGTGAAAGCTGGCTAACTGCCATTTGTCTGTTTGGTAGTTCAGTGCCACTTCAGACTTGGGTGTTTTCTGTGGGTGTCAGCAAGGGATTCAAGCTCAACCCAGGTGGACTGTTTTCACCTGATGATGAATGCTGTTGGGCCTGTACCATCTATGACTTTGTGGGTCACACAGGCACTTGGAACCCCGTAGTTGCTTGGTATCCCGTGGTCAAACATTCTATTGAATCAGGACAAGGAACACTAAAAGTTGCTTCTAACAGGGGGCATGTGTCTCTGCTGTGGATGACATGATCTTACTCCAGAATCCCAGGCCCTCCACTGTGACTCTCCCACTGGTGCTTGGTTCAGCTCCATCCTGTGTCTTTCCCCACCACTGGCACCACCAGCCCCAGGGGTCTGAGGGATGGTGGCTGCTTGTACCATGGCCTGGATCTGCTGCAGGGTCCTTTCCTGTGTAGGCCCCACTTGAAGCTGGCATCCTCCTATGTCACCTAGACTGTGGGCCAAAGCAAAATGTCTAGATGTGGAATGTGGTGTTGTTATAATTCAAAGAGGCTCACCAAGCAGTGTGCTTCCTTGCTTCTGGTGAGGATGCAAGATGCAACAGTTTTTCTTTTACCTTGGAGGGGACACACCTGCATTCCCCTAAACACTTGGCACTTGTTCACCCATAAAACTTCACTTCAGTGCCCACCTTTGAAGCTGTATAAGGTTTATCTTCACCTTGTGGGGTGCGTGTGTTTTGCAAAGGACTACAGTGCACTTTCTTCCTGCTGCTCATCTACTCCAGTCAACATGAAGTTGTCAATGAAATGTGCTGATTTAATATCCTAAAGGATATGCAGTATGTCCAGTACAGTCTTAAGCCTATACTATAGAGGGCACAGGTGTTACAATAGCCCTGAGGCAAACAATAAATAAATGTGTCGTTGATTCCACATGAATGTGAATCACTCCATATCCTCTTCCTTCCTTCCTTCCTTCCTTCCTTTCTTTTTTGACAAAGTCTTGCTCTTGTCCCCTAGGCTGGAGTGCAATGGCGTGATCTCGGCTCACTGCAACCTCTGCCTTCTGTGTTCAAGTGATTCTCCTGCCTTGGCCCCCCGAGTAGCTGGGATTACAGGCACCTGACATGATGCCTGGCTAATTTTTGTATTTTTAATAGAGACGGGGTTTTGCCATGTTGGCCAGGATGGTCTAGAACTCCTGACCTCAGGTAATCCACCGGCCTCGGCCTCCCAAAGCTGGGATTACAGGCATGAGCTACTGCGCCCAGCCCATATCCACTTTCTAATTGGAGTGGAAAGGAATGCACTCACCAAATCCACAGCGGCACACTGTGTGCCCGGGGCTTTATTAACCTGCTCTACCAGTGATAACCAGACAACATAAAAGCTGCAATTATAACTCCTACTTGGCCAGACCTGGAGTAATCTCATTCATTCTTTAGGCCTTACCAGTTTCCCTCAGGGACAGGTTGCTGGATTACATAGAGACAATAGACAGCCCCAACACCACCCCACATCCTTCAGCTCTCTAATGTTGGTGCGACCCCATAATACTTTCAGTGTCTTCCACAAGACCCACCCTGGGACACACTATGGTTTTTGATTTGGCCAGGATGAGGGCAGTGTCAGAGGTTTCCGTTTGGCTTTCAGCACAATGAGAGTCCTTACTCCACAGACTAGGGACCCAGTGTGGGGGTGACTCCACTTAGCAGTGCAGCAGTGTCAATCATGCACTCAGGGAATTGAAAGATATCCAGCGTTGGGTCTGTTGGCCCAGTGGTCCCATTGTGGGCCATAATTTGTCCAGGTTTACTCCCTGGCCTCCATAAGCCCCACTGTGATGGGAGACATGAGTGCTGTGGGCATCTGGGCATCAATGTCAGCTCACACCCAGTGTCAATAATCCCTCCAGTTCTGCGTGTTTCCTTTCCCCAGTGTACAACCACCCAAGTAAATGTCTATAGGTTCCTTTGCCAAATGATTGAGGGAATTGTGCCAGCATATACTTCCACAGGGTTGCAGGGTCTTCCTCCTAGGGATATGGACTCCTCCTCTGTCACTGAGATCTGAATCTGAATCTTGGCTGAGGTCTAGGCATTGAGGATGGGATCATGACTTTGTATTGGGTCAAACACCTTCACCCTCCTGCTCCTCAATTCTTTCATTCCTATCATAGATATCAAGCAGCGCCCTTGTTGGCTGCCTGTCCTAACCCTGGGACACCACCCTCTATTAACCTTCCCCACATTCCCTGCAACTTGAGTCCTCCTGGCTGCTACTCTGAAGTTGCCATAGTAACCATGCCCTCTGCTTTTTCAGGTCACTGCCACCACTTCTTCTCTGTCTCTTCAGGGCCACACTCTCCCCAGGGATATGGATAAATGCAACTCTGGGACCATCTTTATTACCATCACCTGCAGCCTGCAGAGGACAACACCCCTATACTTAGTGATGCAGGTCCCTTTCACCATCATGTTCCTGAGGCTCTGGTGGAAGGTTGTGTCCTCTGGGCCCTCTTGTGGAGCATGGCCCTGGTGGGCCTTCACCATGCCCACTTCCCTCAGCCTCGTTATTCCTTCCTTTACATGTTCCAGGGCAACTAAGACATGTCTACCTTGTTGAGAGTTGGGCATCTTTTTTTCCAATCTATATGGATTCACCCCAGCGGTGGGTTTAGCTCCACTTATCAAAGTCCTGGGGTGTTTGACAAACCCATGCCTTGAGAAAGTGCCTCCAAGCCAAAGGATTTTTATTCATCCAGCCTGAAATTCTGGTTTCTTGATCAAACGCCCTCAAATTCCAATCCCAGAAGTGCTCCTTGGGCTCCTGTGGGGAAATGGCGGCTAATTCCTGCAAAGCTGCTGAGTAGGATTCCCGCAGAATCACGGGGGTGAGGCTTTTGCAGCATCTTCCAGCGTAGGAAGTGGGAACCATTATTAGATAATGGTGAGCCTCCTCTGCATTCCCAGAGGGTCCTGGAGGGCACCCATCGGATATCCTGGTTCCAGTTTCCAGAATCTCAGGTTTCCCCACCAGGACCCTGACTTTCCTGTAACAGGCCTGCTTTGGCTGAGTGTCAGACATGTCTGGAGCACTGTGGCCCTCGTAATGATGTCTTCAGCTGCCATTCCACGCTATCTGCCCTTTCGCTACAGGAGATAAAGGCCTCTCCATGAGACACTGCAGAGGCTGTCACCTGTAGCCAGTGACAGCTGTTAACAACCCGCAGATTCTCATGATCCTTTTATAGGGTATCAACGCAGCCAAGCAGTAACCACCCAACTCCTCTGTCTTTGTAGGTTTCCCCCAACCTCATCATTATTGTGTAGGGCATTCTATCACCTCACCTGCCATAGCTTCCCCTAACCAGGGCATCTTCTCAGCTCAGCACTGAGGAGACCACAGCACCTCAGCTGCACCTTATGCCATGGACTTTCTGTGTCCCCCACCAACCCGGGTGGCATCCTCTTGGCCTGCCAGGCAGTGGGCAAGATTATTTCAAATTCCCATTTTTGCCTGTTTTCATGGGTCACCCTTCATACCGCTTGGGTTAGTTAGGGTCCCCTGAGGAGCAGAGCCCAATACGGTAGTAAATGTGCAAGGATTTATTCAGGGAAATACTTGTGAGAGAAATTCAGGAGAGAGACAGAAAACACTGGGAGAGCCATCAGACCACACTGCAACTCTGAGCCCCAGTGAAGGAGAGAGGGCAGGAAGTTCAGCTGGAAGCATCCTAGACCCTGTGCAGGCTAAGGGAAATTTAGTAAAGGAGGCAGGGAGCCCTGGGGCTGCAGTCAGCCTTCAGAGGAGAAATATTCCTGCCTTAGTTTCTGCCCTGCTTTCCTCAATCATTGGCTGGAAAAGATCAGGGGGCAGGTGTGGGATCAGAGCAAATGTGGCAATAGATTTCAAGCTTCAAGAGCTGGGGTCATCATCGATTCTGCTTCCTGTAGCTGAGGGGCTGGGATGTGCATTCTCATGACTGCCACAATGATCCAGTGGGGAGAGAGGGAAAAAGTTGATGATAAAGATAAAAAAAGATACTAGTTGATGAACTGACAACTTTAAGTAGATGAGAAGGGATGATGTTTGGGGCACCAGAAGAGGGACTGGCTCTGACTGGGAGCAGAATTGTTAACCCCCAGCAATCCCTCCCGTGGTAAAATGCCTGACATGTGGTGCAGCTGCAAATGCATGAGCAGACAGTGGTGGAATCGGGGAAGTTGTCTTCTAATGTGTTCAGTTTTCTCAGTGAGGTAGGAGGCAAGGTTGTCAGCTGAGGTAAGAATGGGGAAGAAGGGTTGGATGTGTGAGCACAGAGAGAAGGTGTCTAGGAGTCACCCAGGCCAAGAGGAGGCTGAGGGTGAACCACGTAGGGAGAGGGTGATTGCTGGCCACGTCAATGGTAGGGGCTCCCCATGAGGTTTGGAATCTTAAAGAGACCAGTCAGCATGTTGTGTGCTGCTGTCCAGCCTCCTGCAGCTCATGGGGCAGGTGCAGCATAGACAGAGGTGGAACCCACCAGCTGTGTAGTTTTGCCAGGTGAGTATGACAATGCAAGGGAGAGGCAAGGGAGGGATTGAAATTATTTACTGTAGAATTCAAAATGGGAGAAGAGGGAGGAGAGGACACCAAGGGTGAGTGACAGGGAGTAGATGGCAGGATCACTCAATTGGGAATCCCAGTGGGCTGGAAGGATTGTTGGAATTGATGTACCACAGGGTGGACTCCAAGCCTGGAATGCAGGCACATAGGAAATGAGTGGTTCATTGATATTACATCACAGCATATGATAAAATGATAGTGTCTGTGTCATCAGAGCCTGTGGCCACCTTGCAAGGGGATGAGTGGAAAGATGGCCAGAGAGTGGGAAGTGTGAGATTGAGAGTATGGAAGGGCTGGGGTTCTTGGCCGTGATGAGGCCTAGGGGATGACAAGGGCATGAGATTCAGGCAGAGAGAGGAGAAGGTCATGGAGGAGAGGAGTTACAGGATCTGAGAGTCCAGGGAGCAAGGGCATCTTCTCTGCTGTATAGGTGTCTGTTGCTGCCATAAAAATTACCACAAACCAAGTGGCTTTAAACAGCACCTAATTATCATGTCACAGTCATGTGGGTTGCAAGTCCACACAGTCTCATGGGGCTAAGATCAATGTACGGGAAGGCCTGCATTCCTTCCTGGAGACTGGGGAAGAATCCACTTCCAAGCTCATTCAAGTTCTTGTCTGAATTCACTTCCTTGCAGATAGAACAGAGATTTCCACTTCCTTGTTAAGAGCCACCCTTAGCTCCTAGAGTTTTCTCTCAGGTACTCACACATGGCGCCTAAGGCACATCCAGTCCTCCTGCTTGGAACATCTGACCTCCTCTCTCCAGCTTCTCCTCTGTTTCCTCTTCTGCAGAATCTGACTCCAGCCAGGGCAGTTTCTCTGCTTTTAATGGCTCATGTGATTTGATTGGGCCCACGCAGATAGTCCAGGATACTCTCCCTATTTTAAGGTCCTTAATCTTCATTACATGATTAATGTCCCTTTTGCCATGCAATGCAACCTATTCACATGTTCCAACGATTAAGCCTGGACATCTTTGGGGACCATTACTCAGCCCACCACATCTGCGTATGTTGAAGTCACCAAGAGTCAAGGAGACGCACTGCTGGAGAGGGTGACAGTGAACCAGGAGCTACAAGGGTCAGGATTAAGAGGAATGGCTTGGGGCACAAAGGGAATGGCTACAACATGGGGAATGGGGCCCTAATCTGCTGACAGCTTAGGGGTTTAGGGAGGAGGGAGGGAGAAAGGTGTGAGAACCACAGTGAGGAGCAAGGACCCCACCTCACCTCTGAACCCAGGGGTACAAGTCCCTGGGAAAACTCCCCCATGTGGGAGGACTTTGGAGGGGGTCGTGTCCTCAGGGAGACCAGGTTGCTGCTGTAGCTGTGAGGTGCAGGAACATCCTGAGAGAGGGTGTGGAGGTTTTGCTAATCTTTTTGCTGGGGGAGGGTCTTGCCTCAGTGTTGACTATTGGCTGATCAGGAGGGTGGTTGCTAAAGGCTGCTGTGGCAACTTCTTTAGATATGACAATAAAGTTTGTGGCATGGATTGTAAATCGGGAATCAGTACTTAAGTAAGGTCAATATGAGTTTTCAAGTCAGGTGGACCTGAATATGAACCCTCCAGGCCCTTCCACCAGCTAGCTATAGAGCCCTGGGCACATCTGGCCCACAGTTGGCCCTGACAGACACTTGCCCAGTGAGTGAGTGCTGAATGAGCCCATACGAGTCAGTTTCCTCATCTGCAAACTAGTGATGTAATTCCTGCCTTGCCAATTCAGAAGAATAAGTGAGAAGAAACCCAGTGCCAAGAAAAACAGACACAAGACCTGTGGAAGGCTGGGCACCAGTACTCTAAAGCAAGCTCTGCCTAAACTGGCAGGATCATTTTTCACATCAGAAACAGGAATTGGTCTGGATTCTGTCTGGGACCAGGCTGAGAGGGAGGTGGAGGCAGCAGAGCAGGGCAGGGGTGGGGCCTATGCAGCACCAGGTGCTGAAGCAAAGCCAAGGCCTGGAGGGAGCGAACTCTTGGTGTCTTCTAGGCAACTCAGACTGCTCCCTGCCTCAGCTACCATGGTCCTTTCTCTTCCAGGATCTCTTGGTGCTGTTGTCTTCACCTCCTCCTGCCCTCCTGGTCCCTAGCTCTCCAGGACTCACAAAGATGCTGCTCTGAAAACCCCAAGGCAAGCGTGGAAGAGTAGAACAGCTCCAGGGACAGTGGGAAGATGAGGTCACCCCAGCATGTTGACGGACACCAAGGGTGGGGGTGGAGGACGTGAAGGGGATCAGCACAGGAGTCAGGGGAAATCCTCTAAATCCCACCCTGCACCACCCTCACCCCTGCAGCTCCTTGCCTAGTTCCAGCTCTGAGCTCTCAGCTCCTTCCCAACCACACCCCAGCTCAGACCTCAGGGCTCTCTCTCCCCACCCCCTCCAGAGCAGCACAGTCCACAGAGCCCTTGAACAGAAATTCCCCCTCATCTAACAGTTAATTATTTCTTAGCGGAGAGGGACAGCCGGTCCTCTCTTTCCAGTGACCCCATATCCTTGTTCAAGGTATCCAGTTATACTCCCTGAGCCAGGGATCTCTATTTGCCCCCCAGAGGCCTATGCCCAAGACAAGGGGCTCCCTGGGCTTCTCAGTACAGGAGGCCTTAAGCTAATGGGCTAGAAAAAGGGAAAGGGAGGTAGAATTCCTCATTTACAGCCAGACCCTGCAATACAGGTTCCAAGGGCCTCAGCCCCCTGCCCTGGCTGATGCTCCCTCCACCACTCCCCCTCACCAGGGCCATGAGCCCCCAACACAGCTGAGCTGGCCCAAGCTGAGGAGTTGCTGGAGCTGGACCAGGCCCTGCTGGAAGGGCAGGAGGGGGTCAGGGGCCCAGGCCCTGGTGCTCAAGGTCTAGAATTTGAAGGAATAGATGAGGAGGCACCAAGAAAGCCTGGGTGGAGACACTCAAGCTTCCCACCAGTGCCCACAGCACCCTCCATCCCTGGAAATACTGCGCACCATCCACCAGGAGCCCCAGGATCAGAAACATCCCAGCCTCTCTCAGGCCAGATAAAGCAGAAGAGACCCCAACAAAGGGCCGGAAATAGGCAGGTAGTTGGGGAGCCAGGGCTCTGCAGTCCGTCCCCCTTTGACCTCACAGCAGGGCATCCAGGCCTTACAGGAATTTACCCTGGACCATGCCCTAAAATAATCTTACCCCAAATACAATAAAGGGAGAGAGCACCCACACATAATGCAGATGCACTTGTGTTTCATGTTTAGTTACATTAAAAATTCTGACGATCAGGAATGATGGTTCGGGAGTGGTGCTGATGCAGAAGAGGAAAGCCAGGGGGTGGTGGAGGCTGTCAGGTGTGGGGGCAGCAGGGTCTCCTTCACCCACACCCTGCTGTCCTCTCCTGAAGGGCAGATGGTCACATTCCAGAATGAGCGAGTCTCCTACTGCATCTGTTCAACTGAGAAGGAGACATGGCACAGTGAGAATAAGGCATGAAAGGACAAAGCAAGGCAGGAACACACAGCACACATGCAGATGCTGGTGTACTGCCTGGGTTCAGAGGATGGACTTGGGTGTGGTGGAAGAGATGTAATATGAGAAAAGGCACAGACCCCACATAGAGGGCAGCAAAACGTCCCAACACAGCATCAACGGCCAGGGGGCATGAAGCAGTCAATTGTTCATTATGCGTTAAGTGCCCATGACCTACATGATGGGATTGAAGACACAGTAAGGAATAGGGAGGAACTAAGGGTTTCATGAAATCAGCACTCACTGTGGAGGAGACGTCTGTCTCAGCAGGTAGCTCCTAACACTGAACTTAAAGTGATGCTGCCCATCACTGAGGATCCTGGCACAATTCTCATCCGACACAAGCCCTGTTCCAAACCAGCCTGCTCTAGTCACCTGGAAGGAGACAGAGGTTAGGACTAGAAGACCCCAAAGAGGGAAGACAGCCAGAGGGAGGAATGAAGAAGTGAAGTGTGAAAAGATACAGAAAATAAGTGGGTGGGAGAGTGGGTGTCCCTCTGTGTATGGAGCTTACCTGATTCACGTAGGTCTCAGAATCTTCAGGCATGTCACAGGTAAAGGCAGTGTTCACCTGCTCCATGTCCATGCCTGGGCAAAATAGGGTTGGTAGCCAAAGAATTGGCCTTTAAAAATCTTTTGGGGTCATTCTCAGACAAGTACAGAAGAGCAAAAACTGTTAGTCACCTGAGGTGCATTCTCCTTCTCAGGTTCAGAAATGAACTACATGTAAAAGGAACCAAAGGCTGTAATTCTCATGGCACCCAGAAAACTGGACTAGGGACCTGGAGAGTCATGTGCCTGTCATTGCTCCACCACTCACGAGCTGTGTGACTTCAGGAGAAGCTCTCTACTCATAGGGCCTCTGATTCATCTGTGAATCATGGACAAATGCCTCCATTCTAGCAACCTTACTGAAATGCAGGGAGGACCAAGTGATCAATGCGGAGGAAAAAAGCAAAGTGATGACATTTACTCCTAGACAAGACTCTTTAGGAAAATGCACTTTAAAAGGAGGAGAAAACATAGTACCTGCCATCCCCTGCCAAAAAGCCTCTTTGGTTTAGTAATTATGATTGTTCATCATCTTTCTATAAAATTAGGGCAAAACTAGCTCACTCAATGTCTCAAATAAATTAAACACAGTTTGTGATTCTATGTCCACAACTTTTGCACTGTGTGAAACTGAAAAGAAATGGGAACACATCCATGTTTGTGTGGTGGCCAGGAGACCCACAAAGGCTTGGAAATGACCCTGTATCATCTATTTTCCATTGACTCACTCTATGTTTTGGAATCCCAGGTAATTCATATTCTTAAAAAGTCTCATGTTCATACATAGGACAGAGTAGAAAAGGTAATATTTCTGTTTTAATTTGCTAGGGCTACCATAACAAAGTACCACATGCTGGGTGAGTAAAATAATAAATATGTATTGTCTCACAGTTCTGGAGGCTACAGGTGCAGGTCAAGGTGCTGCAGGGTTGCTTTTTCCTGAGGCCTCTCTCCTTGGCTTGTAGATGGCCACTTCTGTCTTCTCAACATAGGACTCCAACATATGAATTTCGGTTGGGGAGGGACACAATTCGTCTCATAACAGCGTGGATCATCCTTGGTAGTGGATATTCTAAAAAATAAAAGAGAGTATATCCCTTTGGCTTGGTGCTTTCTCTTGGTTTTCTCAATTTTTGGTCTTGCAATAAGAACAAAAAAGAACAAGAACCAACGTTTAGTTTTTCCCAGAAGGTGAACCCTCCCTACATCTGGGTAACCCCAGACCCCAAGAAGAGGTGCTATGCAGTTCTCCAGAGTCTTACTTTCTCCAGGAATTCTGTTTCTGCCTTTCTAACTGGGGAGAAGATTCTCTCAGGAGAGCCACTTCTTCTGATGCTGTATGGGCTTCATTCTGCTTGAACTTACAAAGTGGATCTTAATAAAAAGGAAATATTTGCCAATTTTTATCATGGTCATATTTTTGTACTTTTTAAAATGTCCCATATTGTGTTGAGTTTATTTTAAAAATATTTTTTAAAGGTAATACATAACATTTTATATGTTTATGGGGCACATGTGATCATTTGATACATACACAGAATGTGGAATAATCAAGTCAGGGTGTTTAGGGAATCCATCACCTCAAGCATGTATCATTTCCTTGTGTTGGGAACATTTAAAATCCACTCTTCTAGCTGTTTTAAATATACATAATTGTTAGCTTTAGTTGGCCTGCTGTGCTATAGAACATTAGAACTTTTTTTTTTATATAACTGTACATTTGTACCCATTAATCTACCTCTCTACATCTTCCCACCCCTACATTCTTCCCAACCTCTGGTAATTTTCATTCTACTCTCAACCTCCATGAGATTAACGTCTTTAGCTCACACATGTGAGTGACAACATGTGATATTTGTGTTTCCTTGCCTGGCTCATTTCACCTAACATGACCTCTGGTTCCATCCATGTTGCTGCAACTGACAGGATTTCACTCTTTTTTTATGGCTGAATTGCATTCCATTGTGTATATACTACAGTTACTTTATTCATTCACCCATTGATAAATTCACCATTGATTTCACATCTTTGCTATTGTGAATAGTGCTTCAATAAACATGGGTGTGCAGGTACTCTTTTGATATATTGACTTCATTTCCTTTGGATAAATACTCAGAAGTAGAATTGTTGCATCAGATAGTAGTTCTATTAATAGTTTCAGTTTTTTTGAGAGATCACTCTACTGTTTCCCATAATGGCTGCACTAATTTACATGACCACCAACAGTGTATAACATTCCCCTTTCTCCACATGCTCACCAACATCTATTATTTTTTATTTTTTAATAATAGCCATCTTAACTAGGGTTAGGGTAAGATATATCTCATTGTAGTTTGATTTTCATTTTCCTGGTATTTAGTGATGTTGGGTGTTTTTCACACACCTGCTGGCCACTTGTATGCCTCCTCTTGGGGAATGTCTATTCAGATCCTTTGTCCACTTTTTAATTGGATTATTTGTATTTTTTACTGCCAAGTTTTTGAGTTCCTTGTATATTCTAGATATTAGTCTAGAATATACTAATTGGATGAATATACTGGTTGGTTGAATACTTAGTAAATATTTTCACGATTCAACAGGTTATTGCTTCATTCTGTTGGATGTTTCCTTTGCTGTGCAGAAGCTTTTTAGCTTAATATAGTCTCATTTGTCTATTTTTACTTTTTTTGCCTGTGCTTTAGAGGTCTTAGCCATAAAATCTTTGCCTAGACTAATGTTTCCCATAAGTTTTCTTCTAGTAGTTTTACAGTATTGGGTCTTACGTTTAAGTCTACAATCCCTTTTGAGTTGATTTTTTGTATATGGTGAGAGACAGGGGTCTAGTTACATTCTTCTGCATCTGGTAGCATTTTCCCAGCACCATTTATTTAAGAGACTGTTCTTTCCCCAGTGTATATTCTTGGTTCCTTTGTCAGAGGAACTCCTTTGAGAGTTCTCATTAAGAAGCAATGTTTAGTTTCACCAAATGCTTTTTCTGCATCTATTGAGATGATAATATGGTTTATGTCCTTCATTCTGTTGATGCGGTATATGACATATTTTGATTCACATATGTCAAACAATCCTTGCATCCTGGGTATAAAACTCACGTGATTATGGTGTATTGTTTTGATCTGTTGTTGGATTTTGTTGCTAATATTTTCAATTACTATTTTTTATTACTAACGTTTAAATTTTTATTGTAAGCATTTTAAACTTGTAAAATTTACATATACTGAAATGATCAGATCTGTATCAAATTCATCAATGAATTTTGACAAATACAGCCATAGCACCCATGCCACTATGAAGATACACGAAGTTCTCTATTTTTCTGCCTTCAAATTAGCCCCCTTTCCCCAGCAGCCATTGATCTGATGACTATCATGATAGAGTAGCTCTTCCTGTTTCAAAACTTCATACGTATCCATTCATCCCATATGGCCTCCCTTGTGCCTAGCTTTTTGCACTTGGTGTAATATCTATGTGGTCTGCCCAGCTTGTTGCATGTATCAGTAATTCATTCATTTTTAATGCTGGTAGTATTGCATTGTATCACTGAGTCACAATTTTTTTGTACATTTTGGGGGTATTCACGGTTTTTTATTGTTACAAATGAACTATGGACATTATTGTACAGGGATTCTTGGACATAATCTTTATTTCACTTGAGTAAATACCTAGGAGTGGAAATGCTAGCCATAGAGTACTAGCTTGTTTAACTTTATTAGATGATATAAAAGTGATTTTCAGAGTGGCTGTTTTATATTCTTATAGGCAGTGGATGAGACTGTTTCACATCCTTGACAACATTTATATTTATTAATCACTTAAATTTCAGCCATTCTAATAAGTGCTTAGTGGTTTCTCGCTGTGGTTTTACTTTGCATTTTTCCCTGATGACTATTGGCCATTCATGTGTCTTTTTTGTAATGTTTCAGAAGATTTCTCTAAAGATTGTGGAAGGAGCTAAATAAACATGATTTCTCTTTCTCTAAGTGCTAGACCTAAAGTGGAATGTTTAGAATCCATCCACGCTTCCCAGTCTGGCCTACTCAATCCCATATTTGCCCCCTAAAGTCCCCACTCCTTCATCCCTCTTTTATATTTTATCCTCTTCATTCTGGCTCAAGCTCACACTCCTCCAGGAAGTCTGTTACTGTGAAGGTCACTGACATGCTCAGTATTGTCATCTCTCCATCTGTCTGTACCTCTGTGCAGCTTTCCTCACACTCAATAACTCTTTTCTTATTTTGCTCAGTTCCTGTGGATTCACTTCACAAACATTAATTCAAAGTAGTTCCAGCTGGAAGAAAGAATAGAAAATTATAAAAAATCTTTGTGAAGGCACCACCCAGGTTTGTCAATTGGCGACATTTTAATATTATTGGCTATATGTAGTATACATAGAAAAATAATAGAAATATATGTAGATAGCCTTGATTTTTCACAGCTCTGATATGCACATGTTTCAGTCAGTACTGTACTGAGCAAATCAAGAATTGCAAGAGGATGTGTGACTTGAATTTAGTGTATGCCTTTATATTTTTACTAAGTTTTAGGAAATCTCTTTGTTTGAAGTCTTTTAGACTTGTTTTTTTAGAACAGGTCTCCTCACTCTGTCACCCAGGCTTGAGTGCAGTGGCACAAACACAGCTCACTGTACCTCAACCTCCCAGGCTCAAGCGATACACCTACCTCAGCCACCCAAGTAGCTGGGGGTATAGCTATGCTCCACCATGCCGGGCTAATTTTTGTATTTCTTGGAGAGAGGGTTTTTGCCATGTTTCCCAGGCTGGTCTTGAACTCCTGAACTCAAGCGATCCACCCACCATGACCTCCCAAAGTGCTAGGATTACAAGTGTACACCACCTTGCCTGGCTTTGCTTTTAGACTTCTTATAAATTGTTTCTGGCTAATTTTATCATTCATTTGCTTGCTTTTTCAGTTAACATGTTCTATGACATGAATCTATGTTCATACAAATAGTTCATTTGCTTTCATTGGTGGATAGTATTCCATGGGAGGAATATACTACAATTCTTCTCTTTCCCTCTTCATTGACCTTTAGATTTTCTCTATTGTAGACCTCACTGCAATGAACATCCTGGGACATTGCCTCCTGCTCTCAGAGATATGTGAGTTTCCCTAGAATATGCATATAGGAGTGGGGTCACTACAGCTTTTCCATATGATGTTACATGATGCAAAATTGTTCTCTGAAAGAAATAATCCAAATGCCTATCAAGAGGGGGCTGATTAAAAAGCACCGCACTCAAAAGAAGCAATCTCTATTTTTTTTTTAAATATTGCATATATATACAATGGTGTATCATGAAAATTTCAAACAAAGATGTAGCTAAGCTCTTGGTATTTCTTCATGTGATGGTCTTTGTGATACAATGTGAAGGGAAAAGGCAAGGTGCAGGAAAGCATATGTAGTTTGCTAAAATTTGTGTGAAATGGGAGAAAGATTATATACATATACATTTAGATTGACTTGCATATGCATAAAATGCCTTTGAAAGAATAAGCAAGAAACTGATATAAATAGCTGCCTGTCAAGATGGGGTAGCATAAGAGAGAGACTTTTAACTTTTTGAGTTTTGAGCCAAGTCAAAACATAAAATAAAAGATAATTCCAAGGCAGACAAAACAAACAAAATCAAATCCTTCAAAATAAAAAACTTAAAAAAAGAGCCTAACAGAATTAATTCTCTTACCTTCCTTAATTAAAAAAAAAAACTGTCTAAAAATTATATCACTTCTCAAACAAGGATGTTTCCTGTCACTTTAATTCAGTATGTTGTTTTCTTTTTCATTGCACTATCTTTCTTTATGTGTGTGTCTGTCTTTCATTCATTAAAAGTCAAAATGAGAGCATGGTTACTTCACAAATGCAACCGGTTTGGTGAAGGAAATTTTGACCAAATCCTGATGTAAATGGTGAAGCCCAATCTACAAGGAATTCTACGGGGTCCAATGTACCAATTGTGGCTTCAGCAGGCTCAGAACTTCCTCTACTGTCCATGTGAGCTCAAGTATGTGATATTTAGAAAAGAGAACACTTGGTAATTCTCCTGGAAAACACACGATTGAATCCATTTGCTGAATTTGGAAGGTTCTCATTATGAGCCCATTCTAAGTATGTGTCATATGAGGTCACCCTGTATTTGGATCAGAAGGTATAGTCAGAGCTCACATCCCAGGCCCAAACAGCCCAGGACAGCAGAGCAAGACTCGTAGGTCAGTTTCATAAGGGGTGGGAAGGATTGGGGGTGTGGGGGCCACTTGTGAAGTAGTGGGAACCCCAGATGCTGTGTGAAGCTCAGCCTCTGGATTGCCCTGTAACCCCACATTTGATTCCTTCCTGGGTGTCTGCCATTCCCGGGATCCCAAGGAAATCAAATGCTGCAGACTTGGGTGGGGTGCTCTCCAAGATGGCCCATGCATGGTCTAGTTTATCCTATACCTTTGCCTGTCAGCCCTCTTCTGATATTAGAAATCAATATGGATTGCCTTAGGGTGGTGATTCTCAAAGTGTGTTCCTGGGACAAGTAGCATTGGCATCACCTGAGGACTTGTTAGAAATGCAATTTTCAGGCCCTGCCTCAGACCTACTGAATCAGAAACTGCATTTTAACGGGCCCCCAGCAGAATTCTGCATTTCAAATCAGGCCTCTCTCTCTCTGTCTCAAGACTCAATATTGAGCAGCTGTGACTTCTGGATAGTCATATATGGGACACACTTCCTTGCCAGGAAGCACCTGGCTCCTCAGTCAGCTTAGTCTGAGTCCTGGCCTGGCCTAGGAGAGAAAAATTCATGTCCTGGGTTCTGAGCAATGCTCTCCTGTCCTGGATGCCTGTCAGACTCCTATTTATACCTCAAAACGCAGCTCAAATGTTGTGTCTTATGAAGCTTCTGTGACTCCTTGGTCAGAGCAGATGGTCTACATGTGCATCCGCAAAGCAAGTTGCATATTCTGCCAACCATTTGTGTAAGAATTTCCTTACTGGCAACAGAGTGAGACTCTGTCTAAAAAAATAAATGAATAAATAAATAAATAAATAAAGAGTTTCCTTACTGATCTCTGCCTGAGCAAGACGGCTTAACCTTGAAGGCAAGGGGGGTTTGGTTCCTCTTACCTCAGCCCCAGCTCCTTTAACACAATGCCTAGCACATGGTAGGTGTTTGATAAATGTTTACCAAATGAAGGGATTTCCTGCAATGACCTAGGAGACAAGAAGGTGGAATAAAAGCTCACAAGCCAAAAGTGGGTGGGAAAAGGTCTTCCAAATCCCAGTGCTGTGTGAGCACAGGGCCCACTGATGTTCACTTTTAGAAGCTTCCCATCTATCTTGTTCTCTTCTCACCAGAAACATCTATGCTTCCCCACCAAGGTCCACCTAATCGCACTTTACCTTTCAGGACCACCTTTCAAATTAGCTGGGTACAAACTCCACAGCAACTTCCTGCCTTAGCTCCAAATACTCAGCTGCAGGCCTGGTGTGGGGCTTCATGCTAATCCTAGCACTTTGGGAGGCCGGGGCAGCAGATCACTTGAGCCCAGGCCTTAGAGACCAGCCTGGGCAACATGGCACAACCCCATCTCTACAAAAAACACAAAACATTAGCTGGGGCTTGTGGCGTTCACCTCTAGTGACAGCTATTCAGGAGTCTGAGGTGGGAGGATCTCTGGGGCCGAGGAGTTCGAGGCTGCAGTAAGCCGTGATCATGCCACTGCATTCTAGCCTGGATGACAGAGTAAGACCCCATGTCTAACAAACAAAAACTACAACTCTGAGGCTAATTTGGTGGGAGTTAAGAGCTTATCCTACTGCGGTGTCACTATGAGTGATATTGGGTGGCTTTAAGATTAGGGGGTGTTTACATTTCTAAAAAGAAAATTGCTCCACAAAGAATGTAAAGTTTTGGTGTGTGCAGGGGTGGGGTCTTCAGGAGAAAAAAGGCAATAGCTCCAGTAATACTCAGTAGCTGACTGTCCTGCCCACCTCTCACCCAGAGCCTAGGCAGGGGCTGGATTCTCACCTCAGCCCCTCCTCAGCGTACCCTGGATGTGGATGGTCCCTCAGTGTGAACCCACCTGGGCTCTGACTGTGGCTGCTCTTCCCACTGTTATGGAGCCTTAGTGGGTGTGGCGCATGCAGGGGGCCTGCTCAGGAGACCAAGTGCCCTTTAAGTCTCAAGACCTACATTTTTGAAGCACCCATGTCAGATGTTCAGGATGGAAGGGACTCAGATGCTCAAATCATAATAAAAGAAAGAATCCATCCCACTCTCTCAGGTGTGGTGGAATTAAAATTAAATGACAATCAGTAATCTAAAATGATCATATTCTCAGTGTTGACTTTATCATTCAGCCGACGCCTATAACCCAGGGATGGATGAGGCATTGTGGAGGAAGAGTTTATTTCTTCTTTCTGAAGGCTCCATCAGCTGGAGTTTTTGCCCTATGACATGGAGAGGAGACTTTGCTTCAAGCTAAGTTAGGACTGAGCACAGTGGCTCACCCATGTTATCCTAGAACACTGGGGAGGCTAAGGCAGGAGGATCACTTGAGCCCAGGAGTTCAAGACCAGCCTGGGAAGCAGTGAGATGTATTCTGTTCAATTTTTTTTTTTTAATTAGATGGTCATTTTGGGGCTTTCCTGTAGTCTTGGCTACTCTGGAGACTGAGGCAGCAGGATCACTTGAACCCAGGAGCTCAAGGCGGCAGTGAACTATGATCAACTCACTGCACTACAACCTGGGTGAGAGAGCAAGTCCCTATCTCTAAAAAAAGAGAAAGTGACCTGAGTTGGGACAGGACATTTGGACTTTTTCATTAAAATTGTATTTCAAATGTTGTAAAACTTCATAATCAGCATTTTACCCTTTTAGAAAGTAGAATCTGCTCAATTACAGAAAATATAAAAAATGTAGTGAAGCAGAAAGATGGAAAACACCTGTGTCCCCACTGGGAGGATCCGGATGAACCTCTGCCTGGCAGAGCCTCAGAGACGTCAGTGAAAAGGGGCCCTGGAGCTGTGCTTTGCAGCTGCCCCCTGAGTTTCCACCCCTGGTTTCTGTGCATGTGGTGTCTGTGCAGGATGACTTAGTGCAGTCACACTGTATGAGTTATTTTGAATCTTGCTTTTCAAATTTTATTATTATCAATAAGCAACTTTATATGTTATCATAAACTCTTCTTAAACAGTACTTTTCCTGGCTGTATACTATTTCCAAAAAATGACCCAGCTACTCTTCTTTTACAAGTTCTTCTTCCTTATTGTAAATAATATCTGATTAATATCCTTATACCTAAAGATTCTTCTATATTTTGCATTTCATTGTAGAATTATAGATTTCTCAAATATAAATTATTTGGTCAAACTGCATGAACTTTTTTTGCTTTGTTTTTGAGATGGAGTCTCACTCTGTCACTGAGGCTGGAGTGCAGTGGCACAATCTCGGTTCACTGCAACCTCCACCTCCCAGGGTCAAGTCATTCTTGTGTCTCAGCCTCCCGAGTAGCTAGGATTACTGGCGTGCACCACCACACCTGGCTAATTTTTTTATTTTTAGAAAAGACGGGGTTTTACCATGTTGGTCAGGCTGGTCTCGAACTCCTGACCTCAGGTGATCCACCCGCCTCGGACACACATGTTATAAAATTGCTTATCAAAAGCAGCATACCAATTATATTCACCCATCATTCACCTCTTATTTGTTAAGCCCCTCCTCTGTACTGGTATGTTCTAGATGCTAGGGATACAAGTGGTGGCTGGACAAGGTCCTGGCCTCAAATAATATGTTTTAGTGGTACAGACAACAACTTTCAAATTTATTCTAATATCAGTGATAATTGTTATGGAGAAAATATACTCGGGTTAGAAGATTGGTGGTGGTGAGGATGGCAGGAGATATATTTTGTTGGATAAGAGGTTCCTGAGAACTTGACTAAGGGACATTTGAGCAGAGAACTGAATGGCATGAGGAGTGAGCCATGTGGATCCCTAGGGAGCAAGTGCATGTGGGAGTACCAGCAGGGGCCGGTGGCAGAGACAGGATTGAGCAGTGACAAGAGACTGGTGCGAGTGCAGATGAGTGATCTGGGCTGAGAGTGGTGAGATGAGGCCAGAATGGCCAGAGGGGCCCCGTGTTGAGGGGCTAATAGGAAATGGAGAGAGGAAGGGAAGAGGCTGGAGTGTCTCTGGGATGTGGTGGTGAGGATGGGCTCTAATTCCCATTCGAAAGCTTCACTCTGCCTGTTGTGTGGGTGATGGACAGCTGCATGAGATGCAGCAGGCAGCCCAGCTGGAAGGCCCGTCGGATTTACTATCCTAGAGAGAATGGCTCTGGGGAGGAGGCAGTAGACGAGTGTGAAGTGATTGGTTTTGGGGTTAATACATTTTTCAGATGGTCTCAGCAGTTATTTAATAGAGAACCATTCATTTATTTCCACAGTTGATTCCAGATGGCTTACTACAACAAACCAAATAATAAATATACATGCATTATTTAAAAACCAACAAGGCCTGGCGCAGTGGCTCATGCCTGTAATCCCAGCACTTTGGGAGGCCGAGGCGGGCAGATCACGAGGTCAGGAGATTGAGACCATCCTGGCCAACACGGTGAAACCCCATCTCTACTAAAAATACAGAAATTAGCCAAGCGTGGTGGCGGGCCCCTGTAATCCCAGCTACTGGGGAGGCTGAGGCAGGAGAATCGCTTGAACCTGAGAGGCGGAGGTTGCAGTGAGCCGAGATCGTGCCACTGCACTCCAGCCTGGGTGACAGAATGAGACTCCTTCTCAAAAACAACAACAACAACAAAAAAAACAGCTGGGAAAATATAGACTTAAAATATTAAGGCTGGGGTAAAACTAGAACATTACTCAGCAAGAAGGAACATCTGAAACATTTGCAGAAATGGAGTTGACTGTTTCCCTAGCCATAGATTTGTTGGCTCACAATTGTGTTGCATCAGGGAGCCACAGAGGGGGGTGACAGTGCAGGTCACTTGGCCCTTGTTTCCTGTTTCAGGAATATTTTCCTGTTTTACACTTAAAGTCAAAGCAAATTTATGTAACTGTAATTTGTTCAAAAATGAAGTCAACAGCTAAAAAGTCAGAAAGTAAATGTACAAACCCCAGGGGTCTAAGGACAGTCTATATTTCTCCCCCAAAATGTCCTCACCCTGCACTATTGAATGGAGACAGTCCTTTCCAGGCGCCCTAAGATGCAGGGGCGACTGGGCTGCAGCCCTATCTACAGGTGTCCTTCTTTATACCTGCAGTTTCCTTTACACCTGACAGCCAACTTCACTGACCTCACCTGAGCTAGGAATTTGTTTTTTTGGTATTGGTTCTATTTGAGTCATTGTGCAGGCTTAAAACTGTGACATGGAAGTTTTGCTATAATGGTTTTTCTTTGATGGAATTTGACACGCACAGTGGCTCTGGCTTCCCTGTCACTCCCAGGAGAGAACGGAGTGTCCTGCACTTTTTTTTCAAGATCCCTGTGTAAGAGTGATCAAGAGACTTGGAGTCAGGGGCTCCTCCAATCTCACCCTCCTCTCTGATGCTTTCCAGCGTGGGGCCCTTGGCTCTCTGCACATCTGATTAATACAATTGTCTCAGCTCCTGAAATAAAAGCACAGGTGCACATAACACTGACTCCTGCGTGCAGTGCCAAGGTGGGGAGGTTTCCTGGATGCCAGGTTTAGCACTTTGACTCTCATTCACGCACACACACACACACATACACACACACTCTCTCTCATATACAGATACACACGCTAACTGATACACACAGGCACACACAGTCGCACACACATTCACACACATATTTAGACACACTCTCACACACAGATTCACACACACGGGCACACACACACAGGCACACACACACACACATGCAGCCTGAGTGAGCGTTGTGGGACAGGCTGACTTCAGGGGTGGAGTAACAGGAGTCTCTCAGTTCCTTCTCAGTGGACTTTGTCTCTTTTTCCTGGAGGTGGAGGAGTCTGTACTCCATGAGGGGAAGTCCTCTGAAGAAGGGGGGAGATACTCAGGAGCGGGGTCCAGAGATGGACAGGGATGGAGAAGTGGAGACAAAGCGGAGGGGGCGGGGCAAGAAGGGAGCCCACGAGGAATGGGGAGAGGGAGGACCTTCTAGAGGTCAGAAATATCACACGCAGAATTTGGTTCTTTGTTTTTGTGTTTTATTAAGATGGATTTAGTAAACCAGCCGAAGTGCAAGATATGGAGTCTACATTGCAAAGGACACGTCTTAGTCTCCTGCTAGTTTGAACTCATCAGTAGTAGCTAGGAGAAGAGTGCCAGAAGCCTTGCGTGGGGCGCGCAACGCCCCTTTGCAGCGACCCCATTCTCTGCATCCCACGGACCTCCCCACCAGGGACCATGTTGGTCCCCTCCCACCCAACAGGAAGGAAAGGAAGAAGTCTGAAGGCTTTGGATCCTCCCTAGCGCACTTTTTCTCGCCATTTATTCCCAGAGTGTCCTTGCCTCCGCTCCGCTATCCCAACCCCACTATAACAAAGCACATCCTGCGCGCTGGGGCCAGAAATCCTCCTTTGGCCTCTGACTCACTGGTGCCATTTCACTGTGTCCTGTCCTTCCGGCCATTGTCACTGGGTGAAGCCCCAGAGAGCTTGAGCTTGGAGCCCAAGAGAGCTGGATTCTTAGAGCGTAGCTGTCCGCACAAACATTCTTTTTTTTTTTTGGTCTTTATTATTATTATTATTATTATTATTATTATTATTATTATTATTATACTTTAAGTTTTAGGGTACATGTGCACAATGTGCAGGTTAGTTACATATGTATACAGGTGCCATGATGGTGTGCTGCATCCATTAACTCGTCATCTAGCATTAGGTATATCTCCTAATGCTATCCCTCCCCTCTCCCCCCACCCCACAACAGGCCCCAGAGTGTGATGTTCCCCTTCCTGTGTCCATGTGTTCTCATTGTTCAGTTCCCATCTATGAGTGAGAACATGTGGTGTTTGGTTTTTTGTCCTTGCGATAGTTTACTGAGAATGATGATTTCCAATTTCATCCATGTTCCTACAAAGGACGTGAACTCATCATTTTTTATGGCTGCATAGTATTCCATGGTGTATATGTGCCACATTTTCTTAATCCAGTCTATCATTGTTGGACATTTGGGTTGGTTTCAAGTCTTTGCTATTGTGAATAGTGCCGCAATAAACATACGTGTGCATGTGTCTTTATAGCAGCATGATTTATAGTCCTTTGGGTATATACCCAGTAATGGGATGGCTGGGTCAAATGGTATTTCTAGTCCTAGATCCCTGAGGAATCACCACATTGACTTCCACAAGGGTTGAGCTAGTTTACAGTCCCACCAACAGTGTAAAAGTGTTCCTATTTCTCCACATCCTCTCCAGCACCTGTTGTTTCCTGACTTTTTAATGATTGCCATTCTAACTGGTGTGAGATGGTATCTCATTGTGGTTTTGATTTGCATTTCTCTGATGGCCAGTGATGATGAGCATTTTTTCATGTGTCTTTTGGCTGCATAAATGTCTTCTTTTGAGAAGCGTCTGTTCATATCCTTTGCCCACTTTTTGATGGGGTTGTTTGTTTTTTTCTTGTACATTTGTTGGAGTTCATTGTAGATTCTGGATATTAGCCCTTTGTCAGATGAGTAGATTGCAAAAATTTTCTCCCATGTTGTAGGTTGCCTGTTCACCCTGATGGTAGTTTCTTTTGCTGTGCAGAAGCTCTTTAGTTTAATTAGATCCCATTTGTCAATTTTGGCTTTTGTTGCCATTGCTTTTGGTGTTTTAGACATGAAGTCCTTGCCCATGCCTATGTCCTGAATGGTAATGCCTAGGTTTTCTTCTAGGGTTTTTATGGTTTTAGGTCTGACGTTTAAGTCTTTAATCCATCTTGAATTAATTTTTGTATAACATGTAAGGAAGGGATCCAGTTTCAGCTTTCTACATAGGGATAGCCAGTTTTCCCAGCACCATTTATTAAATAGGGAATCCTTTCCCCATTGCTTGTTTTTCTCAGGTTTGTCAAAGATCAGATAGTTGTAGATATGTGGTGTTATTTCTGAGGGCTCTGTTCTGTTCCACTGATCTATATCTCTGTTTTGGTACCAGTACCATGCTCTTTTGGTTATTGTAGCCTTGTAGTATAGTTTGAAGTCAGGTAACGTGATGCCTCCAGCTTTGTTCTTTTGGCTTAGGATTGACTTGGTGATGCAGGCTCTTTTTTGGTTCCATATGAACTTTAAAGTAGTTTTTTCCAATTCTGTGAAGAAAGTCATTGGTAGCTTGATGGGGATGGCATTGAATCTATAAATTAGCTTGGGCAGTATGGCCATTTTCACGATATTGATTCTTCCTACCCATTAGCATGGAATGTTCTTCCACACAAATATTCTTGAGATTTCTTCAGATCTGAAAGTCAGCCTGAGTTTTTAGACTTGCTTCTGAGTTTTAGACTTTGGCCCTGGGAAAAAGGAAATCAGTACTCCAGGAACAAGATTTTCCTCGACTTTGTCTCAACCCAAAGACGCTATAGCAGCGCAGTTTTCAAACGTGCTTTGAAAATAAATGGGACAGTGTGTCCACACTGGATTTTGCCTTTCCCTTTTTATTACAGCCCGCCCCTTTTGTAAAATTGTTACACATCTCTCTACTGCACTAAAAACGGCTCTATCAAAGATACTTTGAGAAAGATTTAATGACATGAAAATATGAAGCCCCCTTAAAAGAGAGTTTCTGGAGTTGGGTTTTAATTAACACTTTGGTTTTTAAAATCCTGTAACTATTTGGGTGTGTGGCTTATCTTTATAATATTTTCAAACAAATATTTTTTCTTAACCACCACACAAATCCAAGTTTATTATTTTTATTTTTAAATTTTATTTATTTATTTCTGAGACAAGATCTCTTGCTGTCACCCAGGCTGGAGTGTAGTGGTGAGATCATAGCTCACTGCAGCCTCGAACTCCTGGGCTCAAGCTATCCTTCAGCTTCCAGAGCTGGGATTACAGGCCTGAGCCACCGCGCCTGGCCAAAATCCAAGTTTATTCTGTAATATAAAATTCCAACATTTCAGAGAAGGTGAAAGTCACAACGTTATCCCAGTCCCTGGGGTCCCTGTCAAAATTTTGGGGAATAATCCTCCATGTTTTCCCCTACTTAAAATATATATTATGTAAGTGGTATTACTGGTATTATAATTCCATATATCCTCGTCCTTTTAAAAATGGATAAAAGTAGGCTGGGCACAGATCTTCTCATAACAATACTTACAAATTTATCCTCCTCTTTTTAAGGACTGCGTGGAATTTTATCGCGTGGCTATTCTTTAGGGGACTATGGAAATGTTATTTCTTTATCTTCATTGTGGTAGTGGATATGTGGGTGTGTAAAACAGCCAAGCAGTACAACTCAATGAGCTGTGCATTTCAAATAGATACACTGATTGTGTGCAAAGTATGTCCCAATAATGGTTTAAAAATATTATTCTATTTGAGATTTGTACTTTGATTTTGTAAAACAAAACAAAACCCTTGTTCTTGCACCCACGAGATGCACCCTGGCACATCTGGAGGTAGAAGCTCATGTTCTCTGCAGCTTGACCTCGCAGGCTCTGAAATAAGAATAATAAGCCGTATATTTACAGATTCACACACAGAGAAAAAAAAGCTTTGGTAAAAATGTTCATAAATAACAAAACTAGATAAAGGGCAAAAATAAAATTAGAAATAATAAAACTACATCTTTCAGATATTATTCTCACCTTCACCTTTTCTCTCCCCTTTTCTCCCTCTCCCTTCCTTTCCTCGAAATGTCCCCCCATCCTTCCCTCCTTTCTCCATTCTCTGCATTTGATCCCCATGTATTCCAGCCTCGAGGCAAACACACGTCACCGCGTCCGCCTGGGGCAGGTCAGGGAAGGGACGCGAGGCAGCCGTGTCTCCGCATTCTGTGAGCGGCAGCGCCCTGGGCCTCGCTGATCTTGTGTCATTTCAGTGACCTTCGCTCTAGTCTTTGACGGGGCCACACTCGGGGTGTAAATTAGGATCCTCACTGAAGGCGCGCGACCCTGAGAGGCTTTTTCCTGGTCCCTTAGTTGTGAGTTTTCCTGCGGGCGGCGGAGCCCGTTTCCACCAGAACCGCCCAGAGGCCGGCGCTGCCTTCCTGGGGTGACGGAGCAGCTGGAAGCGTTTTCGGATCCTGGAATCAGTGGGCGGCCCGTGGGAGGGGCTGAGGCGCAGTTCCCTGCTCACCCGGCTCCGAATCCACCGCGGTGCTGTTTCAAGCGAGTCAGATTCCAGATCGCGCTCCAGCCGGGACTCGGAATTCCTGCCCCGTGGGTCTGCATTTTCACAGCGGCAGGTGTGAGTGCCGCGCAGCTGGAGACCAGAACCCTGAAGGCAGCTCGGCCCTCCCCAGCCCACAGCGCCGTTATTCCGTTTCTATATCAGTAAACACTTGTCATTTTCCGTAGACCAGGGCGGGGTGATGGGTGATCCCAGTCCTCGCAGTGAACTCCGGGCCGCAGTCCTGAGAACGCGCTCGGGCGCCCAGCGCAGCCGCGTCCTGAGTTACACACGCGACCACGCTGGGCCTTTTCTCTTTCTTTTCCGGACCCAGCAGTGGCGCCTACAGTCTGCGAGGAGAAAATCACCTTTGTGCTGGTAAGTCCAGGAATCTAAGGCGAGTGCTGAGGGAGAAAACGTAGTTGATGGCTCAGAGCAGAAGGAGCTGGAGGTAGGGTAGAGGGGGAGGGCTTTGGACAGAAAAGACCTGGGAGATTTGGTTGGGGAGGGGCAGCCAGGCCTAGACCCTGGGGAGCGACTCATCCAAAGTCCAAGATCATCACTGCCTCCCCTGCCCCAGAAAGGGAGGGATTGGCTTCATGTCTTGTCGCGATCACCTCTAAATGCGTTGGAACAAACTTTGCATATTATTATTAGTATCATCGTCATTGAAGTATTAAAAGTCTTCTTGGGGGTGAGCTGAATGAGATCCTTTGCTGGAACTGCCGCAGGGAGAAAAAGTCCTCGAGAGAGGGTAGACACTGTGGAGGGAAGAGCTTGGGACCAGCGTCAGGAGAGCTGGGTCCATCTCCCTCTCTGCCCCTCACTACCCTTGTGACCTTTAGCAGTGTAAATAATCCCTCTAAGGTGGGGACAAGACCCCAGTCCCTGCTGTGCTCAATAAATGATAATGCTCGAAATAAATAATCAGTGAATGTGGATGGGAAAACTAAGTAATTGTTAAAACTCTGTGGTGTATGACATTTTCATCTACAGAAAAGTGTAGGCTAGGGGTCCTGGGGAATGGTTAGTAATCATAGGTGGAGTTCCATTGGGAAAAAAAATGCTCCTAAAGCTGACGAAGATGGAAGGGACACAGTTCGTGATCATGGATGGTTCATTGTCTAATGGGGGTTGGTACCAGATGGTAAATGACAGCTGGACGTGGTGGCACTCGCTTGTAGTCCCAACTACTCAGGAGGCTGAGGTGGCAGGATTGTTCTAGCCCTCGGCTAGAGCGGGAGCGGCTTGGCGTTTCTGGGGGGTCTGAATGGGTCGCAGCGAGCGCGATGCGGTCGCGGCGGGGCTCAGGTGCGATGTGCAGCGAGGTGCGGGAGCTGGACGCTGCCGGTTGCCGCCACTCCTCAGCCCTGCTTTTCAGTCTCTTTTCAGTCCTCCTCGGGATCGCGCATCACCCCCACCCCCTGCACTTTCTGGTCTCTTCTTGCACTTGCTCTCCTCACCTCTCCTCCGCCTCCTCTCACTTTTCGGACAAACCAGCCCTTCTGAAGTCCCTGGGTTCCTGGGCTGTTCCTGTGAATGGCATTCGAGGGCCCTTCCAGCTCTGCCGCTGAGGCAGTCACATCCCCCGGTGCTCAGAGCGGCTCTCGGGTCCCTGAAGCCCTGTCCTCTCCCTGGAGTCCGCGTGTTCTCAGCTCCAGGGCGGGCCGCAGTCCCTGGAGTTGGGGCCCTCCTTTTTTCGGGACCAGGAGCTGGTGCTTCCTATTGCTGTGGGGACTATGGGGCTCCTGACTCTCAAGCTGAGGGGTTGGAGCCTGCCGGCTCCAGGCAGAGGATTCTTCCTGCGACTGCTCCCATCCCCAGCTCATTATCCCTTCGCCTCCCGTTCCCAGGGTTCTTTCCTCTCTGTCAACCCTCCCAGCTACTGTGGACTCCAATGATCTAAGGACACCAAGTTCCCTCCTACTTCCTCAGCTTCCTTTCTCATGGCCCCCTGGGTCCTGTTGCCCTCCCTGCTCCCTGCTACCCCTTTCTATCTGCAGTTCTCTGATCCATTTGTAGGGTGTCCTCTGCCCTCATCCCCTGCTCCCGTCCCTCCTGCCTCCCTTATGGGCCTTTCCTACAAGCAGCCTTCACCCAGTGCTGCCCCTATGCCTCTCCATTCCCAGCTGTCCCTGACCCTAACTTTCTGGTGCTGCCTTTTGTCGGGGGAGTCTTCCCTCCATCCCACTCCCCTCCAGGCCACTTAAGGGGAGCCCTGGTGCTAATGAAAGTTGGGCCTTAGGCAGGGCGCAGGGCAGCGCAGATGCCCCCTCCCCTCCAGTGCAGATGCCTGCTCTGGGCCCTGCCTCAGGTGACCCGTTCCCCACTCCTTCATCCTCAGCCTCACCCTCTTGAGGACCCCACCCTGAAACCCTCAGGTGCTGGACCATCCCTCCCTGGTCCCTCTGCCCCTCTCTGCCTTGGGACCTTATGCTGTTCCCACCTCTTGACCAGCTGCCTTCGGCCCTCAGCAAGTTCTCACCTTCCCCAAACCCCACCCTCCCCCAGACAACCCCTCCCTTCCTGTTCTCACTTTACCCCAAGTTCTCCCAGGGTCACCCCCACTTCCTTCTCATGCCACCCTTTAGTCCTTGCCCTGCCCATCTCCTCACCCCCACCCAGACCCAAAACAGGCTCTAGTCCAACGGCTCCTTGACCCTCATCCTCTTTCGGTTCCTTGACCCCGGTGGGCTGTCAGTTCCTAGACTTCATATCCAAAATCTTCACTTACCACATAGTGGGCTGTGGTCATCCCCTCCTCTGGGCCTTCTCCCAGCACCACCTTCCTCCTGTGAGGGTTTTCTAACCTGAGCCCTCTTTTGGAGTGTGACTGCTCCGCCTTCAGCACCACTCCTCTCTGAAGGCCCTTCCTCAGGCCTTGGTTTTTTTCTCTCTGACCAGGACCCCAGCCTCTTTCTAATTCTATATTATTGTTTGGTACGCGGTGACAATTTCTTTTTTGTTGTTTAATTGTTGTAAAATATACATATAAAGTTCACTATTTTCACCATTTAAAAGTGTACAGTTCAGTGGCATTAAGTACATTCACATTTTTGTGCATCCTGAAACTCTGTGCCTACTAAACAGTAGCTCCCCATTCCTCCTTCCCCCTGGCCCCTGGAACCACTGGTTCTACTTTCTGTCTCTATGAATTTGGTTATTGGGAATTATGCTGCTATGAACATGAGTGTTCAAATATCTTTTTAATGTTCCTGCTTTCATTTCTTTTGGGTAAATACCCAGATGTAGAATTTCTGGATTACATAGTAATTAATTTTTTAGTTTTTGGAGGAAGCAACACACTGATTTCCATAGCAGGTGCCCCACTTTGTCTTTCCCAATGTACTACACAAATGTTCCAGTTTCTCTACCTCTTTGCCAAACTTGCTTTCTCTCTCTCTCTCTCTCTCTCTCTCTGTGTGTGCGTGTGTGTGTGTGTGTGTATTTGATTATAGCCATCCTAATTGGTGTGAAGTAGTAGCCCATTGCAGTTTTGATTTGCATTTCCCTAATAACTACAGATGTTGAGCATCTTTTCATGTGTCTATTGGCCATTTGTATGTCTTCTTCGGAGAATTGGCTATTCAAATTCTTTGCCTACATAGTTTTTTTGAGTCTTATGTTTGTGTTACAGGAATTCTTTATGTATTCTGGATATTAATCTTTTATTAGATAAATGATTTGCAAATATTTTCTTCCATTCTAATGGTTGCTTTTTCACTCTGCAGATTGTGTTTTTTAATGCTCAATTTTTTTTATTTTGATGGGTCCAACTTATCAATTTTTTCTTTGTTGTCTGTGCTTTGGTGTTATATCCATAAAAGTGTTGTCAAAACCTATGTCATGAAGATTATTCCCAATGTTTCATTCTAAGAATTTTTCAGTTTTAGTTCCTGAGTGTAGGTCTTTGATTTATTTAGAGTTAACTTGTATATGTGGTGTAAGTCAGGAGTCCAACTTCATTTCTTTTTGCATGTGAATGTCGTTTTCCTGGCACTGTTTCTGGAAAAGATGCACTGATCCTCCCTTACTCCCATCTTGTACATGATGAGCCTTCCTCAAAGGCAGCGGCCCGCGACTCCATCTCACCCTCACCTGTGTAGCACAGCCATGCTGGTCATGGGTCCCTCTGAGCCTGGGTCCCTTCCCATTTCCACCCTCCCCTCTGGCAAGACCTTCCTTCCACCACTGCCTTCGTGCTCCTCCCTCACCACTGCAGGGCAGCCTCTCTCCTTGGCCTCCTCCCTATACCCTTAGGTGGCCTGTAGCCACCCTGCCTTGGCAGCTGGCCTACATGTTTGCCATCTCCATTCCCCCTTCTTCTGTTCCTCAGTCTGCTCCTCCATCCTCCTGCCCTCCCAGTTTTCCTTGTATCTGAAATCCTCATTCTTGTCCCTTTGCATATGTACATTTCCTGCCTCCTCAGAAAGGTTGAGACAGCAGACCTGTGTGTTAAACATCAATGTGAAGTTACTTCCAGGAAGAAGTTTCATCCGTGGTTTCTTGTTCCCCAGGGCCCCACAGTCTTCATTACAACCTCACGGTGCTGTCCCGGGATGGATCTGTGCAGTCAGGGTTTCTTGCTGAGGGACATCTGGATGGTCAGCCCTTCCTGCTCTTCAACAGGCAGAAAGGCAGGGCTGGGTCCCGGGGACAGTGGGCAGAAGCAGTTCTGGGAGCTGAGACCTGGGACACAGAGACTGAGGACTTGACAGAGAATGGGCAGGACCTCAGAAGGGCCCTGGCATATATCAAGGGACAGAAGGGAGGTGAGAGGTGGCAGCAGGCAAGAGTGATGGGAGACCTTTTCCAGGAGAGCTGGGGGCAGAGAGCAGGGACCTGTCTGTCCCCACTGGATCTGGCTGGGGGCAGGGGTGAGGAATAGGGGTCAGCAGAGCTCGGTGGGGAGGTAACCTGGCACTCAGCCCACACAGAAAGGCATGGAGGAGGGCCAGGGAGGGGTCTCCTCTGGTCTGAGTTCCTCACTTGGAACTGCTGGGTGGGGGTAGCCTTGCATTCCCTCCAGGAGATTAGGGGTTGTGAGATCAGGAAGCCAGCAGCACCAGGGGCTCTAGGCTTTCCTACTCTTATGGGTAGCTCTTCCTCTCTCTCAACCTGGAGACTCAGGAATGGACAGTATCCCAGTCCTCCAGAACTCAGACCTTTGCTATGAACATCACAAATTTCTAGAAGGAAGATGCTATGCCGGCCGAGACACACTCTCACCCTATATGGGTAGACTGCAGGCAGAAACTACAGCAGTATCTGGAATCCTGTGTGGGTGTCAGGAGAGCAGGTACTGGGCCTGGGTAGGGGCTTTCCTCTCCCCTATTCCACTAGAGTCACCCCGACCCCCAACTCTGTCCAGGGAAACCCTCCTTGTGCTATGGATGCATGTGTTTTCTGTTGGTGTGTTATATCCTGATTTTTCTCTCCTGTTAGAGCCACTGGAAAAAGACAGTGGGTCAGGGATTGAAGGGTCCAGTGTCACAATCTGGGGAAGCAGTGGGCCCTCTGACAGAAGCCTGAACCTGGGTGGGTGTCAGGCAGGAGAGGAAGCCCCCAGGGCCAAGGCTGCCCCATCTGCTTCCCAGCCTGCCCATCCCTAAGAGTTCCCTCTGGCCCCATGTACCAGGAGCCCAGCCCTGACATTCCCCTCCTCAGCATCAATGCAGGGATCCCAGAGCATAAAGACACAGTCTCGAGGCCCATCCTTCTGCCAGCCTTGAGGAATTGGTCCCCAGGGTGAGGACAGACTTGCAGAAGGTCTGGGGTCCGTGAGGACTTCTGCCAGAGTCGGAGCAGTGGAGCGGACCAGCCCTATTCCCTGCATCTCCATTAGAGGGGAGCAGGGTTTGGCCATGTGCCTCATTGTCTCTGCCCTTTCTTCTCCAGTCCCCCACTCCTCCACCATGAGTGTGGCCTGCAGTGAGGCCCTGGAGGGCAACATCACCCTGATATGCTGGGCTCTGGCTTGTATCTCCAGAATATCTCTCTGACCTGGTGACAGGATGGGGCGTCTTTGAGCCAGGATGCCCAGCAGTCTTGGGGTGTTCTGTCCAATGGGATGGGACCTACCACACAGAGGTGGCCTGCAGGATTCCCCAAGGAGAGGAGCAGAGGGTCATCTGCTCCATGGGATACAGCAGGAATCACAGCACTCACCCTGTGTCCTCTAGTGAACCTGGGACCACCCTTGAGGGTTCCAACATAAGGAGGATCAGGCCAGGGTGGGGGCAGCAGGAACGGCTGTGGCTGTGGGTGCCCAGTGTGTAATAGGCCCTTTTTTTCAGGGATGGCCCTGGTGCTTCAGAGTTGATGACCAGCCATTCCATATGTTGCTGCTGTTGCTGCTTTCATCATCATTAGTATTATTAGTAGTATTATTATTCTCTGTGTCCTTTGATGCAAGAAGAAGACAACATCAGGTGCAGAGGGTCCAGGTGAGAAAAGGGGACAGTTGCTAGAGATGGGAGGGTCCCTGTCTGGGCTGTAGGGTCCCCTCATACCTTCTGTGCAGATAGGCTTGTAGGTGACAAGGCTTCTGGAACAGGCGATGAAAGTTGGGGTATTTGGGAGGGGAATGAGAGCCACGTTGCCATCTACATCCCTGTGAGAAAGAAACTCACCCATTCAAACCCAAAGAATAGACTCAGAGACCCAGAGAACAGCGAAAGAGAGACTTTTAATGACAGTCTTGCAAGATCAGGTGTCTGGAGTGCAGGTACACCTGGGACAGTTTCAACAAACTATTTCTTCCCTAGTGTGCAAGTCCCTTCCCCAATTCCTCATTAGCTGAGTACTACGGGGTTATAGTCTTCCTGGGCATCACCTATTGGTAGTTGTATTAAGACTTCAGGTATGTTCTTTAGGGTCTTTTTGCTGCATTTTTTGCTGCATTTTGTTGCAGCCACCCATAATACATGGCAACTGTCTCAAGACTCTGAGCATTTGACTTACGGCCTTAGTGACTGCACTTAGGTGATGGCAAGCTAGCCCAAACTAAATTCTTTGGTGAGGTGGGGAGGGGGGTCATTGAGGGGGCCCTGACCAGTAGGCTCCTGGACACTGGGTCAAAGGGAAAGCAGGAAGGAGGGGATTGTGGCTTAGTATATTTTGCTTCTTTATCTCTTTGTTTCCATGTGGCCTGCTTAAACATATTCTAAGGCACTTATGAAAATGAACCTTCTTCACATGTAAGTTATTTTTTACACTTACCTCCTCTTTTTCTTTTTACCCTTTTTGGTCTTATTTTCACTTACATATCTTTGTTTATTAACTGTTCTGGAAGTTTTTTACTTTCTTCATTATAGGAGGAGAAGTTTAGTTTGGCTTTTAATAATAGTAAGTCATTCTGTTGGGACATTAGGGGCATTTGTTTACTAATAGCTGCTTTAATTAACCTTTGTGTTAAATAAACCCTTCACACAAGGTATGATACAACATCCTATGGCTGTTAAGACCCCAGCCATAATCACGAGAGATGTAAGAATTGAAGGTACCATTCCTTTCCATTTTTCAAACCAACCTTCTAACCAGTTAGTAAAAAGGTCATTTACTCCTGTGTTTTCTGCCAGCTCGTTGACTAGAGTTGTTAGTCCCTGCCATCCCTTTATGATGGTTCCATTTGGGGCAGCATTGTTGTGAATGGAAGTGTCACATTTTCCACCCAGCATATCACATATATCACCTTTCTCTGCTAATATTATGTCCAGTGTAATTCTGTTTTCCCAAGCCATTTAGCTAGTGGCATTTAGTTGTCTGGCTACTCCCTTAAGGGCATTTTGCGTGTAATTGATGAATCTTTGCTGATTATAAGACATGTAATTAATCTAATTTACATTCTTGTTAATAGTTGACCACCAGAAAAGTGCTGACTCAAATCTAGCAGGTATTTGGTTTCGTGCTTTAAATTTATTAGGCACTCCTCTAGGTACTCCTATGGAGTTTAGATAGATAAATAGATAGATAGATGGATAGATAGATATACAAAGCTTTCATCCACTGTTCCAGAAGCCTTGTGTGTATGTGTGTGTGTATATATATATATGTGTGTGTGTGTGTGTATATATATATGTGTGTGTATATATATGTATATGTATATGTTTGTGTGTGTGTGTGTGTATATATATATACACACACACATTATATATGGGTTAAAATAAATTGCTAAATTACTCTGATCTCTATGACCATGTGTATTTTTAGCTGTTTCATGGAATGACAGGGTGAACGGAATGGCCAATTGTACTAAAGCACAAGTCCCGGTCCAATTGGACGGTAACAAGTTACGGAGGTTCCCTTTCCCGAAATACCACCAGACATTTGCCTGGGGTATATGGAGAGTTGAATGGTTGCCACAGTCTGGGTTACCAGTGACATTTAGGATGTGGGTGCAGGTTGCGAGTTTTCCCACAGGTTTATCGAACCTCACCTTCTGTCTAGAGTGACAACAGGAGTGATTTATATTCCCTATAGAGAATGAGGGGATTGCTTTAGGATCTGATCTCTGCAAAGTGGGAAAGAGCAATGACAGACTTTTACAAGTCTTATTTCCCCATGCAACCTTGTCTTGGTATACAGCCAACACGCAACACATTCCTTTGGGATTAGTATCCCCTCCAAGGGGAAATGGAACCACCTGTGCCTGAGGTTGACCAGCAGCACATGCATAACAGTTACTTTTATCGAGGGCTTGTGCTGAAAATTTCACCCATTTAACACAGGCATTTATGTCTCTATATCCTGTTTTAATTTTTAAAGTCTGCCTTAAGTCAGTTACTTTAATTATTTTTACTCTCTTAGGTTTATTGTTTGGTGGGTTAAAGGAAGTTAATGGGACCAGGAGTTCTAGTAATTCTGGGTGGGCTTGGGGTAGAGTTGGTGACTAACCTAAAAGCTAACCGTCCCACGGGATTCCTTTCTGAGATATTTATTTTTAATTTATACCTTCAAGATTTCTGGTTTAGAGTAGCTGGGTTGTTTATAGTAATTAATATAGGATTGCACTTTAAATTTTTACAGTTAGGTGGCGTGTGGTTCTTATACAATACTTAGGTTTCCTTTCACCCCTTGTGTTAGGATTAATTCTAACCATATCAGCCCCCAGTGATGGAGCCTGCTTATGGCTTACTTTTAGGTTTTCCTTAGAATTAGCTTAAAGGGTTTCTTAGGTGATCTATACACTTCCAATTTACCTTCCGTTTTTTTTTTTAACCAGTTTCTTGACCCGAGTGTAATGTGTCCACCCCTGATCAGCTGTTTGTACAGCTGCCTCACTTGATAAGGACCTTCCCAGCTTGGGTGGAGCTTGTCTTCTTTCCAAGTCTTAATTAGCACTGAGTTGCCAGGCTGGAAGTGGTGAACTGTGAACTCAAGGGGTGGGGTTTGTGTTACAAGTTCTTTTAACCTTAAGTTGTTTCCTGGGAGTTCACACAATTCCCACACACTTGTTTAGCCAGGGCATACATTTCTATACACCCATAATTCTTTAGTATTTCATCACACATGTCCTGGGGACCCCAATGACTTCCCTTATGCAATATAGACATTAGATTTTTTTTTTCTTTTTTTAGACAGAATCTCGCTCTGTCACCCAGGCTGGAGTGCAGTGGCACGATCTCGGCTCACTGCAAGCTCCACCTCTTGGGTTCATGCCATTCTCCTGCCTCAGCCTCCCGAGTAGCTGGAACTACAGGCACCCACAACCACGCCCCGGCTACTTTTTTGTATTTTTAGTAGAGACAGGGTTTCACTGTGTTAGCCAGGATGGTTTTGATCTCCTGACCTTGTGATCTACCCGCCTCCGCCTCCCAAAGTGCTGGGATTACAGGCATGAGCCACCGCACCCGGCCAACATTAGATTTTTTATTATGGGTTTGTTTATTATTTCTCTCCCATCAGGGAGCACTCACCTTCCATTCTTAGTTTAAGTGGCTCCTATCTTGCCTAGCTTTTCCTCCTCTTTTGAAAATTGGGGTTTTAATATCACCTTAGGGATATCTGGGCTAAACAGTTTAAATTTTTCCTCCAGGGAGACTTGCTTAGCAGCCTTATCCACAAGCCTGTTCCCTACAGCTTCTATAGTGTTTCTTTTCTGATGGCCATTTACATGAACTATGGCTGTCTCTGCTGGAAACAGGAGGCTTTCTAAAACTTGTTCCCCATGTACCAATTATTTTGCCCTGCTATTTTCTAGGCCCTGCTCTGTCCAGATTTTTTCAAAGGTGTGTACTACTTTATAGGCATATTTGGAATTAGTATATATAGTGTCTTCTTGATCTTCTAGGAGCTTTAGGGTTTGGTTAAAAGCATAAAATTTACAGGTTTGGGCTGACCAGTTATTGAGTAATTTAACTTTTTCACATAAGGATTGTTTGTTTTTGTTCATGACAGCACAGCCATTGTGTCTTTTACCATTTATTACTCAGGATGACCCATTCATAAACAACCTCATCCCATTATGTAGTAGAGTTCCTTTAAGGTTTGGTACTAACTTTAGTTTGATACTCTGTGATATCTAAACAGTTATACTCTGACGCCTTCTTATTCTCCTCTCCTTTTCATAAGAAACTGGCTGGTGTTAGTTTAGTCACCTCCCGAGGGCCCATTGACCCCAGGAGGTCTTGGGGAGGCAAGGGACTGATCAGCTGGCATCCCAGAGTGCCCTTGGCCGGGCCCTGCTGGGTTTGGCTTTGGGCCAAGAGCTGCTGGTTTGAAGATCTGCCAGCCTATGGAGCCTTCCCTGATGGGTACTCTCATTAGAAAAGGCATTTCTGGCTCCGCCCTCCCTTCCTGTTTTTTTTTTTTTTTTGTGCTTCAAAGGCACCGTTCCTCTCCGTGGCAGGCCTAGAGGTGCACTGTTTGTGTTTCAAGCAACCCCCACTGGTGACCCAGCAACTGTAAAGGGTCTCCAGTTTGTCCAGCCCTGGGAGGGGACTTAGTGGCTTTTCCTCCTCCTGGGCTGCAAGGATCCTCCCCTGGCCCAGCCCGACTCTGGGAAACAGAACTTTTACACATTCCACCTTAAAGCATTTTGGCAGACTTTTCCCCAGCACGAGCTCTCTCTACTTCAGGGATTGCAAACTGGCATCCTCTTTTGCCTGTTTTGGGTTTTTAAGTTATTTGAACAGAATATCAGCATTTTAAAATTATATTTTACATAAAAAGTCAGAATTTTGTCCTCTGACAAAGCAGACAATCTGAAAACACAGTGCCAGCACTGTAAGAAGAGCTGAGCAGCCGCCACAGTTCCCACCCAGCCCTGCAGCCCTCCTTTTTATTATTTGCTGGCCCTGTAGTCATTTGAGTTTACAGCCCTAGTACTGATTTTCCTTATGTAGCGACCCCAGCCCTTCTGCTGCCTTACTGACAGCTAACTGCCCCTGGTGGCCTTCCAGCCTCTCACTAAAACAACAACAAAACCTTAATGTTATCTTATTCATTTACTCTTCCATAACTTGAATCCTTTTGACCACCTCCTGATAAACAGCCATCTAGTTTTTGCTGTAGGCAACCCATTACACCTCAGGCAGCCTGATCCTAAACTCTCCTCCACATCCCTTTCTCACTTGCATCCATCCCCCAGTTCCCGGGTTTTGTCGTTCCTCAGTGGCCACGCACTGCATGCACCCTTCCCCTGCACCTCCTTGTTGCTTAAGTCCCCAGAAACTTCCCCCAGCCCTGCCAACCTCTCAGCATTCTCTCACTTTGTCTTGTACTCTTTTTTCCTTTTACATTATTTGTCTCCCCAGTTTTACCTTCTGTGTTTCTCTTTGATCTCTGTCTCTTTTAGTCTCTCTTGCTAATTTTCCTCTTCTATTCTCTCTCTGCCATCCCATTTCCTTTCTGTCTCACACTCAGCTTCTTCCTCTTTCTCTGGGCATGAGCCGAGCCGTGCTGTGCCCTGGCTCCCCTTGTCTGTCTGCAAAAACAGGCAGCTCTGCGGAAATGACTCAGCAGTAACCTTTATCAACAGCTTTTAGAAGCCAGCTGCCACACACAGCTGTGCCGCTGGCTCTCTCTTCCTTCAGGTATAGCAGCTTAACTCTCTCTCTCTCTCTTTCTCTCACACACACACACAAACTTTCTGAGCTTCCCTCAGTATTTCCTTAATTGGTTTTTTATTCCATCCGTTAATCTTTTGCAGTTTCTTAGTAATATTACATCAGCTTTTAGTTACAAAATTAACCTTTAAAAGGCCTTGCCCTACTGGGTCCTCTGGATTTAATCCTGAATATTTTTTCACTTGATCCCTGAGCCTCTGCAGAAATGCAGAGGGAGTCTCCTCTTCTTGTTGTTGGATCTTGAATGCTTTGGGGACGTTTTGTGTCCTATGAGTGGACTGCATAATCCCTCTAATTATTAGCTCCCTATGGTCTTGCATTTGGACCCGATCCCTGGGGTCATTATTATCCCATCCAGGATCTGCATTTGGGAATTTCTGCTTAGCTGGCAGGACTCCTTACCCAGGAGGATGCTGCTGTCTCTCCCAAATGATTATGGCTGCCCTTCTAATTATTCCCGTCTTTTTCCCAGTAAACAGAATATTCATGATTGAATTATCTCAGCCCAAGTATAAAAATTTGGTTCTAAAAATTGATCTAGCTGTTCTGCTAAACTGAGGGGATCTTCCGAGAGTGGCCTCATTTCCTTTTTAAAATTCCTAACCTCAGTACTTGTTAAAGGCACACTTACAAATCCAATTTATTATTATTATCATTATTATACTTTAAACTCTGGGATACACGTGCAGAACATGCAGGTTTGTTACATAGGTATACATGTGCCATGGTGGTTTGCTGCACCCATCAACTCATCATCTACATTAGGTATTTCTCCTAATGCTATCCCTCCCCTAGCCCCCTACCCTCAGACAGGCCCCAGTGTGTGATGTTCCCCTCCCTGTGTCCATGTGTTCTCATTGTTCAACTCCCATTTGAGTGAGAACATGCAGTGTTTGGTTTTCTGTTCTTGTGGGTCTTTCTCTGAGAGACCCAGAGAACACGTAGCTGATGGTTTCCTGAGAATGATGGTTTCCAGCTTCATCCATGTCCCTGCAAAGGACATGAACTCATCCTTTTTATGGCTGCATAGTATTCCATGGTGTATATGTGCCACATTTTCTTTATTCAGTCTATCATTGATGGGCATTTGGATTGGTTCCAAGTCTTTGCTATTGTGAACAGTGCCGCAATAAACATATGTGTGTATGTATCTTTATAGTAAAATGTTTATAATCCTTTGGGTATATATCCAGTAGTGGGATTGTGGGATTGCTGGGTCAAATGGTATTTCTGGTTCTAGATCCTTGAGGAATTGCCACATTATCTTCCACGATGGTTGAACTAATTTACACTCCGACCAACAGTGTAAAAGCGTTCCTATTTCTCCACATCCTCTCCAGCATCTGTTGTTTCCTGACTTTTTAATGATCGCCATTCTAATTGGTGTGAGATGGTATCTCATTGTGGTTTTGATTTGCATTTCTCTAATGATAAGTGACTATGGGCCTTTTTTCATATGTTTGTTGACTACATAAATGTCTTCTTTTGAGAAGTGTCTTTTCATATCCGTCGCCCACTTTTTGATGGAGTTGTTTGTTTTTTTCATGTAAATTAAGTTCTTTGTAGATTCTGGATATTAGCCCTTTGTCAGATGGACAGATTGCAAAAATTTTCTCCCATTCCATAGGTGGCCTGTTCACTCTGATGATAGTTTCTTTTGCTGTGCAGAAGCTCTTGAGTTTAATTAGATCCCATTAGTCAATTCTGGCTTTCGTTGCCATTGCTTTTTGTGTTTTAGTCATGAAGTCTTCGCCCATGCCTATGTCCTGAATGGTATTGCCTAGGTTTTCTTCTAGGGTTTTTACAGTTTTAGGTCTTATGTTTAAGTCTTTAATCCATCTTGAGTTGATTTTTGTATAAGGTGTAAGGAGGGGGTCCAGTTTCAGTTTTCTGCATATGGCTAGCCAGTTTTCCCAACACCATTTATTAAATCGGGAATCCTTTCCCCATTGCTTGTTTTTATCAGGTTTGTCCTTCCTTACATTGTTCTAATTCTTTCCTCAAGTTTGGATAAGGATTTAAGGGAGCATTGGGTTTAGCTCCTTCATGACCTCCCAAATCCTTTTCCTCCGACCTTCCTTTTGCCCCCTGATCTCCCTGTCCTCTACTTTGTGAGATGTATAGGGTGTAGGGCAAGCGTGTTAGGGGATCCCAGGGCTTTTCACTGGGTGAGGGCTCTTTACTATGCTCTTTTTATTTCTCTTTAAGGGGGAACACGGGGCTTAATTCACTAATCCAACAAACAGCATAACCCATCTCCTCTTGTGAAGATGGGGTTTTATCATTCACATAGAGAATTAAAGCTTGGCATATACAGTCCTTATTTGAGCTAAACTTAGGCCAAAGGACTGAAGGCTGACAAATGGGCTTTTTAGGCCAGATAAAACAGCAAGCAATACATTATTATTTTTTGTTTTTCCTTATTTCAGGTTTTCTAGTTATTTTTGAGTCAGTTTTGGCAATTTCTATCTTTGTATGAATCTGTCCATTTTATCTAAGTGGTCTAACTTATTGACTTCAGGTTTTTCAGAGTCTTCACTTATAATGCTTTTGAATTTCTAAAGGGTCACTAGTGATAATCTCTCTTTTGTTCACAATTTTGGTAATTTATCTCATTTCTTATCATCTCTGTTTTGACTGTTGGTCAAGAAAACAGACAGAGGCAGCAGATGGCTATGTGATTCTCTAGTGGGAAGGCTTTGATCATACATGGCTGGCAAGCCAGACTGATGGCAGCAACCCCAAAGGAGCTGCCAAGGGATCTTGACAGGAAAGTCACTGACTCTGGATTGGGCTATGCTCAACCAGGGGAAGAGGTCAATGCTTCAAGGGCTATGAAATCACCAGAAAAAAAGAGATTGCACCAATGTGGACTGCTGAGTCCCATTTCTTTACGCAAGAAAACACACTTTACAGCCTCAAATGGCTAACAATGCACAGGGAGATGTCCTCCTCAGAAGAAAACTTTGATAGAAAATTGAAATGGTCAGTTGAAGCATTGTTTGTCTAAAAACTGGCAATATAGTTGTTGGGCAATATAAACATGAAGGACTGGCTTTTACATCTTCATGAATGTGCTCACTGTCCACATGGGTGGGGCTGCAAGAGTGACTCCTCTAGATAGCTTCCTCTCTTTTACCTGATGGATCAGGATGATGCTGTTATGACTATACATACAATTCTTCTGAAGGGGAGAGGATGCTGGAATAATGACTACGCTTCACCTCAAATTTCTTTTTTCATATGTGATGCAGTGGTACCAGGAATAGGGATGAAAATCAAAGTGCCAGAAACAGGAATTATCTTTAAGCCAAAAACCATAACTATATATTTACATCTTTATATAAGAATTCTCAAGCAACTCAAAGATGGTGCTATGCCTTCATTTCATCTGGCAAAGTCAGGATTAACAGTAAATAGAGCTATATAGCCTGGTGGTCAGATGGCCCCCACTAGTTCCTTACCTACATAACCTACCCTCTATGACCAAGAGTAGACCGAGGGAAGGCATGCTAGAATACTATTGCTGCCTGCAGTCTAGGTCAGCACAGCAGACAAACCTGATGTCACCTCTAAAACTGGAAAAGACTGATATAAAGGGACAGAAGGAGGAATAATGGCTGAGGGTAAGTGACTAAATCAAAGGGTTATATAATGAGGAAAATTCAATATTAGCTTAACTCCTCAAAAGTGCTGTGAGCAAGAGAAGATATTGTCTCTTAGGTCAATTATACTGGGTGCCTAAAAGAGTGAAGCCATATGTCCTTGAGACCATTCTTGTTTTTGGAGCCTGGTAAGGTTGAGTGGTGTCTGCAAACCTGAGTGACTTCATTCTGGGAGACATATTCATACGAGAGGATGGTGAACTGTTCTAATTTTGAATGACTGAATGAGACTCTGATAATACGCCAATACCTCTTTACTTTTATAATCCTTTTCCTATAAAAGATATGTGGTCAAAGAAAAGCGGGTAATCTGAGGTATAACAAAAACATTTAGTCTTTGTCCCTGGTTTCTCCTAAAAACCTTAGAATCTCTTGAGTGATAAGAGTTAGAATATTGATGAGAGGACTCATGGCTGAGCGGACCCTGGATATCTTGAGAATGGGGGCTGAATGCCAGAGACACATACCTGTGATGAGAGCGCTGTCTTATTCCATTTTGTGTTGCTATAAAGAAATGTCAGAGACTGACTAATTTATATAAACAAGGTTCATGTGGCTTGGGATTCTGATGTCTGGAAATGTTTGAGCATTTGGTGAGGGCCTCAGGCTGCTCCCACTCATGGCAGAAGGCAAAGGGGAGCTGGTATGTGCAGAGATCACACGGTAAGAGAGGAACAGAGAGCTTAGGAAGTTGCCAGGCTCTTTTTAACAACTGTCTCTCTTGGAAACTAAAAGAGTAACAATTCATTCACTTGCGAGAGAGGACAGGATCTCTTTATTCATAAAAGATTGGCCCCCATGACCCAAACAGCACCCATTAGGCCCCACGTCCAACACTGGGGGTCAGATTTTAACATGAGGTATCGGGGGTAAATATTTATATCATTACATTCTGTCCCTAGCCAGCCAGAGCTCATGTTTTTCTCCCATTGCAAAATATGATAATTTCCCAATTGTCCCAAATGTGCTAGGTTGTTCCAGCATCAACTCAAAATTCCAAAGTCTCATCTGAGACTCAAGGTAAGTCCCTATAGCTGTGAGCCTGTAAAGTTTTAAAAAGGTTATTTACTTCTAAAATATTAATACAAGAGTGGAAGAGACATTTCTTATACATTTCCATTCTAAAAGGAATAAATGGGCCAAAAGAAATGAATGCAGTGTCCTCACAAAGCTGAAACTCATCATGGAAGATGTTAAAATTTAAAGCTCTAAAATAATCTCCTTTGACCCTATATCTTGAATCCTGAGCACACTGGTTCAAGTGGTGGGCTCACAATGCCATTTGCAGCCCCACATCCTTGGGTTTGCTGAACATAACCCATATAGCTGCTCTCATGGGTGAAAATTGAATACCTATGGATTTTCCAAGCTGAGCTTGCACATTGCCAGTGGCTCCACCATTTAGTAGTCCTGATAGGGGTCCTGCTCCTGCAGCTCCACTGGGAATTGTCCTGGATATTAAATTTCCCCTTTAAATATCAGTTCCAGTTTCAGATCATTTTTTTGCTCACACATATGTGCATAGACTATTACAACAGGAAGCCAAATCTTGAATGCTATGCTGCTTAGAAATTTCTTCTATCAGATACCCTTAATCATCACCCTCATGTTCAAAGTTCCACAGATCCCTAAGGAGGGGGCAGAATGCCTCCAAGTTCTTTGCCAATGCATAACAAAAGTGACCTTTTCTCTAGGTCCCAGTAAGTTCCTCATCTCCATCTGAGACCTCATCAGCCTGGGCTCTATTGTCTATATCACTATCAGCATTTTGGTCACAACAATTTAACAAACCTCTAGGAAGTTGCAAGTTTTCCCCCATTTTCTTGTCTTCTAAACTCTCCAAACTCTTCCAACCTCTACCTGTTACCCAGTTCCAAAGACATTTTCACATTTTCAGCTACGTTTATTGCAGTACCCAACTTCTGGTACCGATTTTCTGAATTATTCATTCTCAACTGTTATAAAGAAATACCTGAGACTGGGTAATTTATAAAGACAGAAGGTTTAAATTGGCTCATGGTTCTGCAGGCTATATGAAAGTATGATTCTGGCATCTGCTCAACTTATGAGAGGACCTCAGGAAATTTTCAATCATGCTGGAAGGTTAAGGGGAAGTAGGCATGACTTACAAGCCTGGAGTAGGAGGGAGAGAGAGCAGGGAGGTACCACACACTTTTAAACACCAGACGTTGTGAGAACTATCACAAGAACAGCACCAAAGAGATGGTCCTAAACTATTCATGAAGGATCCATCCTCATGAGCCAATCACCTCCCTGAGGTGCCACCTCCAACCTTAGTGATTACAAGTGAACATGAGATTTGGGTGGAGACACAGATCCAAACAATATCAGGGGTGATGGTGGACATGAGGGTGGGCTGGTCTCCCCACTTCTCACATGATACCAGGGATGTAGACACATTCAGACACCTTGGCAGAAAGAGAAGACAGAGGCCCTTGAAGTCACAAAGGGGAGGCATGAACAAATCTTGCATCTCAGTCCCTCACAAGGCAGTCTTAGAAAAAAAATAGTCATGAACAAATTCAGATCAGTCATAGTAAGTTGTGACACTGAACAGCCCACCACACCCTGAAAAATTCCAAATCAAAGAATCTCCAGAGCCTAGTTGTGTCCCCTATGCCCCAACTCCTCCTTCCCTTCAGGCCCCCTAAGTTGTCATTTTACAAGCCTTGAGAGACACATCAGAGCCCTGGGTACTGTCCCTGTTTCGGGTGGAACAAAAACAAAATCTGGTCAGAGCCCACAGATGATGTGACTAAAGGAGGAATTTTGGGGTGGTGAGCTCCCCCATGGGCTCCTGTCTACACTATCCCAAGGATCTCAGGGATCACTCTTCCCACCCCTACCACACTTGCATGAAGCCTTAGCATAGCTGCCTCCTTTTCCATCTGTGGAAAGAAAATAAACTGTGAAAGGCCAGGGAGGAAGCAGGGTCATGAGATCCCAGAGGAGTGTCCAGAACTGTGACTGCAGACCCAGGTCAGAATCAGGAAACCCTAGGTAAGAGGATGTGTTGAAACTGGACTAATTGTCCTAGTGAGGTCTGTCCTCTGCGGGTACCTTCCCCTGACCTGTGACTGCTGGGAGTCAGGTTCCCATGACTCCAATGAAGGTGATAAATTTGTCCTTCATTTTCACAAGTTCTTTACAAAAGAGTAAGTGTTGATAGACAGAGATGGTGCCTCATGACTAGGCAGGATACAAGCCAACTCCCATCTGGGGCTGGGAATCCACCAATGGAAGAAGAAAACTCGGAGCTCACCCCTTTCCTACCTGGGCTCTTATTCTTCACATCACAGCAGTGACCACAGCTCTGGTGAAAACAGCACCAAGAACAACCAGGACAGTAACGATGCCCATGATGGGGCTGGTGGGCTGGGAAGACAGCTGTAAGAAAGGAGGGGAACGTGAGGGGCCCTGACCATCAGGCCTCAAACCCTGACCTTGCTGAAGGGCTCCAGAAGGGCTCCTAGTTCCCGTGAGAAGAGACATGACCCCTCATCCCCTTCCTTACCCATCTCAGGGTGAGGGGCTCTGGCAGCCCATCGTGCTGCACATGGCATGTGTATCTCTGCTCCTCTCCAGAAGACACCACCACAGCTGCCCACTTCTGGAAGGTTCTGTACCCTGCAGGTGTGGTCTCCACAACCTCTGCATCCTACATTTGGTCCTGTCCATCCCACTACTGGGTCAGTGTGATCTCCACAGGGTAGAAGCCCAGAGCCCAGCACCTCAGGGTGGCCTCATGGTCAGAGATGGGGTGGTGGGTCATGTGAGTCTTTGGGGTTCTGAGGGGAAGAGTCAGAAAATTCAGGCACTTTGCATTCCTCATGGGACATTCCACCTCATGGGACCATCCTGAAAATTGACGGGACACCTGAAGTGGGGAAGGGAGCAACTCAGACACCAGTCTAGACACAGGCACCTGGGGCAATCTTCTATTCCTTAGAAAGTTTTAGTGTCTGAGGCCGGAACAGAGATTTCTGGTCCTGACCTGAGCGGAGGCCGAGGTCAAAAAAGCTGGAATCAGACCCACAAATACACATTGAGTGTGAGGCAGAGAACAAGGCCTGAGAGGAAAATTCCTGGTGCCCAAGGCTGCTGTGGGGACAAAGGGGACCGCGGATCAGTATTTCAGGGATTGTCTTCCCCTCCTTTCCCTCAGAGACTACATCCTTTAACTGTCCCAGAGTGCAGGGCAGGCCCTCAGTCACTCTCTAGTATAGGATCTGAAAACCCGGGAGGACTCTTCCTCCTCACAAGAGGGAGAGGGATATTTTAGCGTTGGTCCCATTTTCCTTCCCTTCTTTTGGAATGTGACTCAAGGAGATCTGCAGGAGATCAGGGAGGCACCCCGTGGCCACTGGTACCTGGGCACTGCAGCCTCTCCTTCCCATTCTTAAGGACTTTGCTGAGCCACTCCGCCCACCTTCCCTGCAGGTAGGTTTTGAGCAGCTCTGCCTGTTCCTCCGCCAGGGCATCTGAGCCGCCTTGTCCGCTGCAGTCCAAGAGCGCAGTTCCTGGTTTCGGACGAGGTAACTGGCGCCGTGATAGGGTATGTTCATACCCACTGAGGAGACTGCAGTCCGAGTCCACGTCGCAGCTGTGTACCCATTGAAGGGTGTGAGACCCATTCCCAGCGACTGCGGTCAGCCCAGGCCGCTGAGCCCCGCCTCAGCCTCGACGGAGCCCCGCCTCAGCCTCGACCAACCCCCGGGGATTTGGGCCTGAACTGAAAATGGAATCCGGTATAGGCGCCTGGGGCTTTTATTGGGTGGAGGATCTCCGCTGGTCCCGCAGCGGAGTAGCACAATCTTAGTAACAGTGGGTAGCGCAGTACAGTGGCTAGCACAATCTTGGTAGCCCCTGAATGGTCACGAATCTAATTTGTAAAAGAGGTGATTTTTGGCCCCATTATATATAAATGTGTCTAAACGCATTGCAGTTAGACTCACAAAGTTAAGTTTTACTTTCCCAGACTGTGTATCTGTGACTCTGGTCTGTTGTATTTTTAAATTATCTTTATCTTATAGCCCTGAGTTTGTGTGCGCGAGTCCAGGACATCTCAATACAAAGCACAATGTGTTACCGTATATTGCAACCAGGAGCCTGTACAGAATTTAATCACCTCAAATTTGCAAGTGCTCAATGCAGCCAAAGTGCCCTTCACCAGTGCTCATGCACCGCCTTTATTTATCATTTATTTAGTTAGTTAGTTATTTTTAGACCGAGTATCACTCTGTTGCCCTAGCTGGAGTGCTGTGGCACGTTCATGACTCACTGAAGCCTCGACCTCCTGGGCTCATGCGATCAATGCTCCTCCTTCAGCCTCCAAGTATCTGGCACCACAGGCTTGTACCACCACTCCTGGCTAATTTTTCTAAAAAAAAATTTGTAGAAATGAGGTCTCCCTATGTTGCTCTCGCTAGTCTTGAACTCCTGAGCTCAAATGATCCTCCTGCCTCAGCCTCCCAAAATGCTGGTATTACAGGCATGAGCCACAATGACCATCTCATGCACCTGCCTATATTTAGGAATTATTCACATCTAAGCTATGTGCATATTTTATTGGGACACCTGGTATTCTTTTCTAACCTGTTTATCATAAGGAGGCAATTAGTTATTAGACAGCCCCACAGAATGTATTAAAGACCAAGGTGCAAGTAACACTGTGCCAGGCTCTGAGGATAAATGGATTAAAAATCTATAAAACCCTGTGTTTAAGTCTGAGAATTCCATTGCTTTAGAATTCTTTCTCTCTGTTCCTTTACCTCACCTCCTGCTTCTCCAGCCCTTCTCTCTGTCCCTGTCACCCATCAGGCCCTCCTCTCCCCTTAGTCTCTACTACTCTGTCACTACTGAATTGCGGCCCTAGCTCTGTCCCCTCGCCTGCTGCCCATGACTGTTCTCCCAACAATGGTCAGAAATCCTGCTAATGTGAGTCAGATTGTGTCATTTCTTCACTTAAAACACTCCAATGGCTCCATCTCACTCTCAAGAAGCCTCTAAAATGGAAGGCACAAGCACAGGGGCTTTGGGTTGTTTTGATCAAAGTTGTGTCTGCAGCATCTAAAAGCATATCTGGCACATAGTAGGCACTAAGTTAATTTTCTTGAGTGAATGAAATATGATTGTGTTAAAAATTGTATCACACAAAAATCACAAAATGAAAAATGCAAAGCAAGTTAGGAAACATTTGGTTTTATGCAACTACTATGCATATCAGTTCATAAATTCATTCCATTGGAGGAAATGTCATATGCTTAGCTGTTGAATCTGTTTATGAATTTTCTATTAGTACATAACCAATTACCACAAACTTAGTGGCTTAAAAGAGCACTCATTTATTTTTCTGCATTTCCTTCATCAGAAATCCAGGCCTAGTGTCAGAGATTCTTTGTTCAGGGTTTCGCAAAGCTGTATCCTCATCTTAAGATTGGGATTCTCCCCCAAGCTTATATAGAGCTCGTTGGCAGAATTCGGTTTCTGGTAATTGTAGGACTAAGGTCCCTGTTTCCTTCAGGCTATCAGAGTAGACAGTGGGGAGGGCTTCTACTTCCTATTGGCCACCAGTGTTCTTTCACCATGATCCCACCATTTTCAAAGCCCACAATGGAGGAAGCCCCTCACACTGAATCCCTCTCACACTGTGAGTCTCTATTCTCAGGAAGAACCCAGTCCTTTTCAGAGCTTACCTGATTAGGACAGTCCAAGCAGGATAATCCCCATCTTAAAGCCAACTGACAGGGGACCTGGAATACATCTGCAAAATCCCTTCACAGCAGCACCTACATTAGTGTCAACCGAGTAACTGGGGTAATGTGAGCAACCAAGGGTGGTTATTGGGGTGTCATCATAGAATCACCCTAGCATAGCCTGGCTCTTCCTTTTGTGTTTGAATAGAACATACAAATTGAAGGTAAAAAAAATTGATCATTGTTAGTGATAATAAAATATATCTTATATAACCATGAAAATTCTTGTTAAATATTAAAAGCAAATGACATGTTTAATATCTTATAATCAATTTAGAGCAAATGAAAAATTCAATGATTCATCCTCTCTTGTGAAGGTGTGTTAGTTATCTACTGATGCATAACAAGTCACTTAAAACTTAGCAACTAAAATCAACAAATATTTATCATGTCCCACAGTTTCTAGTGGTCAGGAATCCAGGAAAGTTTTCTCAAAGTTCTTCTGGCTCAGGGCCACTCACAAAATTGCGGTCTAATTGTCATCCAGGGCTTTATCATCTGAGGGCTCAAATGGGGCTGGGGATTCACAAGTCACAAGAATATCCCACGTGGCTGTTGGAAGAGGCTTCATCTTCTTATTGTCTGGCCCCAGGAGGCCTCACTTCCTAGTCACTTGGAGCTTTCCACAGGCCTGCTTATGACACAGCAGCTGGCTTCCCCCAAGGCTCATGATCCCAGAGAAAGAGAAAACCAGAACCAAAGTAGGAAGCTGCAGTGAGTTTTTTGTTTGTTTGTTTGTTTGTTTGTTTGTTTGTTTGTTTTTTGAGACAGAGTCTCACCCTGTCACCCAGGCTGGAATGCAGTGGCTGGATCTTGGCTCACTGCAACCTCCGACTTCCAGGTTCAAGTGATTCTCCTGCCTCAGCCTCCTGAGCAACTGGGATTACAGGCATGCACCACCACACCTGGCTAATTTTTGTATTTTTAGTAGAGACGGGGTTTCACCATCTTGGCCAGGCTGGTCTCGAACTTCTGACTTCATGATCTGCCCTCTTGACCTCCCAAAGTGTTGGGATTACAGGCGTGAGTGACCGCTCCCAGACTTAGTGAGTCTTATGATCTACACCCAGAGTCACAAACTATTATCTCAACATTACTCTATCAGTCTGTAAGTGAGTCATTAAGTTCAGGCCACACTCACAGGAAGGGAATGAAGCTGCACCTCTGCAAGGAGGAGTATCAAAGAATTTATATGCATGTTAAGTATGTACAGTATGCATGTTAAGTAACGTACAGAATGTAATCACCTCAAATCTGCAAGTGCTCAATGCAGCCAAAGTGCCCTTCACCAGGGCTCGTGCACTGCCTCCATTATTTATTTATTTAGTTAGTTAGTTAGCTAGTTAGTTATTTTTAGACAAAGTAACACTCTGTTGCCCTGGCTGGAATGCAGTGGCATGCTCATGATTCACTGAAGCCTCAACCTCCTGGGCTCATGCCATCAATGCTCCTCCTTCAGCCTCCCAAGTAGCTGGCACCACAATTAACATTATTGTTTCAGGATTTTGTAAATCAAATACTTCTTGTATCTGACTAATTTTCTTTAATACTTTAAAATTATCTTTTGTAAAGTAATGAATAAAACTTTGAGACAGAGAATGGAGATACAACAATATCTCAGATTTTTTTTGCAAATGCCTTTAATATTAATGTTCTCTTTGATGAGTTGCAAGAAAGTTGAGAAAATACAGTAGCTAGACCAAAGAGTCCCACGACTGGTGCCGTATAATAATGCCTTTACAATCATAACTATCTTTCTTTTTCCTCAGAAGCTACTAATTCCTTTTAAGAATGCCCAAAATGTCAATTTTCTTACTCAAGCTTCTACAAAAATATTTGCCTAATCAGGGTGCTTTGCAGTTAGAGAAAATGTGTCTCACATCTTTGTCTGTACAGCTAGCTTAGCATCACGACAAAGATTTGGTTTGATGTGGTAGGCGGAAATGGTTAACTCCAATCTAGGAACACGATTTTTCAATAACTGGGTATTCAGTGTGCATCCATTGATCAATTTAACATCTTTCGCTGTGTTTTTTAATTAGATGTGGTAGAAGTGATTTGGACTCCAGTATGATTCTGAAAAATACAGTTATTTTGTGCTTCTAATGTTGCTGTAAAAGAAGCTCTTTCGTGTTTTCCATTCGTATTGCTATTTCATCACTAGTTATTCCTTTATGTGTTTTCATTTAATTTATTTTGCTCGACAGTGCTTTTTTTCTATTCTGTAAAAGTTTAATTCACTTGTATCCGTGGTAAAATTGAGCAACATATCAAATTCTCAAATTCTTTGCGAGATACAATTGCCTTGCACATCAGATTGAACATTGTACACCAGAGAATGTAGAGAGTTGCCAATTAGCCAAGAATCAAATGACCTATTTCTATCAAAGGCTATTTTTTCATGGCATCCTGGTACTCTCTGTCACATGGCTCCTTACAATTGGCTGTGGCTTTGTTTTAACTCATGTAGTTATTGCTAAGGATCCTTGCAATGAACTTTTGTGTTTTCTTTTCTCTTTCATTTCCAAATAATCAGGAATGGCACACAAGGTGCATTTTGAAAATTGCCACTATAAATATTTGTGGGCCAGGAGTGGTGGCTCATGCTTCTAATCCCAGCATTTTGGGAGGCCGAAGTGGGTGGATCACCTGAGATCAGGAGTTGGAGACCAGCCTGGCCAACATGGTGAAGCACAGTCTGTACGAAAAATACAAAAATTAGCCGGGCATCATGGCAGGTGCCTGTAATCCTAGCTACTCAGAGGCTGAGGTAGGAGAATCGCTTGAACATGGGAGGCGGAGGTTGCAGTGAGACGAGATCACACCATTGCACTCCCGCTTGGGCAACAAGAGTGAGACTCCATCTCAAAAATAAATGAATAAATAAATAAATAAAGATTTATGATCAAGTAACTAATTACCTGGACATCCTCTCCTGGCATAAGAAACAGAACCTATGAAGCCACCCTAGACTGTTGCCCAATCCTATCCACCAAAAGGAACCTCTATCTTGAGTCTTGTATTTACTAGTCCTTTGCACTGTCTCTAAAGATTTTTACAATAAATATATATACCCAAATCACAGTCTGACCTGTTTTTTTAACTTCGCTGTACAGAGAACTCACACTATATGTATTCTTCTGTGATGCATGTTATGTGTAGGAGAGTTATCTCTGATGTGGGAGGGTGCTGTTCAATCATTTTTACTGCTAAAATTTTACTTTTCGTAATTATATCAGAATTTTGTTAATTCCCATTGATGCATATGTGATTGTTTCCAGTTTTTTTGCCATAAACATTGGTGTACACGTCTCTGGGACACATAGCCAAAGATATCCCCAGAGTGTATGATCAGGAGCAGATGGTGGGATTATACAGTGTATGGACATTAATCATACAAGATAAGGCTAATTTGATTTCCCAAGTGCTTGTACCAAGAATGGGAAAGAACTTATGTTGCTCATGTGTTCTGAAAACATTCAGTTGAAGGTGGAGATTACATGTTAAAAAACCATTGTCTTGGCTACAGAATCACCCTAGGCATTTTTTCATATTCCATTAATACCTTCCTTTTCTTTACTTTTATCCTGTAAATTATGGCATTATACTTTAAGCATAAGATTCAAATAGTGATTCTTTTTAGCCTAACCACATAGAGTTTATGAAAAAGTGGAGGGAGGGAGAAAGCTCTGAGGGAGGAAAGGAGGAAAGAAAGATGGAAGGACAGAGAAAGACAAAATGAACATTTTCAAAAAAGAATAGGAGGAAAGGATTAGAAACAGCAAGTGTGGCTAATATTATTAAAATGCAGGAAATTAAAAGATGTAGATAACATCCATGGAATAACAGAAACTTAAGAAAGCCTTAATAGTTATTAACTGCTGTGTCACAAACTACCTCAAAATTTAGTGGCTTAATACAACAAATATCTGTTAATTCAAAGAGATACTACGAACGCGCGCAAAATAGATTTTATGGGGGTGGCAGAAGTTGGTTAAAGAGATGGATTTTACAGGTTGGAATAAGTAAGAGTTATTGGTGTGCACATGGCAATGCTTTTTAGTCCAAGTCCTCCAAGGAGCAGATGCCAAGATGAGCTTAAAGTCTACGGCATCTTATGAGGGGACACACCTGTAAGGGAATATGAGACGCGAGCCAGAAATCCCTGGAAAAGGCGGCAGACAATGATGCAAGTGTGACCCCAAGTGCTGGACAGAAGGAGACAAGGTCTGTTCGACGCATCCTAGAGCAGAGGCAGTCTAAGGAGAGTTGAGGAAGGGCATGGAGGAGTCCTGGAGCCACATTTGGCCATCAGAGGAGTCCCATGTCTCCCAGTAATGGCCTGCCTTAGTGTGCTTGCTGTGACCGGTCACTGGCTGGGAACAACTCATGGAAGCAGGGCTTCTGCACTAATCCTGCTGAGGATGTCAGAGCACAGAAGCAGAGACGTGGGACATTACCTAGGAGTATCACTCAATCCTTCCTTCCTGAGGGTTCTGGGCTCTTGAATATCAAACCCTCTCAGGCTGGGTTGCTGGATGATTCCGCTCACACAACGGACAAGGGAAACCAGGACGTCCCCAAGTGGATTCCTGGTTTCCACACACACTTCTCCTGCCCTCATTGTGTGATAGCAGCGCTGCCTCCTCCTCTTCTCACCTGCTTGTCTCTGGGCACATACTATTCAAATATCCCTGGGTGCAACCACAATGTGTAGTTCCATGGACTCTCATTTGTCTCCTTGCCAGGGTGCCCTCTTTGGGAAACCAGGACCTCCTACCCTGCAGAGTCCAGATTTTGGAAGTAAGAAGAGCAAAATCACCCTGGGGGTGAATATAATGAATAAAATAAATACATACATACATACATGCATAAATAAATTTATTTAAGTATTCATGTTATGTATTTATTTACTTATAAGTAAATCACCCTGGGGGTGAATATAAGGAATGAGACACACCTGCTTTGACTTCTTGGTTTTTGGACCCGCGTATTCTTCCTTCTGAAAACAGTGCCTTAGAGACGTCTTTGATTCAATACATGCATCACATCCTGAAAGATGGCACCCATTCCTCAGAGGGTTTCATCCAAGCTGGTACTGAATTGTGCCTGTAGAGTCCTGTCCATGACTCTGTGTGCCTGGCAGCACTTGAGAGGCGCAGGTGGTGATACGACCAGGGGATCCCATGGTCAGGGCCCACACTTCATCCCCTTCCCCAACAGGTGTGTCCCCCAGGCAGATAGTGTACTGAAATTCTGAGCCAGTGGATCAGGAATGCCAATAGTGTTGTTGACTGAGGGTCTGAGAGCAGAGAGGAAAACCACACCACATCGCATCCCTGTGAGCCTATCCCTGTGAGGATAAACTTCTGCCCCTTCCAGGATGGATGGTGCTCAAGCTATTCAACTTGTCACTTAGGGGCTAGTCAGTTACTTTAAGAAATAGTGCCCTATTGGTGCCTATCATTGGTCTGCAATGCTCACGAGCAGAGTATTCAGAGGAAGCAGTAGCTGGGTGGGCCTTGGTAGTGGAGAGACAGTGCTGCTGGACTCATTTGTAGCTTCATCCCTGCCACTGTGGTTGCTCCACTCACGGGTCCTTCCTATCAGGCCTGGGCTGATCCATGATGCAGACTGGCTAACTTCAATTTGTCTTCAATTTGTTTGGTTATTCAGGGCCACATCAGGACTGGGTGTTTTCTGTGGGTGTTAACATGGAATTGAGGCTCAACCGACATGGACCGTTTTCGTCTCATGATAGATGCCGCTGGGCCTGTCCAGTGAATGACTCTATGGGTCACATAGAAGCCAATACACACGGGCACTTGGAATCACATGGTTGCTTGGTGTCCTATGCTCAAGCATTCTATCTTATCAGGGCCAGTAACATGCTAAAAGTTGCTTCTAACATGGAGCATGTTTCTCTGCTGTGGACTCCATGGCCTTACTCCTGATCCCAGGCCCTGCATTCTGACTTTCCCACTGATGCTTGGTTCAGCTCCATCCTGCTTCTTTCCCCAGACCGCCACCTCCAGCACCAGGGGTCTGAGGGATGGTGACTGACTGCACCACAGCCTGGGTCTGCTGCAGTGTCCTTTCCAGTCCAGGCCCCACTCAAAGCTGGCCTCCTCCTATATCACCCAGAGTGTCAGCCAAAGCAATAAACTTAGATGTGGAATGTGGTGTTGCTAGAACCCAGAGAGGCTCACAAGGTAGTGTGCATCCTTCCTTCTGGTGAGGATGCAAGATGCAAGTGTGTCTTTTACTTTGTGTGTGTGTGTGGCGGCGGGGAGCTCTGCATGCCCCTAACCACTGGACCCATAACACTTCACTGCAGTGGCCACTCTTGAAGCTCTGTAAGTTTTATCTTCACCTTCTGTAGTGCACATGTTTTGCCAGGGAATTCAGCGTACTTTCCTGCTGTTGTTCATCCTTCCCAATTTATGTGATATTGCCAATGAAATGAAGAGATTTAGTATTCTGTGGGATGTCTGATTCGTCCAGGTCTCTTAAGGTGATATTTATAGAAGGTTGAGGAGTTAAGGTAGCCCTGATGCAAGCTATCAATAAATGTATTATAAATCCCATGTGAATGTGAATCATTCCATATCCATCTTCTAAATGAAATGGGAGGGAATGCACTCACCAAATCCACAGCTGCTTGCCATGTGCCTGAGGCCTTATTAATCTCCCCAGGCAGTGATATCCAGCCAGCATGGCAGCTGCAATCAGGACTCCTACTTGGTCAAGTCTGGAGTAATTCCATTCATTCTTTAGCCATATCAGGCTTCTGCAGGTACAGATTGCTGAGTTATATGGAGATAACAGGCAATCCCAACACCACCCCACATCGTTCAGGTCTGTAATGGCAGTGCCACCCCTATAATACCTGCAGTACCCTCCACAAGACCCACCCTGAGGCACAATATTGCTTCTGGTTTGGCTTGGATGAGGGATGTTTCCCTTTGGGCTTCAGCACAGTGAGATCCCTTACTCTCCAGACTAGGGACACAGTGTGGGGTGACTCCAGTTGCCAGTGCATCAAGGCCAATTATGCACTCAGAGAATGGGGAGATAACCAGGACAGGATTTATGGAACTGGTGATTCCACCATGGGGCATAATGTATCTAGGTTTATTCCCTGGCCTCTGTAAGCCCCAGTGTGATGGGGGACATAATGGTGCTGTAGGAATCTGGGCAGCAATGTCAGCTCACACCCAATGTTAATACTTATCCCATCTCCTGATTAAATGGCTATAGGCTCCTTTGCAGAAGGGCTGATGGAATTGTCCCAGCATATAACCATCATCGTGTCCCAAGGTTCTTTCTCTTAGGGATATAGATATGTCCTTAGTCACTGGATTCTGAATCTGAAGCTTGCTCCTCAATTCCACATGCTTATCATAGATATCAAGCAGTGCCCTTGCTGTCTGCCCATCTTTTCTGACCCTGGGACACCACCCTTTATTAACCTTCCCCACAACTCCTTGAAGGTCAAGCCCCCTTGGCTGATACTCTGGGTTATCACAGTAAATGTGCCCTCTATCTTTTGCAGGTCACTGAAAAGGAGGGTTCCTAAAGCATTCACTCCTGACCCTGAGGGAGGTGGGTGCACTCACTCCAGGACTCAGGTTCACCACAGATAAGCAAAAAAGTCCTCACATTCAAAATTGTCCTGGGCCACATGCAGCCCACGAGCCGCGGGTTGGACAAGCCTGCATCTAGAACGTATGCACCATAACCCCAGACATTTTTCTGTTTTTACTTTAAGGATGCTTTCTAAATGCAAAAGCAGTCATATCCCTAGCAGACAACAAATGTCAGTTGAATGAATGATCACTGTAGAGCACCTCCCTATTCTAAAGCCCATATCTTTATTAATGTAGCCACAGGGCAAATGCTGTTTTGTGGCAGCTAAAGAACATAAGTTCACGTGGACATCCATGCCGCCAGTGCTTTTCTCACCAGGGCTGCTTGTATGTCCTCCCTCCTCCCACACCAACCCTCCTGCACACTTCAGCACAAAACCATATATTTCTCTTCAGGAACAATAACCCTAGCCTTATGGGTACAATTTTCCAACCACATATGAATCTAAATTAGACTCTGCTTTATAAATCTATGAGTTTGGATTGGAGCCAGCACTAGGATTACTACAACTCAGAGCAGGAAGAAGAGTAGGAGGGCAGAAGAGGAGTTCCAACAGAAAGTTAACCATGATGAGAAACTATGGGACCCCTCCTCTCTGCAAATGTCACAATCTGGTTCCTTTAAAAAGATTGGAGAAAAATCGAAAATACCATTAAGGAAAAAGCCCTGGGAGGAAGGCAAGACCTGGACAGGTCTGAAAATTTGTCTCTTGATACCACAAGGAGATTTGTATGCAGGGACCACCCTAGGTGACATCCAACTCCCTGTGATCACAGGTCTTGGTGGGACAAGGTTCTACTGAAGGGCCAAGGACAATGGAGCAGCAAAGATGACCCAGGTGAGCTGTGACCACATAAAGCCCATGGTGGCCAGAACAGAAACTGGGCACAGCCCCATCTACTCTCCTCCCCTGCAACAAATCAGCACAAGAAACACGTGGACTCTGGAAGGTTCTCATGTCTTCCATTTATTTTGTCTCTCAAATTTTAGGAATCTTCTCCTTTAATTAACTCATCAACCTCTCATGGCAAGAATTTGAGAAAGTAAATTTATACTAAGGTTCTAATTTTAATAGGGAAGGAAGAAGTTACAGCTCAGTGCACCATGAAGTTGAGACAGAGATGGAGACACCTCAGCCCCACCTCTCTGGAACAGGAAAGATGATTGGGGAGGGAGCACAGGTCAGCGTGGGAAGAGGGTCATGGTGGACATGGGGGTGGGGTGGTCTCCCCACCTCCTCACATTATGCCTACACGAACACAGACACATGCAGGTGCCTTTGCAGAAACAAAGTCAGGGTTCTTCAAGTCACAAAGGGAAGGGCAGGAACAACTCTTGCCTCTCAGTCCCACACAAGGCAGCTGTCTCACACTATAGAAAAAAATATTCATGAACAAATTCATATCCATCACAGTGAGGGGTCACACCTTAAACAGCCCATCGCATGCTCAATACATCCAATGCAAAGAAACCCCATAGCACAGCTGTGTCCACTGTTCCGCCCAACACCCAACACACATTAGGTCCTCCAAGCTCTCACCTTTACAAGCTGTGAGGGACACATCAGAGCCCTGGGCACTGTCACTGCCTGGGGTAGAACAAAAACAGAACCTGGTCAGATCCCACAGAAGATGTGGCTAGAGGAGGAATTGTGAGGTGGGTGGGCTCCCCCATGGGCTCCCAAACACAATATCCCAAGGACCTCAGGCATCAGCCTCCTTCATACTTACTTGCAGCCTGAGTGTAACTCCCTCCTTTTCTATCTGTGAGAAGAAAATGTCCTGTGAGATACCAGAAAGGAGCCAGGGCCTTAAGGTCCTAGAGGAACCTCCTAGTCTTGGACCCCAGAGAAGTTTCCAGAAATGTGTGACTGCAGACCCAGGGCGGGATCAGGAAACATGAAGAAAGCAGGTGTGGGTCCTGGACCAATAGCCCTCCTGAGGTCTGTCCTCAGGGACCTTCCCCTGTGACTTGTGACTGCTGGGATCAGGTCCCATCACCGCCGTAATCAAGGTGATAAATCTGTCCTTCATTTTAACAGGTGCTTTACAAAAGAGTAAGTGCTGGCACACAGGGCCCAGACTGGGTAGGCCCATGATTGTGGACGGTGCTTCCCAGTAATGAGACAGGGCACATTTCTAGCTGGGGCTTGGAACCCTCAGTGAGACAAGAAATCTCAGACCCCACCCTTCACCCCTTCTCCACCTGAGCTCTTCCTCCTCCACATCACGGCAGCGACCACAGCTCCAGTGATCACAGCTCCAAGGAGAACCAGGCCAGCAATGATGCCCACGATGGGGATGGTGGGCTGGGAAGACAGCTCTGGGAAAAGAGGGGAAGGTGAGGGGCCCTGACCCTGCTAAAGGTCTCCAGAGAGGCTCCTGCTTTCCCTAAGAGACATGACACCCCCATCTCCCTCCTTACCCCATCTCAGGGTGAGGGGCTTGGGCAGACCCTCATGCTGCACATGGCAGGTGTATCTCTGCTCCTCTCCAGAAGGCACCACCACAGCCGCCCACTTCTGGAAGGTTCCATCCCCTGCAGGCCTGGTCTCCACGAGCTCCGTGTCCTGGGTCTGGTCCTCCCCATCCCGCTGCCAGGTCAGTGTGATCTCCGCAGGGTAGAAGCCCAGGGCCCAGCACCTCAGGGTGGCCTCATGGTCAGAGATGGGGTGGTGGGTCATATGTGTCTTGGGGGGGTCTGACGGGAAGAGTCAGAAAATTCAGGCATTTTGCATCTGTCATGGGACACTCCACCAGCACGCATGTGGCCATCTTGAGAATGGACAGGACACCCGGGATGGGGAAGAGAGCACAGAACCCAGACACCAGCCTGGACACAGGCACCTGGGATAATCTTCTATTCCCTGAGAAGGGAACAGCGACTTCTGGTCCTGACCTGAGTGGAGGCTGAGGGACTCAGAAGTGCTGGACTCAGACCCCCACACACATTGAGTGTGAAGCAGAGAACAAGGCCTGAGAGGAAAAGTCACGGGCCCAAGGCTGCTGCCGGTGTCAAAGGGAACCACTCATCAGTATTCGAGGGATCGTCTTCCCGTCACTCCTTCAGAGATTTTATCCCTTAATTGTGTCAGAGAGCAGGGCGGAACCTCAGAGTCACTCTCTGGTACAGGATCTGGAACCCAGGAGGATTCCTCTCCCTCAGGACCAGAGGGAGGGTGATATTCTAGTGTTGGTCCCAATTGTCTCCCCTCCTTGTGGGAGGCCAGCCCGGGAGATCTACAGGCGATCAGGGAGGCGCCCCGTGGCCCCTGGTACCCGTGCGCTGCAGCGTCTCCTTCCCGTTCTCCAGGTATCTGCGGAGCCACTCCACGCACGTGCCATCCAGGTAGGCTCTCAACTGCTCCGCCTCATGGGCCGCCTCCCACTTGCGCTTGGTGATCTGAGCCGCCATGTCCGCCGCGGTCCAAGAGCGCAGGTCCTCGTTCAGGGCGATGTAATCCTTGCCGTCGTAGGCGTCCTGCCGGTACCCGCGGAGGAAGCGCCCGTCCGACCCCACGTCGCAGCCATACATTATCTGGATGGTGTGAGAACCTGGCCCCGACCCCGCGGTCAGCCCAGTCCCCCGAGCCCCGCCCAGCCCCGACCAACCCGGGGGGATTTTTGGCCTAAACTGAAAATGAAACCGGGTAAAGGCGCCTGGGCCTCTCCCGGGGCAAGGGTCTCGGGGTCCCGCGGCTTCGGGGTGGATCTCGGACCCGGAGACTGTGGGCGACCTGGCCCGTCCGTGGGGGATGAGGGGTCCTGACCTGCGCCCCCGGCCGGGGTCACTCACCGGCCTCGCTCTGGTTGTAGTAGCCGCGCAGGGTCCCCAGGTCCACTCGGTCAGTCTGTGACTGGGCCTTCACATTCCGTGTCTCCTGGTCCCAATACTCCGGCCCCTCCTGCTCTATCCACGGCGCCCGCGGCTCCATCCTCTGGCTCGCGGCGTCGCTGTCGAACCGCACGAACTGCGTGTCGTCCACGTAGCCCACGGCGATGAAGCGGGGCTCCCCGCGGCCGGGCCGGGACACGGATGTGAAGAAATACCTCATGGAGTGGGAGCCTGGGGGCGAGCAGTGGCTGAGACCTGCCCGACCCTCGTCCCGGCGCGGCTCCCCCGGTCCTGCGCCCCCGCCAGGAGGGCCCCTTGCTTCTCCCCGCAGAGGCGGTTTCCCTCCCGACCCCGCACTCACCCGCCCAGGTCTGGGTCAGGGCCAGGGCCCCCGAGAGTAGCAGGAGGAGGGTTCGGGGCGCCATGACGGCCATCCTCGGCGTCTGGGGAGAATCTGAGTCCCGGTGGGTGCGTGCGGGCTTTAGAACAGCGACCGCGACGACACTGATTGGCTTCTCTGGAAACCCGACACCCAATGGGAGTGAGAACTGGGTCCGCGTCGTGAGTATCCAGGATGAAGGACCCTACGTAGGTTGGGAGAGGGAGAAAAGAAACTGCGGAGTTGGGGAATCCCCAAGGCTGGGACTCCCCAATCCATACACCGCCTTCGGGGCCTGAGACTCTGAGAGCCACGCCTGGGGCCCTGGGACTTCGCCCTGACCCCTCTGCTCCTGTGCGAAGCGCTCTGTCTCAATGTCTCCCTGAGTCTTGGCCCAGGAGCTGTCTGAGAAACAAGGGAGAAACCCTCGGCATGGGCCCCGTCCCTCTCCTTTCACTTTTCATCCCATTATCTCTGTCCCTGAACTGGACTCCCTGACTCCCACTCCTTACCTGTCCACCTGGACTCTTCTAGAAGAAAAATCACCCCATGGAGTTTGGTGCCAGAGAGTAAGCTTGATCTGGGAATGGAGGTGTAGATTTTTGTTGTTGTTGTTTTTGTTTTTAATCCGGAAAAGTTGTGCCTGAGTGCATGAGACAGAATAGAGACCAATTTGCTCTTTGTTTATTAACTACAGTGGGTAGCAGAATCTTGGTAACCCCTGAATGATCAGGAATCTAATAGGTAAAAAATGTGACTTTGGCCCCTTAATGTATAAATGTGTCCAAAAGCATTACAACAGGACTCACAAAGCTACTAAGTTGCACTTTCCCAGACAATGTATCTGTGACTCCTGCTTGTCTTACTTTAAATTTGCCATCATTCCTTAGCTCTGAGTTTCTGTGTGAGTCCACGACATCTCCTCAATACAAAGTAGCCACTGTGTTCCTATATGTTGCAACCAGAAGCCATTACAGGCTTTATTCACCTCAAAGTTGCAACTGTTCAAGGCAGTCACAATGCCCCTCACTAGTGCTCATGCACTGCCTGTTTTTAGGAAGTATCCACTTCTAAGTGTTGTGTATATTTTATAGGAACACTTAGTAATTTTTAAACCTGATTAACATAAAAAATAGTTTTTAGGCAGACCCACATGAGGTATTAAAAGACAACTGCCAAGGACACCCTCCTAGGCTCTGTAGATTGATGTATTAAAATCCATAAAACAATGTCTTTAAACCTAAGAATTCTGCTGCTTTCAAATTCTTTCCTCTGCTCCTTTTCCTCACCTCCTGCTTCTCCAGCCCTTCCCTCCATCCTTCTCATCCTTCAGGCCCTCCTCTCCCCTTAGTTCCCACCACACTGTCACTCATGAATTGTGACACTAGCACTGTCCCATGACCTGCTACGTAACTGTTCTTTTCACAGTGGCCCTGCTCCTGTGAGTCGGAGTGTGTCATTTCTCCACTTAAAACACTCCAGTGTCTCCACCTCGGTCTTGTGAAGCTTCTGGAGTGTCAGGCACTTGAGCATATGAGGGGATACCTCGTTCATTGTAGGGACTAAGTTAATTTTTGTTGACTTAATGAATGAAATATGAGTGTATTAAATTGCATCACAGATAATTATAAACTGTAAAACACTGAAAAAGTTCAGAAAGATTTTATTTTATGCAACTAGTGTGTATATCAATTCATCAATTCATTCGCACACTACCATGCCTGGCAAAACAACACACATTTATCTGCTTATAGTTCCTTGGTCAGAAATCTGGGCAAGATGTGGATAGAATCTCCATTCTGGGCTTCCAAAAGCTGTGTTTTCATTTTGAATCCTCCTTCGGGTTTATACAGAGGTGGCAGAATGCAGTTTCTTGCAGTTGTAAGACTGAGGTCCCTGTTCCTGGCTAGCTGTCAATGTAGAGAACTGGGAGGGGCTCAATTCCCGGTGCTCACCAGCGTTCTTTCCTACACAGCCCCTTAATTTTTCTTTTTTTTTTTTTTTTTGAGACGGAGTCTGGCTCTGTAGCCCAGGCTGGGGTACAGTGGCCCAATGATCTCTGCTCACTACAAGCTCCGCCTCCTGGGTTCACACCATTCTCCTGTCTCAGTCCCAAGTAGCTGGGACTACAGGCGCCCACCACTATGCTCTAATTTTTTTTTTCTTAGTAGAGACAGGGTTTCACCTTGTTAGCCAGGATTGTCTCGACCTCCTGACCTCATGATCCGCCCGCCTCGGCCTCCCAAAGTGTCGGGATTACAGGCGTGAGCCACCGCGCCCGGCCCATAGCCCCTTCCTTTTCAAAGCCCATGGTGGAGGAAACCCCTCATGCTGAGTCCCTTTCACACTGTAAGTCTCTATGCTCATGAAGAACCCAGTCCTTTCAAGGACTCACCTGATTAGGACAGTCCAAGCAGGATAAACCCAGCATAAAGTCAACTAATTGAGACCCTTAATTATATCTGCTAAATCCCTTCACAGCAGCACCTACATTAGAGTTGGTTGAATAACTGGAGGAAGGTGAATGACCAGGAGCTGCTTGTTGAGGCCATCATAGAATCAGCCTAGCAAGGGTTGGATCTTCCTTTTGTGTTTAATTGGGACACAGTTGGAAAGTGAAGTTCAAGTAACGTGATCATTGTGAATGGTCATAAAATACATCCTCTTCAGCCATGGAAATTGTCCTTACTTTTTAAAACTAAGTTACATGTTTAATATCTTATAATTAATTTAGGCCAGGTGTGGTGGCTCACATCTGTCATCCTAGCACTGTGGAAGGCAGAGGAATGGAGATTTGTTGACTCCAGAAGTTCAAGATCAGCCTGGGCAAAACCTCCATCTATACAAAAAATTAGAAAATTAGCCAGGCATGGTAGTTCATGATGGTAGTCGCAGCTACTCAGGAGGCTGAGGTCAGAGAGTCCCTTGACCCCAGGCGTTCGACACTGCAGTGCATGGTGATCATGCCACTGCATTCCAGCCTGGGTGACAGAGCAAGACCCTGTCTCAAAAATAATAATGATGATGATGACACATTTAGAGCAAATGCAATTTGATGTGTAATAATACATCCTCTCTTGTGAAAATATATTATTTACTGTTGCATAACAAATTACGTAAAACTTAGCTCGAAACAACAAATGTTTCTCATCTCCCACAGTTTCCAATCGTCAGGAATCCAGGAGAGGTTTCCCTGAGTGCTTCCTGCTCAGGGCCTCTCACAAGGTTGCACTCCAGTTGTCAGCCAGGGGCCGCAGCATCTGAGGGCTTCGCTGGGGCTGGGAATTCACAAGAAACATGGATCAGTCACATGGCTGTTGGAAAAGGCCTGGTTCCTTGTTGTCTGTTCCCAGAAGGCCTCAGTTCTCAGTCATGTGGACCTTCCTGCAGGGCTGCTTATGGCACAGCGGCTGGCTTCCCCCAGAGCTCATGATCCCAGATTCAGAGAGAGAGAAGGTGGAAGCCGCAGTTAGTTTTATGTTCTACACCCAGAGTCACAAACTGTTATGTTGGCACTATTCTATAAGTTAGAAGTTGTATTAGTCCATTCTCACACTGCTATAAAGAAATACCTGAGACTGGGTAATTTATAAAGGAAAGAGGTTTAATTGACCCACAGTTCTGCATGACTGAGGAGGCTGCCCCAGGAAACTTACAGTCATGGCAGAAGTGGAAGCAAACCCGTCCTTCTTCATGTGGTGACAGGAGAGAGAAATGCACAATGAAGCAGGGAAAAGCCCCTTATAAAACCATCAGATCTCATGAGAATTCCCTCAGCATCAGGAGAACAGCATGGGGGCACCGTCCCCATGATCCAATCAACTCCCATGAGGTCCCTCCCCCAATAGGTAGGGATTACAATTTGCATAACAACTCAAGATGAGATTTGGGTGGGAACACAGAACCAGGCCATTTCAGAAGTGCCTCATTAAGTCCAAGCCACACTCAAGAGAGGGAATTAAGCTGCACCTCTAGAAAGGAACAGTATCAAAGGATTTGAATATATGTTAAAAGCAAAATTATAACTATTGTTTCAGGTTTCTGAAAATCAAAGTCTTCTTGTATCTAATTATTTTTCATTAACTCTTTAAGCTTGTCTTTTAATTTAATTTTTTTTTAAGTTCCAGGGTACATGTGTAGGATGTGCAGGTTTGTTACATAGGTAAATGTGTGCCATGTTGGTTTGCTGCACCTGTCAACTCATCACCTAGGTATTAACCCTGGCATGCATTAGCTATTTTTGCTAATGATCCTCCCATCACCACCCTCCCCCAACAGGCCCCAGTGTGTGTTGTTCCTCTCCCTGTGTCCATGTGTTCTCATTGCTCAGTTCCCAGTTATATATGAGAACATGTGGTGTTTGGTTTTCTGTTCCTGTGTGAGTTTGCTGAGGATAATGGCTTCCAGCTTCATCCATATCCCTGCAAAGGACTTGATCTCCTTCCTTTTTATGGCTGCATAATATTCCATGGTGTATATGTACCATATTTTCTTTATCCAGACCATCATTGATGGGCATTTGGGTTGATTCCATGTCTTTGCTATTGTGAATAGTGCTGCCATGAATGTAAACATGCATATGTCTTTATAATAGAATGATTTATATTCCTTTGGGTATATACCCTGCAATGGGATTGCTGGGTCAAATGGTATTTCTGGTTCTAAATCTTTGAGGAATCGCCACACTGTCACTGTCTTCCACAATGGATTAACCATTTACTTTTCCACCAACAGTGTAAAAGCATTCCTATTTCTCCGCAACCTTGCCAGCATCTGTTGTTTCTTGACTATTTAATAATTGCCATTCTGACTGGCATAAAATGGTATCTCATTTGTCGTTTTGATTTGCATTTCTCTAATGATCAGTGATGGGAGCTTTCTTTTTCATATTTTTGTTGGCCACATGTATGTCTTCTTTAGAAGTGTCTGTTCATGTTCTTTGTCCACTTTTTAATGAAGTTTTTTTTCATGTAAATTTGCTTAAGTTCTTTGTGGATTCTGAATACTAGACTTTTGTCAGATGAACAGATGGCAAAATTTTTCTCCCATTCTGTAGCATGTCTGTTCACTCTGATTGATGATAGTTTCTTTTGCTGTGCAGAAAAAAATTGCCTAATCTGATTGCTTTTCATTTACAAAAATGAGAATCTCATACTTCAGTTAACACATCTAGCTTAGCATGATGCCAATAACTTTGGCTTGATGCTGTAGCCCGAAATGGTTAGCTTGAATTGAGAGACAAGTTATTTTCAAAAACTGGCTATCCAATGGGCATTCTATAACACACTTAACATCTTTTGTTGTGGTATTGAATGAGATGTGATAGAAGTGATTTGGACACCACTATGATTCTAAATAGCACTGCTATTATGTGCTTCTGAATTTTTTTTCTTTTTAGCAGTCCTATTCTGTTTCCATTCATATTTGCTATTCCATCACTGGGTATTCCTTCCTACTCTTTTCATGTTTCATTTATTTTGATCAGTGATGTGCATTTCCAATTCTGTAAAAGTTTAATTCAGTTGTATGTGTGGTAAAATGTAACGTAGAATCTTTGCAAGATGAAATTACCTTGCATAGCATATTGAACATTGTATTATTGAAAATCTAGAGAGATGCCAGTGAGCCAAGGATCGAATGACCTATATGTAGCCAAGGCCGTTTTCATGGCATCCTGGTCCTCTCTGTCACATAGCTCCTTACAATTCTCTGTGGTTTTCTTCCAATGTAAGTAGTTCTTGTTAAGAATCTTTGCAATGAACTTTGAAATTCTTTTCTTTTTCATTTCTATAAAAAACAGGTATATTTTAATTTGGAAAACTCTGTTTAAGGAATTATAATCAAGTAACTACCAGGGGGCCCAGCACTGGTGTAAAACACAAAACTGTAAAACTACCCTGGGCTGCTACCCAGTCATCCTCCAGAAGGAGACTGTTGGGAGCAAGTCCCCCAAAATCTGGTCATAAACTGGCCCCGAGACTGGCCATAAACAAAATTTCTGCAGCACCATAACATGTTCATAATGGCCCTAGCACCCAAGCTGGAAGGTTGTGGGTTTACGGGAATGAGGGCAAGGGACACCTGGCCCGCCCAGGGTGGAAAACCACTTAAAGGCATTCTTAAGCCACAAACAATAGCATGAGTGATCTGTGTCTTAAGGGCATGTTCCTGCTGCAGTTAACTAGCCCAACCTATTCCTTTAATTCGGCCCATCCCTTCGTTTCCCATAAGGGATATTTTAACTAATTTAATATTTATAGAAACAATGCTAATGACTGTAATAAATATGTGGGTAAATCTCTGTTTGGGGCTCAGCTCTGAAGGCTGTGAGACCCCTGATTTCCCACTTCACACCTCTATATTTCTGTGTGTGTGTCTTTAATTCCTCTAGCACCGCTGGGTTAGGATCTCCCTGACCGAGCTGGTCTCAGCAGAAGACTCCATGCTGAGTCTTGTGATACTTATTCCTTTGTATTTCTTCAAAGATTTGTGCAATAAGTATATATATACACATATATGTGTATATATGTGTATATATATACATATATGTGTATATATGTGTATATATACACATATATGTATCCATATATGTATATATGTGTATATATACACATATATGTATATATGTGTATATGTATGTGTATATATACACACACACATATATATATGTATGTGTGTATATATATATATCCCCAAAACAAATATCAGTTTGTTTTGCTGGTTTTTAAGCTTCCTGTACAGCAAGTTCCTACTGCCTTTATTTTCCCATGATGCACATTATGTGTAGGAGTTATCTGTGGTGTGGGAGACTGTCATTCATTCATTTTTACTGCTGAAGGCTTACATATGGTTATACCACAATTTCACTAGTTTCCTATTGATGTATATGTGGCTGATTCCAGTTTTTGCCATAAATATTAGTGTGCATGTCTCCTGTGCACATAGGCAAGAAAGCCCCCCAGAGTGGATGATTAGGAATGGGTTGGTTGGATGATACGTTGTATGGACTTTAACCATACTAGATAATGATAATACAAATTCCAAAGTGATTGTGGCTACTTAAACTTTTACAATAAATGTGTAATACTTGATGTTGATGATGTGTTCTGAAAACACTGTGTTGAAGGAATTGAGTTAAAAGCCACTGTCTTGGCTGTAGAATTATAGCAGGCATTTTTATTCAGACTCTGTTAATAACTTCCTGTTGTTTACTTGTTTCTCATATACATGACATTATATTTTTGACATATAGATTCAGAAAATGCTTACTTACAACCCAATCACATAGAGTTATTTTATATATTAGGAAAATTTCATAATAAAAAGGAAAAAATGGAGGAAGAGAGAGAAAGAAGGAGGAATGGAGGAAAAAGCAAAAGAAGAAAAGAAGGAAGGGGAGGGGAAGGAAAGGGAGAAAGAAGGAGGGAAGGCGATAGTTTGAATGGAAATAGAGAAGAAAGAGATGGAGGGAGGGCTAGAAGGAAGGAGAAAGGGAAGGAAGAGGCCAGGCACAGTGGCTCATGCCTGTAATCCCAGTCTTTGGGAGGCTGAGGCAGGCAGATCACGAGGTCAGGAGATAGAGACCATCCTGGCTAACATGGTGAAACCCTGTCTCTACTAAAAATACAAAAAATTAGCCGGGCATGGTGGCAGGTGCCTGTAGTCCCAGCTACTTGGAAAGCTGAGGCAGGAGAATGGCATGAACCTGGGAGGCAGAGCTTGCAGTGAGCCGAGATCGAGCCACTGCACTCCAGCCTGGGCGACAGAACGAGACTTTGTCTCAAAAAAAAAAAAAAAAAAAAAGAAAAGAAAAGAAAAAAGAAAAAAAAAGGATGGAACAAAGGAGAAAAGAAACTAAAATAAAGAAAAGAATAGGTGTTGAGAAACTAGAAACCTATGTGTGGCTAATATTATCAAAATAGGAGAAAATAAAACAGATGTAGTTAACCTCTAGAGAATAATGGAAATGTAAGAGGGCTTCATTAGTTATCCATTGCTGTGTAACAAACTACTCCCAAATTTAGTGACTTGGGATCACTAAATGAGGGATCGTGTTCCCGTCATTCCCTCAGAGATTTTATCCCTTAATTGCGTCTTCCCGTCATTGCCTCAGAGATTTTATCCCTTAATTGTGTCAGAGAGCAGTGTGGAACCTCAGAGTCACTCTCTGGTACAGGATCTGGAAACTGAGGAGGATTCTTCTCCCTCAGGACCAGAGGGAGGGTGATATTCTAGTGTTGGTCCCATCTGTCTCCCATCCTTGTGGGAGGCCAGCCCGGGAGATTACAGGCGATCAGGGAGGCGCCCGTGGTCCCTGGTACAGGTGTGCTGCAGTGTCTCCTTCCTGTTCTCCAGGTATCTGCGGAGCCACTCCACGCACCTGCCCTCCAGGTAGGCTGTCTGCTGCTCCGCCTCATGGGCCGCCTCCCACTTGCGCTGGGTAATCTGAGCCGCCATGGCCGCCGCAGTCCAAGAGCTCAGGTCCTGGTTTAGGGCGATGTAATCTTTTTACAGAGAATCCTTTTTACAGAGAATGGGGAGATAACCAGGACAGGATTTATGGACCCAGTGATTCCACCGTGGGGCATAATTTGTCCAGGTTTATTCCCTGGCCTCTGTAAGCCCCACTGTGATAGGGACATAATGGTGCTGTGGGAATCTGGGCAGCAATGTTAGCTCACACCCAATGTTAACACTTATCCCATCTCCTGATTAAATGGCTATAGGCTCCTTTGCAGAAGGGCTGATGGAATTGTCCCAGCATGTAACAGTCATGGTGTCCCAAGGTTCTTTCTCTTAGGGATATGGATACTTCCTCAGCCACTGGATTCTGAATGTGAAGCTTGCTCCTCAATTCTTTTTTTTTTTTTTATTGATCATTCTTGGGTGTTTCTCACAGAGGGGGATTTGGCAGGGTCATGGGACAATAGTGGAGGGAAGGTCAGCAGATAAACAAGTGAACAAAGGTCTCTGGTTTTCCTAGGCAGAGGACCCTGCGGCCTTCCGCAGTGTTTGTGTCCCTGGGTACTTGAGATTAGGGAGTGGTGATGACTCTTAACGAGCATGCTGCCTTCAAGCATCTGTTTAACAAAGCACATCTTGCACCGCCCTTAATCCATTTAACCCTGAGTGGACACAGCACATGTTTCAGAGAGCACAGGGTTGGGGGTAAGGTCACAGATCAACAGGATCCCAAGGCAGAAGAATTTTCCTTAGTACAGAACAAAATGAAAAGTCTCCCATGTCTACTTCTTTCTACACAGACAGGGCAACCATCCGATTTCTCAATCTTTTCCCCACCTTTCCCCCCTTTCTATTCCACTAAACCGCCATTGTCATCATGGCCCGTTCTCAATGAGCTGTTGGGTACACCTCCCAGACGGGGTGGTGGCCGGGCAGAGGGGCTCCTCACTTCCCAGTAGGGGCAGCCGGGCAGAGGTGCCCCTCACCTCCCGGACGGGGTGGCTGGCTGGGCGGGGGGCTGACCCCCCCACCTCCCTCCCGGATGGAGCGGCTGGCCAGGCGGGGGGCTGACCCCCCCCACCTCCCTCCCGGACGGGGCGGCTGGCCGGGCAGAGGGGCTCCTCACTTCCCAGTAGGGGCGGCCGGGCAGAGGCGCCCCTCACCTCCCGGACGGGGAGGCTGGCCGGGCGGGGGGCTGACCCCCCAACCTCCCTCCCGGATGGGGCGGCTGGCCGGGCAGAGGGGCTCCTCACTTCCCAGTAGGGGCGGCCGGGCAGAGGCGCCCCTCACCTCCCGGACGGGGAGGCTGGCTGGGCGGGGGGCTGACCCCCCAACTCCCTCCCGGAGTGGGTGGCTGCCGGGCGGAGACGCTCCTCACTTCCCAGACGGGGTGGCTGCCGGGCGGAGGGGCTCCTCACTTCTCAGACAGGGCGGCCGGGCAGAGACGCTCCTCACCTCCCAGACGGGGTCACGGCCGGGCAGAGGCGCTCCTCACATCCCAGATGGGGCGGCGGGGCAGAGGCACTCCCCACATCTCAGATGATGGGCGGCCGGGCAGAAACGCTCCTCACTTCCTAGATGGGATGGCGGCCAGGCAGAGATGCTCCTCACTTTCCAGACTGGGCAGTCAGGCAGAGGGGCTCCTCACATCCCAGACAGGGTGGCGGCCGGGCAGAGGCTGCAATCTTGGCACTTTGGGAGGCCAAGGCAGGCGGCTGGGAGGTGGAGGTTGTAGTGAGCCGAGATCACGCCACTGCACTCCAGCCTGGGCACCATTGAGCACTGAGTGAACGAGACTCCGTCTGCAATCCTGGCACCTCGGGAGGCCGAGGCTGGCGGATCGCTCGCGGTTAGGAGCTGGAGACCAGCCCGGCCAACACAGCGAAACCCCTTCTCCACCAAAAAAATATGAAAACCAGTCAGGCGTGGCGGCGCGCGCCTGCAATCGCAGGCACTCGGCAGGCTGAGGCAGGAGAATCGGGCAGGGAGGTTGCAGTGAGCCGAGATGGCAGCAGTACAGTCCAGCTTCGGCTCGGCATCAGAGGGAGACCGTGGAAAGAGAGGGAGAGGGAGACCGTGGCAGAGGGAGAGGGAGAGGCAGAGGGAGAGGGAGAGGGAGAGGGAGAGGGAGAGGGAGAGGGCTCCTCAATTCTTACATGCTTATCATAGATATCAAGCAGTGCTCTTGCTGTCTGCCCATCTTTTCTGACCCTGGGACACCACCCTTTATTAAGCTTTCCCATAACTCCTTGAAGGTCAAGCCCCCTTGACTGATACTCTGGGTTATCACAGTAAGTGTGCCCTCTATCTTTTTCAGGTCACTGAAAAGGAGGGTTCCTAAAGCATTCACTCCTGACCCTGAGGGAGGTGGGTGCACTCACTCCGGGACTCAGGTGCACCACAGATAAGCAAAAAAGTCCTCACATTCAAAATTGTCCTGGGCCACATGCAGCCCACGAGCTGCGGGTTGGACAAGCTTGCATCTAGAACATATACACCATAAGGCCCGAAATTTTTCTGTTTTTACTTTAATGATGCTTTCTAAATGCAAAAACAGTCATATACCTAGCAGAAACAAATGTCAGTTGAAGGAATGATCATAGAGAACCACTCTATTCTAGAGGCAATATCTTTATTAATGTAGCCTCAGGACAAATGCTTTATTTTTGTGGCAGCTACAGAACAACATCATCTCACACTGACATCAGTGCCACCAGATCTTTTCTCACCAGGGCTGCTTGTGTGTCCTCCCTCCCTCCCTCCCTCCCCCCACACCAACTCTACTGCACACTGCAGCACACAACCATATTTTTCTCTTCAGGAAAGATAACCCTAGGCTTATGGGTCCAATTTTCCAACCACATATGAATCTAAACTAGACTCTGCTTTATAAATTGATGAGTTTCTATTGGAGCCAGCACTAGGATTACTACAACTCAGGGCAGGAAGAAGAGTAGGAGTGCAGAAGAGGAGTTCCAACAGAAAGTTACCTATGATGAGAAACTATGGGACCCTGCCTCTTGGCAAATTTCAGAATCTGGTTCCTTTAAAAAGATTGCAGAAAAGATGGAAAATACAATGAGGAAAGAGCCCTGGGAAGACGGCAAGAGCTTGAACGATCTGAAAATTTGTCTCTTGATACCACAAGGACCCTGGTATGCAGGGACTGCCGTAGGTGACATCCAAGTCCCTGTGATCACAGGTCATGGTGGGACAAGGTTCTACTGAAGGGCCAAGTGTGGGTGGAGGATTACTCAGGTGCCGAGGCAAGAGACTGAAAGCACAAACTGTTTTAGTATAATAAAGAAAATAGTTAGAATAAGAATAGTCATAATACAAATTAGATATAGAGATGATCATGAACAATTATCAATCATTATTATAAACATTATTAATCATTAGCTTTTAATATTACTCTTTGTTGCATTACTAAGATAACCTAGGAATAACCGGCGGGTATAGGGTCAGGTGCTGAAGGGACATTGTGAGAAGTGACCTAGAAGGCAAGATATGAGCCTTCTGTCACGCCCGCATAAGGGCCACTTGAGGGCTCCTTGGTCAAGTGGTAACACCAGTGTCTAGGAAGGCACCTGTTACTTAGCAGACCATGAAAGGGAGTCTCCCTTCCTTGGAGGAGTCGGGGAACACTCTGCTCCACCAGCTTCTTGTAGAAGGCTGGATATTATCCAGAGCTACCTGCAGTCATCCAGAGGCCTAAACCCCTCCCTGTGGTGCTGTGCTTCAGTGGTCATGCTCCTTGTCCACTTTCATGCTCCTCCTGTACTCCTGGTTCCTCTTTGAATTTTGTAGTAGATAACGGTAGAAGAAATAGTGAAAGTCTTAAAGTCTTTGATCTTAAGTGCAGAAAAGAAAATGGTGACATATGCTACCTAAAAGGGAAGGGCCCCCTATCCTGTAATCACGTGACTTGCTTCACCTTGTCAATCATTTAGAAGATTCACCTTCCTTACCCTGCCCTTTGTCTTGTATGCAATAAATATCAGCGAGCCCAGCTGTTCGGGGCCACTACCGGTCTCCGCATCTTGATGGCAGTGGTCCCCCGGGCCCAGCTGTTTTCTCTTTATCTCTTTGTCTTGTGCTTTTATTTATTACAATCTCTCATCTCCGCACACGGGGAGAAAACCCGCTAAGCCCCGTAGGGACGGATCATACAGCCAAGGACAACAGAGCAGCAAAGATGACCCAGCTGAGCAGTGACCACATAAAGCGCACGGTGGCCTGAGCACCCACTGGGCACAGCCCCATCTACTCTCCTCTCATGCAACAAATCAGCATAAGAAACATGTGGACTCTGGAAGGTTCTCATGTCTTCCATTTATTTTGTCTCTCAAATTTTAGGAATCTTCTCCTTTAATTAACCCATCAACCTCTCATGGCAAGAATTTGAAAAAGTAAATTTATACTCAGATTCTAATTTTAATAGGGAAGTAAGAAGTTACAGCTCAGTGCACATAAAGTTGAGACAGAGATGGAGACATCTCAGCCTCACCTCTATGGAGCAGGAATGATTAATTATTGGAGACGGAACACAGGTCAGCATGAGGGAAGAGGGTCATGGTGGACATGGGGGTGGGTTGGTCTCCCCACCTCCTCATATTATGCCTACAGGAACACAGGCACATTCAGGTGCCTTTGCAGAAAGAGAGTCAGGGTTTTTGAAGTCACAAAGGGAAGGCGTGAACAAATCTTGCCTCTCAGTCCCACACAAGGCAGCTGTCTCACACTATAAAATAAAATATTCATGAACAAATTCATATCCGTCACAGTGAGGGGTGACACTTTAAACAGCCCATCACATGCTCAATACATCCAATTCAAAGAAACCCCATAGCACAGCTGCGTCCACTATTGCCCCCAACACCCCCCCACATCAGGTCCCCCAGTGTCTCACCTTTACAAGCCGTGAGAGACACATCAGAACCCTGCGCATGGTCGCTGCCTGGGGTAGAACAAAAACAGGACTTGGTCAGAGCCCAGAGGAGATGCGGCTAGAGGAGGAATCTGGGGTTGGGTGAGCTCCCCCATGGGCTCCCGACCACAATATCCCAAGGATCAGGGATCAGCCCACTTCATACTTACTTGCAGCTTCAGAGTAGCTCACTCTATCTGTGGGAAGAAAATGTCCTATGAGAGGCCAGAAAGGAGTCAGGGCCATACGGCCCTAAACAAACCCCCTAGCCTTTGATCCCAGAGAAGTTTCCTGAAAGTGTAACTGCTGATCTAGGACAGGATCAGGAAACATGAGGAAAGCAGGTGTGGGTCCTGGACCAACTGCCCTCCTGAGGTCTGTCCTCAGCAGGGACCTTCCCCTGTGACTTGTGACTGCTGGGATCAGGTCCCCATCATCATAATCATCAAGGTGATAAATCTGTCCTTCATTGTCACAGGTGCTTTACAAAAGAGTAAGTGCTGGCACACAGGGCCCAGGCTGGGTAGGCCCATGAGTGTGGATGGTGCTTCCCAGTAACCAGGCAGGACACACTTCTAACTGGGGCTTGAAACCCTCAGTGGGACAAGAAATCTCAGACCCCACTCCTCATCCATTCCTTACCTGAGTTCTTCTTCCTGCACATCACAGCAGAAACCACAGCTCCAGTGACTACAGCTCCAAGGAGAACCAGGCCAGCAACGATACCCACGATGGGGATGGTGGGCTGAGAAGACTGCTCTGGGAAAAAAGGGGAAGGTGAGCGTCCCTGACCCTCAGCCCCCAGCACCGACCCTGCTGAAGTTCTCCAGAGAGGCTCCTGCTTTCCTAAGAGACATGACCCCCCCTCCACTCATCTCCTGCCTTACCCCATCTCAGGGTGAGGGGCTTGGGCAACCCCTCATGCTGCACATGGCACGGGTATCTCTGTTCCTCTCCAGAAGGCACCACCACAGCTGCCCACTTCTGGAAGGTTCCATCCCCTGCAGGCCTGGTCTCTAGAAGCTCCATGTCCCGAGTCTGGTCCTCTCCATCCTGCTGCCAGGCCAGTGTGATCTCCACAGGGTAGAAGCCCAGGGCCCAGCACCTCAGGGTGGCCTTATAGTCAGAGACGGAATGGTGGATCATATGTGTCTGGGGGAGAGGTCTAACAGGAAGTGTCAGAAAATTCAGGCACTTTGCATCTCTCATGAGACACTCCAGCAGCACGCATGTGGCCATCCTGAGAATGGACAGGACACCTGGGGTGGGGAAGGGAGCACAGAACCCAGACACCAACCTGGACACAGGTATCTGGGATAATCTCCGAATTCCGTGGAAAATTCCAGTCCCTGAGGAGGGAACAGTGACTTCTGGTCCTGACCTGAGTGGAGGCTGAGGGACTCAGAAGAGCTGGACTCAGACCCCCACACACATTGAGTGTAAAGCAGAGAACAAGGCCTGAGGGGAAAAGTAACGGGGCCCAAGGCTGCTGCTGGTGTCAAAGGGAACCCCTCATCAGTATTCCAGGGATTGTCTTCCCTTCATTTCCTCAGAGATTTCATCCCTTAATTGTATCAGAGAGCAGGGCAGACCCTCAGAGTCACTCTCTTGTACAGGATCTGGAAACCCAGGAGGATTCCTCTCCCTCAGGACCAGAGAGAGGACGACATTCTAGTGTTGGTCCCATTTTCCTTCTCTCTTTGTGGGAAGCCAGCCCAGGAGATCTACAGGCGATCAGGGAGGCGTCTTGTGTTCCCTGGTACCCGTGAGCTGCAGCGTCTCCTTCCCGTTCTCCAGGTGTCTGCGAGCCTCTCCACGCACGTGCCCTCCAGGTAGGCCCTGATCTGCTCTGCAAATTCTTCTGCCTCCCACTTGCGCTTGGTGATCTGAGCCGCCATGTCCGCCGCGGTCCAGGAGCGCAGGTCCTAGTTCCGGGCTATGTAATCCTTGCCATCGTTGGCGTGCTGTTCATACCCGCGGAGGAGGCGCCCTTCCAGCCCCAAGTCGCAGCCATACATTATCTGGAGGGTGTTAGACCCTGGCCCCGCCCCCGCGGTCAGCCCCGCCCACCGAGCCCCGCCCCCGCCCCGACCAACCCGCGGGGATTTTGGCCTAAACGGAAAATGAAACCTGGTAAAGGCGCCTGGGCCTCTCCCGGGTCGAGGATCTGGCGGGTCCCGCAGCCTCGGGGTGGATCTTGGAGCCGGAGACTCGCGGGGGGGACCCGGGACGTCCGTGGGGGATGAGGAGGGGTCGTGACCTTCGCCCCAGGCCGGGGTCATTCACCGGCCTAGCTCTGGTGGTAGTAGCGGCGCGGCATGGGCAGGTTCACTCTTGTCAGTCTGTGCGCGGGCCTGATGTTCCGTGTGCTCCGGTCCCAATACTCCGGTCCCTCCTGCTCCAACCACGGCGACTGCGGCTACATCCTCGGAGTCGCCGCGTCGCTGTCGAACCGCACGAACTGCGTGTCGTCCACGTAGCCCACTGCGATGTACCGGGGCTCCCCGCGACCCGGCCGGGACACGGCGGTGCTGAAATACCTTATGGAGTGGGTACCTGGGGGCGAGGAGGGGCTGAGACCCGTCCGACCCTCCTCCTTGCGCTGCTCCCCGGGTCCTGCGCCCCAGTGCGCGGGCCCCTACCTCCTCCCCGCAGAGGCCATTTCCCTCCGGATCCCGCACTCACCCGCCCAGGTCTCGGTCAGGGCCAGGGCCCCCAAGAGCAGCAGGAGGAGGGTTCGGGACGCCATGACCCCATCCTCGGCGTCTGGGGAGAATCTGAGTCCCAATGGGTTCGCGGGGACTTCTGGAACAGGGACCCCAGCGACGCCGATTGGCTTCGCTAGAAACCCGACACCAAATGGGGGTGAGAACTGAGTCCACATCCTGAGTGTCCAGGAAGAAGGACCCTACATAAGTTGGGAGAGGGAGAAGAGAAACTGCGGAGATGGGGAATCCCCAACCCTGGGCCTCCCCAATCAATACATCGCCTTCGGGGCCTGAAACCCTGAGAGCCACGCCTGGGGCCATAGGACTTCGCCCTGACCCCGCTCCTCCTGTGCCAAGCGCTCTGTCTCAATGTCTCCCTGAGTCTTGGCCCAAGAGCTGTCTGAGAAACCAGGGAGAAACCCTCGTCATGGGCCCCGTCCCTCTTCATTTTTCATCCCGGAATCCCCGTCCCAGAACTGGACTCCCTGCCTCCCACTCCTTACCTATTTCCCTGAACTCTTCTAGAAAAAAACTCACCCCAGGGAGCTTGGTGACAGAGAGGGAGCTCGCCGCCAGAGAGGGAGCTCGCCGCCAGAGAGGGAGCTCGATGCCAGAGAGGGAGCTCGCCCTGGGAATGGAGGCGTAGAGACAGGTTTTTGTTTTTTTTTTCTTTAAATCCGGAAAAGTTGTGCCTGAGTACATGAGACAGCATAGAGACAAGTTTTCTCTTTGTTTATTAACTACAGTGGGTAGCAGAATCTTGGCAACCCCTAAATGATCAGGTATCTAATCGGTAAAAAAATGTAACTTTGGCCCCTTGATACATAAATGTGTCTGAAAGCATTACAACAGGACTCACAAAGCTACTAAGTTTGACTTTCGCAGACAATGTATCTGTGACTCCCGCTTGTTTTTTACATTTACCTTCATTCCACAGCCCTGAGTTACTGGGTGAGTCCAAGACATCTCCTCAATATAAAGTAGCACACTGCGTTACTATATGTTGCAACCGGGAGCCAGTACAGACTTTATTCACCTCACAGTTGCAAGTGTTCAATGCAGTCACAATGCCCCTCAGCAGTGCTCATGTGCTGCCTGTTTTTAGGAAGTATTCACGTCTAAGTGGTGTGTATATCTTATAGGAACACTTAGTATTTTTAAAACCTGATTAATTAAAAAAAATTAGTTTCTAGGCAGTCCCAAATATAGTATTAAAGGCCAACTGCAAAGAAGGAACACTAAGTGTTTTTTAAACCTTATTAACATAAAAAACATTAGTTTTTAGGCAGTCCTACATTAGGTATTAAAGGCCAACTGCAAAGAACACTGAGCGAGGCTCTGTAGATGGATGTAATAAAAATCTATAAAACAATGTGTTTAAACCTAAGAATTCTACTGCTTTCCAATTCCTTCCCTCTGCTCCTTTTCCTAACCTCCTGCTTCTCCAGCCCTTCCCTCTGTCCCTTTCATCCCTCAGGCCCTCCTCTCCCCTTAGTCCCCACCACCCTGTCACTTCTAAATTGTGGCTCTAGCATTGTCCCATTACCTGCTACGTGACTGTTCTCTCCACAGTGGTCCTGCTCCTGTGAGTCAGAGTGTGTCATTTCCTCACCTAAAACACTCCAGTGGCTCCACCTCGGTCTTGTGAAGCTTCTAGAATGTCAGGCACGTGAGCATATGAGGGCATACCTGGTTCATCTTAGGCACTAAATTTTTGTTGACTGAATGAATGAAATATGAATGTATTAAATTGCATCACAGAAAGTTATAAAATGTAAAACACTGAAAAATTAAGAAATATTTTATTTTATGTAACTAGTGTGCATATCAATTCATTCCGAGTCTGTTGAGCCTGTGTATGAATTTTATAAGATTGCATAACAAATTATCACAAACATTGACTTTAAACAACACCCAATTATTGTTGATTTATTTGTTTTTAGAGACAGAGTCTCCCTCTGTCATCCAGGGTGAAGTGCAGTCACATGATCATGGCTCACTGCAGCCTCAAACTCCTGGGCTCAAGGGATCTTCCTGCCTCAGTCTTCAGAATAGATAGGACTGCAGACAAGTGCCACCACGCCCAGCTAATTAAAAAGAAATTGTAGAGATGAGTGTCTCACTGTTTGATCTTGGCTGGTCTCAAATTCCTGGATGCAAGTGATCCTCCTGTGTCAGCTCCTCAGATGTTAGGATTGCAGGTGTGCATTACCACGCCTGGCCAAACAACACCCATTTATCTGTTTATAGTACCTTAGTCAGAAATCTGGGCATGATGTGGATGGAATCTCTGTTCCGGGCTTCCCAAAGCTGTGTTTTCATTTTGAATCCTCCTTCAGGCTTATACAGAGGTGGCAGAATGCAGTTTCTTGCAGTTCTAAGACTGAGGTCCCTGTTCCTTGCTGGCTGTCAATGTAGAGAACAGGGAGGGCTGCGCTCAATTCCTGATGCCCACCAGTGTTCTTCCCTGTACAGCCCCTTCATTTTCAAAGCCCACAGTGGAGGAAACCCCTCATGCTGAATCCCTCTCACACTGTGAATCTCTATGCTCAGGAAGAACCCAATCCTTTCAAGGACTCACCTGATTAGGACAGTCCAAGCAGCATAAACCCAGCCTAAAGTCAACTAATTGAGGCCCTTAATTATATCTGCTAAATCCATTCACAGCAGCACCTATATTAGAGTTGGTTGAATAATGGGGGGAAGGTGAATGACCAGGAGCTTGTTGTTGAGGCCATCATAGAATCAGCCTAGCAAGGGCTGGATCTTCTTTTTGTGTTCACTTGGGACACAGTTGCAAATTGAAGTTCAAGTAAAGTAATCATTGTGAACGGTAATAAAATACATCCTTTTCAGCCATGAAAATTCTCCTTACCTTTTAAAACTAAGTTACATATTTATATCTTTTAATTAATTTAGGCCAGATTTGGTGGCTCACACCTGCAATCCTAGCATTGTGGAAGGCAGAGGAAGGCAGATTTGTTGACTCCAGAAGTTCAAGATCAGCCTGGGCAACATGGGGAAACCCCCATCTCTACAAAAAATTAGAAAATTAGCCAGGCACAGTGGTTCATGATTGTACTCCCAGCTACTCAAGAGGCTGAGGTCAGAGGGTCCCTTGAGCCCAGGAGGTCTACACTGCAGTGCATGGTGATCATGCCACTGCACTCCAGCCTGGGTGACAGAGTGAGACCCTGTCTCAAAAATAATAATAATGATGATGATAAATTTAGAGCAAATGCAAATTAACATGTAATAATACATCCTCTCTTGTGAAAATGTATTAGTTATTTACTATTGCATAACAAATTATGTAAAATGTACCATTTCAAAATAACAAATATTGATCATCTCCCACAGTTTCCAGTTGTCAGGAATCCAGGAGAAGTTTCCCTGAGTGCTTCTTGCTAAGGGCCTCTCACAAGGTTGCAGTCCAGTTGTCAGTCTAGGCCTGCATCATCTGAGGGCTTCACTGGGGCTGAGGATTCACATGAAACATGGATCAGTCACATGGCTGTTGGAAAAGGCCTAGTTCATTGTAATTGGGTCCCAGAAGGCCTCAGTTCTTAGCCAGATGGACCTTGCTGCAGGGCTGCTCATGGCACAGCAGCTGACTTTCCCCAGAGCTCATGATCCCAGAGACAGAGAGAGAGAAGGTGGAAGCTGCAGGGAGTTTTAGGTTCTACACCCAGAGTCACAAGCTGTTATGTCGGCATTGCTCCATCAGAAGTTGTATTAGTCTGTTCTCACACTGCTATAAAGAAATACCTGAGACTGGGTAATTTATAAAGGAAAGAGGTTTAACTGACTCCCAGTTCTGCATGGCTGAGGAGGCCACCCCAGGAAACTTACAATCATGGCAGAAGTGGAAGAAAACCCGTCCTTCTTCACATGGTGGCAGGAGAGAGAAATGCAGAGCGAAGCGGGGAAAAGCCCCTTATAAAACCATCAGATCTCATGAGAATTCACTCACTATCATTAGAACAGCATGATCCAATCACCTCCCATGAGGTCCCTCCTTCAATACTGGGGATTACAATTCGCATGACAATTGAAGATGTGATTTGGGTGGGAACACAGAACCAGGCCATATCAGAAGTGCATCATTAAGTCCAAGCCACACTCAAGAGAGGGAATTCAGCTGCACCTCTGGAAGGGAGCAGTATTAAAGGATTTGCATATATGTTAAAAGCAAAATTCAAACTATTATTTCAGGATTTTTAAGTTAAAGGCTTTTAATCTAATTATTTTTCCTTAACATTTTAATCTTGTCCTTTAATTTAATTTAGTTTAATGTTAAGTTCCAGGGTACATATGCAGGATGTGCAGGTTTGTTACACAGGTAAACGGGTTCCACGGCAGTTTGCTGCACCAATCAACCCATAACCTAGGTATTAACCCCTGCATGCATTAGCCATTTTTCCTAATGCTCCCCCCACCACCGCCCTCCCCCAACAGGCCGCAGTGTGTGTTGTTCCTCTCCCTGTGTCCATGTGTTCTCATTGTTCAGCTCACAATTATAAGTGAGAACATGTGGTGTTTGGTTTTCTGTTCCTGTGTTAGTTTGCTGAGGATAATGGCTTCCAGCTTCATCCATATCCCTGCAAAGGATTTGATCTCATTCCTTTTTATGGCTGCATAATATTCCATGGCATATATGTATCATATTTTCTTTATCTAGTCCCTCATTGGTGGGCATTTGGGTTGATTCCATGTCTTTGCTGTTGTGAATTGTGCTGCAATGAACAAACACATGCACATATCTTTATAATAGAATGATTTATATTCCTTTGGGTATATACCCTGCAATGGGATTGCTGGGTCAAATGGTATTTCTGGTTCTAAATCTTTGAGGAATCACCACACTGCCTTCCTCATTGGTTGAACCAATTTACATTTCCACCAACAGTGTAAAAACATTCCTATTTCTTTACAACCTCGCCAGAATCTGTTGTTTCTTAACTTTTTAATAATTGCCATTCTGACTGGCATGAGATGGTATCTTATTGTGGTTTTGATTTGCATTTCTCTAACGATCAGTGATATTGAGCTTTTTAAAATATGTTTTTTGGCCACCTGTATGTCTTCTTTTGAGAAGTGTCTGTTCATGTGCTTTGTCCACTTCTTAATGAAGTTGTTTTTTTCATGTAAATTTGCTTAAGTTCTTTTTAGATTATGAATATTAGACCTTTGTCAGATCGATAGATTGCATAAATTTTCTCCCATTCTGTAGGTTGTCTCCTTTTCGCTCTGATGATAGTTTCTTTTCCTGTGCAGAAGCTCTTTTGTTTAATTAGATCCCATTTGTCAATTTTTGCTTCTGTGGCAGTTGCTTTTGGCAATTTCATCATAAAATCTTTGCCCATGCCTATGTCCTGAATGGTATTGCCTAGATTTTCTTTCAGGGTTTTTCTAGTTTTGGGTTTTACATTTAAGTCTTTAATCCATCTTGAGTTAATTTTTGTGTAAGGTGTAAAGAAGGGGTCCAGTTTCAATTTTCTGCATATGGCTAGCCAGTTTTCCCAGCACCATTTATTAAATAGCGTTTCCTTTCCCCATTGCTTGTTTTTGTCAGGTTTGTTGAAGATCACATGGTTGTAGATGTGAGGTCTTATTTCTGAGTTTTCTATTCTGTTCTGTTGGTCTATATGCTTGTTTTTCTACCAGTACCATGCTGTTTTGGTTACTTTAGCCTTATAGTATAGTTTTAAGTAGGATAGCCTGATGCCTCCAGCTTTATTCTTTTTGCTTAGCATTCTCCTGGCTACACAACCTCTTTTTTGGATCCATATGAATTTTCAAATTTTTTTTTCTAATTCTGTGATAAGCTTCTCTTTTTAAATTAATGATTAAATGTTTGAGACATGACAGAGCCTTGGGTGCTGCAGAGAAAACAGTTTGAGACAGAGAAAGGAGAAACAACAGTATCTCTGCGTTTCTCTTGTAAATACCTTTAATAACAATGTTTTTCAATAAGTTAACACAGTTGAGAACATAGAGTAACTAGATCAAATAGTTCCAAGACTTCAGTGCCATAAGAATCATGCCTTGAAAATAAGTCTTTGTTTTGTCTAAGATGTCTCAAATTTAGTGGAAGTATGCCCCAAGTGCCAATTTTCTTATTGACATATCATCTTCAGAAAACATTTGCCTACACTTAAAAAAAAATACACACACACTGCTCTGTCTATGGAGTAGCCATTCTTTTGTTTCTTTACTTCTCTAATAAACTTGCTTTCACTTAGAAAAAATTGCATAATCAGATTGCTTCTCATTTACAAAAATGGGAATCTCATACTTCAGTCAACACATCTAGCTTAGCATAATGCCAGTAACTTTGGTTTGATGCAGTAGCCCAAAATGCTTAACTCGAATTGAGAATCAAATTTTTTCCAAAAATGGCTCAGGGGCATTCTATTGTAAACTTAACATTTTTGGGTGTGGTATTGCATGAGATGTGGTAGAAGTGATTTGGACACTACTACAGTTCTAAATAGCACTGCTATTATGTGCTTCTGAAGCTTTCTTTTTTTTTTTTTTAGCTGTCTTATTTTGCTTTCCATTCATATTTGCTATTCCATCACTGGTTGTTCCTTTCTACTCTTTTCTTGTTTCATTTATTTTGATCAGTGATGTGTATTTCCATTTCTGTGAAAGTTTAATTCAGTTGTATGTGTGGTAAAATGTAACACCAAATCCTTTGCAAGAAGGAATTACCTTGCACATCAGATTGAACATTGTATACTTGAAAATCCAGAGAGATGCCAGTGAGCTAAGGATCAAATGAACTATTATTAACCAAGGCCATTTTCATCACATCCTGGTCCTCTCTGTCACATGGCTGCTTACATTTCTCTGTGGTTTTCTTTCAATGTAAGTAGTTCTTGTTAAGGATCCTTGCAATGAACTTTGGTATTCTTTTCCTTTCATTTTTATAAATACCAGGTATATTTTAATTTGAAAACTCTGTTTAACAAATTACAATCATGTAACTAAAAAGATGCCCAACACTGGTGTAAAACACAAACCTGTAAAGCTCCCCTGGGCTGCTGCCCAGTCACATCCCCCAGAGAGAGAGACTCCATCCTGAGTCTTGTGATCCTTATTCCTTTGTATTTCTTTAAAGATTTGCACAATAAGTATATATATATATATGTACATATATATATCCAAAAAAAAATTATTTACTTTTGCTGGTTTTTAAGCTTCCTGTACAGCAAATTCCTACTGCGTTTATTTTCCCATGATGCACATTACGTACAGGAGTTATCTGTGGTGTGGGAGGCTGTCATTCATTCATTTTCACTGCTGAAGGTTTACATTTTATGCCACAATTTCCTATTGATGTATATTTCCTATTGATGTATATGTGGCTGATTCCAGTTTTTGCCATAAACATCAGTGTGCCTGTCTCCTGGGCACATAGGCAAGAAAGCCCGCTAGAGTGTATGGTTAGGAGTGGGAGGGTTGGACGATATGTTGTATGGACTTTAACCATACTAGATAATGATAATATGATTTCCAAGGTGATTGTGTCAACTTAAACTCATGTGTTCTGAAAACACCTAGTTGAAGGAATTGAGTTAAAAGCCACTGTCTTGGCTGCAGAATTATAGCAGGCATTTTTATTCAGACTCTGTTAATAACTTCCTGTTGTTTACTTGTTTCTTATATACCATGGTATTATACTTTTGACATATAGATTCAGAAAATGCTTACTGATAGCACAATCACGTAGGGGTTATTTAATATGTTAGGAAAATTTCATAATAAAAAGGAAAAAATGGAGGAAGGGAGAGAAAGAAGGAGGAATTGAGGAAGGAGTGAAAGAAGAAAAGAAGGAAGGGGAAGGGGAAGAAAAAGGACGGAAAGGAGGAAGGGAGAAGGAGGGTGAGAGATAGAATGGAAGTAAAGAGGGAAGGAGGGACAGAAGGAAAGAGAAAAAGAAGGAACAAAGGAGAAAAGAAACTAAAATAAAGAAAAGAATAGGCGTTGGGAACTGGAAACCCTCTGTATGGCTAATATTATCAAAATAGGAGGAAATAAAATAGACGTAGTTAACCTCTATAGAATAACGGAAATGTAAGAAGGCTGCATTAGTTATCTGTTGCTGTGTAAAACACTACCCCCAAATTTAGTGACTTACAGCAACAAACATTGGTGAACTCAAAAACATAATACAAATACCAGCAAAATGGAGCCAATGCAGGTAGAAGAAGTTGAATAAACAAAAAGATTTTACACGTTGGAATAAGTAAGAGGTCACTGGTGTGCAGACGAAAATGATTTTGTAGTCCAAATGCTCCAAAAAGCAAGTGCCATCATAGGATTAAAGTTACAGCATTTTATTAGGGGACACACCTGTCAGACGATATGGTGAGGGAGGTAGGTTACCCTGGGAAAGGCAATAGAATAAGATGCAAGTGTGACCCCCAGTGATGGAAAGAAGGAAGGAAGGATTACTTAACATGTCCTAGACCACAGGCAATCTAAGGAGAGTTGAGCAAGGCCATGGAGGAGTCCTCCAGCCACAGCTGGCCATCAGAGGAGTCCCCTGTCTTCCAGGAATGTCCTGCCTTAGTGTCACTGGTGTGACCCATCACTGGTTGGGAATAGTCCATGGGAAGCAGGGCCTCAGCACCAATGCCACTGAGGATGTCAGAGCACAGGAGCACGGCCTTGGAGGATTACCCAGGAGTGTGACTCAAACCTTCTGCCCTGATGGGTCTGGGCCCTTGGAAATCAAATCCTCTCAGGCTGAATTGCTGGATAATTCTACTCACACTTGCAATGGGGTGAGGGAAAACAGAAGGCCCCCAGGTGGATCTCTGGTTTCCACACTTCTGCCTTTATTGTGTGAAAGTAGCCATGCCTCCTCCTGGGGATGAGGATCTATTACCTGGGCCTGGAGAGGAGGAGACTCCTCTTCTCACCAGGTGGTCTCTGGGCATATACTGTCCACACTTCTCTGGTGACACACTTAATGTGTAGTTCAGTGGGCTGTCTTTTGTCTGCTTTTAAGGGTACCCTCCTTTGCAAACCAGGACCTCGTACCCTGCACAGCCCAGTGTTCTGAGATAAAACATGTCAAATACCCCATTACGTGAATCTAAAACATTAGACATGGAGCCATACTTGCTTCCACCGTTTGATTTCTGGACCCACATGTTCTTCCTCTTGCGAACACAGAACTGTAGAGACATCTCTGATTTAAACAACGCACCATGTCCTGAAAGATGGCATGCAACCCTCAGAGTGTTTCCTCCAGGCTGGCACTTAGTTGTGCCTGTGGAAGATCACGGGACTCCAAGCAACTATGTGGTTCCAAGTGCCTGTGTGACCCAGAAAGTCATAGATTGCACAGGCCAAACAGCATTCATCATGAGGTGAAAATGGTCCACCTGGGTTGAGCTTGAATCCCATGTTGACACCCACAGAAAACAGCCAAGTCTGAAGTGTCATTAAACAACGAAACAGACAAATGGAAGTTAGCCAGCCTTCACTATGGGTCAGCCCATGCATGATAGGATGGGCACATGAATGGAACAACCACAGTGGCAGGTGTGAGGCTACATATGGGGCATTCCTTGTGGCTGGCAGCCCCTGGGGAGAGTAGCTGGTGATAGGGTTAGTGGAAGGAACAGCCATGGAAACACTGAATCTTTCCCTTGCCAAGTGGGTCCTTCAGGCAGATAATGGGCTAGGAGCACAACCTAGCCTGCAGACCAGGAATGTCAACAGCATCCAGAGAATGGTACTGGCTATGTCTGAGAGCAGGACAGAAAAACCCCCCTAGAATAGGTACCTAACCCTGTGAAGATGAACCTCTGGTCCTTCCAGGATGGAAGTAGGTAAATGTAGTCAACTTCTTAGTTAATGGCTAGTCACCTAAAGAAATAGTGCCCCACTAGGGCATATCATGGGCCTAAAATGCTGATGAGTTGGACATTCAGAGGTGGCAGCAGCTGGATCTGCCTTGGTAGGGGGAAGTCAGTGCTGCTGGCCCTCATGCCTGCCACTGTGGTTGCTCCATTCATGCACTCATCCTACCAGGCCTGGGCTGACCCATGGTGAAGGCTGGCTAACTTCCATTTGTCTGTTTGGTTGTTCAGTGCCACTTCAGACTTGGGTGTTTTCTGTGGGTGTAAACGTGGGATTCAAGCTCAACCCAGGTGGACCATTTTCACTTCATGATGAATGCTGTTGGGCTTGTGCAATTTATGATGTTGTGGGTCACAAAGGCACTTGGAACCACATAGTTGCCTGGTGTCCTGTGGTCAAGCTTTCTATCAAATCAGGACAAGGAACACTAAAAGTTGCTTCTAACAGGGGGCATATGTCTCTGCTGTGGATGATACGATCTTACTCCAGAATCCCAGGCCCTTCACTGTGACTCTTCCACTGGTGCTTGGTTCAGCTCCATCCTGCATCTTTCCCCACCACTGGCACCACCAGCCCCAGGGGGTCTGAGGGACGCTGGCTGCTCGCACCATGGCCTGGATCTGCTGCAGGGTCCTTTCCTGTGTAGGCCCTACTTGAAGCTGGCCTCCTCCTATATCACCTAGAGTGTTTGCCAAAGCACGTACCTAGATGTGGAATGTGGTGTTGTCAGAACTCAAAGAGGCTCATCAGGCAGTGTGCTTCCTTCCTTCTGGTGAGGATGCAAGATGAAACAGTTTGTCTTTTACCTTGGAGGGAACACACCTGCATTCCCCTAAACACTTGGCACTTGTTAACCCATAAAACTTCACTTCAGTGGCCACTCTTGAAGCTCTGTAAGGTTTATCTTCACATACTGGAGTGCGTGTGTTTTGCCAATGACTCCAGTGCACTTTCTACCTGCTGCTCATTCACCGCAGTCAACATGAAGTTGTCAGTGAAATGAGCTGATTTAATATCCTATAGAATATCCAGTATGTCTAGTATTGTCTTTAGACCATACTATATAGGGCAGGGGAGTTACAATAGCCCTGAGAAAAAACTATAAATAAATGTGTTGTGGATCCCACATGGATGTGAATCGCTCCATATCCCCTTTCTAATTGGAGTGGAAAGAAATGCACTCACCAAATCCATAGCTGCACGCTGTGTGCCCGAGGCTTTATTATTCTGCTCTGCAGTGATATCCAGACAACATAAAAGCTGCAATTATAATTCCTGCTTGGCCAGACCTGGAGTAATCTCATTCATTCTTTAGTCCTCATCAGGGTTCCTCAGGGACAGGTTGCTGGATTATGTAGAGACAATAGACAACCCCAACACCATCCCACATCCTTCAGCTCTCTAATGGTGGTGTGACTCCCACATTACTTTCAGTGTCTTCCTCAAGACACACCCTGGGACACACTATGATTTTTTTTTTTTTTTTTTGCCAGGATGTGGGCAGCGTCAGAGGTTTCCCTTTGGCTTTCAGCACAATGAGAGTCCTGACTCCACAGACTAGGGACCCAGTGTGGGGGTGACTCCACTTAACAGTGCATCAGTGTCAATTATGTACTCAGGGAATTGGAAGATAACCAGGGCTGGGTCTATGGAACCAGTAGTTCCATTGTGGGCTGTAATGTGTCCAGGTTTACTCCCTGACCTCCGTAAGCCCCACTGTGATGGGAGACATGATAGTGCTGTGGGCATCTGGGCATCAATGTCAGCTCTCACTCAGTGTCAATAATCTGACCAGTTCTGCATCTTTCCTTTCGCCAGTGTACAATCTCCTGAGTAAATGGCTATAGGTTCCTTTGCTGAAGGACTGAGGGAATTGTGCCAGCATTTACTTCCACGGGGTTGCAGGGTATTCCTCCTAGGGATATGGACTCCTCCTCTGTCACTGGGATCTGAATCTGAACTTTGGCTGAGGTCTAGGCATTGAGGATGGGATCATGACTTTGTATTGGGTCAAACACCTTCACCCTCCTGCTTCTCAATTCTTGCTTTCTTATCATAGATATCAAGCAGCGCCCTTGTTGGCTTCCTGTCCTAATCCTGGGACAACACCCTCTACTATCCTTCCCCACATTCCCTGCAGCTTGAGTCCTATTGGCTACTCCTTTTAGTTTGCCATAGTAACTCTGCCCTCTGGCTTTTTCAGGTCACTGCCACCATTTGGTCTTTGTGTCTTCAGGGCCACACTCTCCCCAGGGTTATTAATAAATGTAACTCTGGGTCATCTTTACTACCATCACATCCAGCCTGCAGAGGACAACACCCCGACACTTCTTAATGATGCAGGTCCCTCTCACCATCACGTTTCTGAGGCTCTGGTGGAAGGTGTTTCCTTTGGACTGTCTTGTGGAGCATGGTACTGGTGGGCCTTCACCATGCCCACTTCCCTCAGCCTTGTTATTCCATCCTGTGCAAGTTCCAGGGCAACTAAGTCACGTCTACCTTGTTGAGAGTTAGGCATCATTTTTTCTAGTCTATATGGATTCACCCCAGCGGTGGGTTTGGCCCCCCGCTTATCAAAGTCCTGGGGTGTTTGATAAACCCATGCCTTGAGAAAGTGCCTCCAAGCCAAAGGATTTTTATTCTTCCAGATTGAAATTCTGGTTCCTTGATCAAACACCCTCAAATTCCAATCCCAGAAGTGCTCCTCAGCCTCCTATGGGGACGTGCCAGCTAGTTCCTGCAAAGCTCTTCAGTGGGATTCCTGCTGTATCATGGGGGTGAGACTTCTGTAGCATCTTCCAGCATAGGAAGTGGGAACCATTACTAGAGAAGGGTGAGCCTCCTATGCATGCCCAGAGGATCCTGGAGGGCACCCATCGGATAACCCTGTTCCTGTTTGCAGAATCTCAGGTTTCCCCACCAGGGTCCTGACTTTCCTGTAACAGGCCTGCCTTGGCTGAGTGGCAAACCTCTCTGGAGCACTGTGGCCCTCATAATGATGTCTTCAGCTACCATTCCACGGTATCTGCCCTTTCGCTACAAGAGATAAAGACCTCTGCATGAGACACTGCAGAGGCTGTCACATGTAGCCAGTGACAGCTGTTAACAATCTGCAGATTCTCATGATACTTTCATAGGGCATCATTGCAGCTGAGCAGCAACCAGCCAACTCCACTGTCTTTGTAGGTTTCCCCCTAACCCCGTCATTATTGTGCAGGGCATTCTATCACCCCACCTGCCATAGCTTCCCCTAACCAGGGCATCCTCTCAGCTCAGCACGGGTGAGACCCATAGCAGCTCAGCTGCATCCTGTGCTATGGAATTTCTGTGTCTCCCACAACCCTGGTGGCATCCTCTTGGCCTGCCAGGCAGTGGGCAAGCTTTTTTCAAATTCTCATTTTTGCCTGTTTTCATGGATCACCCTTCATACTACTTGTGTTAGTTAGGGTCCCCTGAGGAGCAGACCCCAATACAGTATTCAATGTGCAAGGATTTATTGGAGGAAATAGTTATGAGAGAAATTCAGGACACAGACGGAAAATGCTGGGAATGTCATCAGACCACAAAGCAACTCTGAACCCCAGTGAGGTAAACAGTGCAGGAAGGTCAGCTGGAAGCATCCTAGACCCTGTGCAGGCTAACAGAAGTTCAGTAAGCGTGGCAGGAAGCCCTAGAGCTTCAGTCAGCCTTCAGAGAAGAAATGTTCCTGCCTTAGTTTCTGCCCTGCTTTCCTCAGTCATTGGCAGGAAAAGACAGGGGGCAGGTGTGGTCTCAGAGCAAATGTGGCAATAGGTTTCAGGATTCAAAAGTTGAGGCCACTATCAATTCTGCTTACTCTAGCTGAGGGGCTGGGATGTGCATTCTCATGACTGCCACAATGATCCAGTGGGGAGAGAGGAAAAAGGTTGATGATAAAGAGAAAAAAAGGTATTAATTGATGAACTGACACCTTTAAGTAGATGATAAGGGATGATGTTTGGGGCACCAGAAGAGGGATTGGCTCTGGCTGGGAGCAGAATGGTTTACCCACAACAGTCCCCGACATGGTAAAACACCTGACATGTGTTGCAGCTGCAAATGCATGAGCAGATGGTGATGGAATCTGTCTTCTAATGTGTTCAGTTTTCTCAGTGAGGTAGGAACCAAGGTTGTCAGCTGAGATAAGAATGGGGAAGGAGGGTTGGATGTGTGAGCACAGAGAGAAGGTGTGTAAGGGTCACCTAGGCCAGGAGGAGGCTGAGGGTGAGCCATGCAGGGAGAGGGTGATTGCTGGCCCTGGTGGGGGCTCCCCATGTGGTTTGGGTCATGAAGTTAGAGAAGACACCAACGATGAGGGACAGTGAGTAGATGGCAGAATCACTGGATTGGTATTCCCAGGGTGGGGGTCGAAGGATTGTTGGAATTGATGTGCTAAAGGGTGGACTTCAAGCCTGGAATGCAGGCACATATGCAATGAGTAGTCACTGATATTACCTCACAGCATATGATAAAGTGATAGAGTCTGTGTCCTCAGAGCCTGTGGCCACCTTGCATGGGATGAGTGGAAAGATGGCCAGAGAGTGGGAAGTGTGAAATTGAGAGTATGGAAGGGCTGGGGTCCTTGGGCATGATGAGGCCTAGGGGATGACAGGGGCATGAGATTCAGGCAGAGAGAGGAGAAGGTCATGGAGGAGAGGAGTTCCAGGATCTGAGAGTCCAGGGAGCAAGGGCATCTTCTCTGCTGTATAGGTGTCTATTGCTGCCATAAAAATTACCACAAACCAAGTGGCTTTAAACAGCACCTAATTATCATGTTACAGTCCTGTAGGTTGCAAGTCCGCACAGTCTTATGGGGCTAAGGTCAAGGTATGGGCAGGTCTGTGTTCCTTCCTGGGGACTCTGGGGAAGAATCCACTTCCAAGCTCATTCAGGTTCTTGTCTGAATTCACTTTCTTGCACATAGAACAGAGGTTTCCACTTCCTTGTTAAGAGCCACCCTTAGCTCCTAGAATCTTCTTTCAGCTACTCACACATGGTGCCTAAGGCACATCCAATCCTCCTGCTTGGAACGTCTGACCTCCCCTCTTCTATGTCTCCTCTGCCTTCCTCCTCTGCAGAATCTGACTCCAGCCAGGGCAGGTTCTCTGCTTTTAGTGGCTCATTTGATTTGATTGGGGCCACACAGATTGTCCAGGAGAATCTCCCTATTTTAAGGTCCTTAATCATCATTACATGAGTAAAGTCCCTTTTACCATGTAATGCAACCTGTTCACAGGTTCCAAGGACTAAGACTGGACCTCTTTCGGGACCATTACTCAACCCACCACATGTTGAAGTCATCAACAGTCAAGGAGACTGCTGGAGAGGGTGACAGTGAACCAAGAGCTACAAGAGTCAGGATTGAGAGGAAAGGCCAGGGGCCCACAGGGAATGGCTACAATGAGGGGAATGGGGGTCTAATCTGATGACAGCTTAGGGGTTTTAGGGAGGAGGGAGGCAGAAAGTTCTGAGAACCACAGTGAGGAGAAAGGACCCCACCTCACCTCTGAACCCAGGGGTACAAGTCCATGGGGGAAACTCCCCTATGTGGGAGGACTTTGGAGGGGGTCATGTCCTCAGGGAGACCAGGTTGCTGCTGGAGCTGTGAGGTGCAGGAACATCCTGAGGGAGGGTGTGGAGGTTTTGCTGATCATTGACTGAGATTCCAGGGGGTGCACTGGGAAGATTTCTGTGGTTCAGGAGGTTGGGGAGACAGAATAGTGGTGTTCAGAGCCTTGTGGGGATGTGAGTGCAGAGTATGTGGGGGACCCAGTGTCACTGACACAAACAGGGAAAGGACATGATGAGCTGAGTCCTGGTGGACTCGGCGCAGACAATGGTGCTGAGGCTGTGGGAGATGAGGGAGGAGGAGCAGGGGTGGCTCTCACCTGGGCTCTGTCCGTGGAGGTGAGGACAATGAGGTGGTTGTGTCTCAGTGCTGTGTGGAACTTGTTTTTGACCTCCTTATGAGTGGATGGTCTGTCTGAGATAGAACGGGTCTTAGAGGATTTACTCATTACCCTGAGAGAGGGGGCGTGTTCATTCCAGGTTTCAGGTCTGCCCTGACACCTTTCTTTGTGGCTTAGACCTCCCTACTGTAAATTATTGGGTGTTAGTCCATTCTGGAGTTCATAACTTAAAGCAGAAACTCAGATGGTTGAAATGTCATTTTCATGAAGGATTTTTATTAGAGTATCATTTAGATTGCCTTTGCAACCTCCCATGTGTTTTGTTTTTTTTTCTAAAAGGCTGCTAATCTTGTTTTAAATTTGCAATGTAGTTAATTTATCTTCACTGTTAATTAGTTGTGGGTTGTTTAACCTTATACCATATAGTTTTACATATCTATAACAACAGTAGTTTGGGCCTCTTGTATTCTAATAGTTAAGTCCTTAAGCTGTGTACACATTGCAATTCAAGTATGAGTCATGCATAACCGTAGCACTAAGAGACAAGAGGGAAATCCCTCTCTCCTAAAATTTTGCAAAAGTTCTGGGTTTTTTTTCCACTGAGTGGGAACAAGTCAGCTAATCATGAACATGAGGTCTTTGGCCTCATTTAAAGGTGCTTCAGAAGCACTGAGCCATAGGAAGGCCTCTTTGTCTAGGTCCAGGACCCTACACCATGGCAGAAGCCATCTTCCATCCCAGTGTGCAGTGATGTCCCAGATAGCGAATTGGTTAGCCACTTTTCAGTCTCAGGCAGTTTTGTTTTCCAAAACATGGGTTTTTATCTCAGGACCTTCTTGTCCCCAGATGATCAAAACCGGGGCCATCCACTCCCTTCTGAGCCACTTCTGCCTGGGGGGCCCGTGGCTGTGTCCTCCAGTCACAACAGAACATTCCTTCAGAACACCTGCAGGAAGACAACATCTTGTCATTGGCTCACACATGCACGGTGCATGCACAGAGCTTTGGTTCTAGTTCAGGAGGTGTGTGGGGAGGAGGCTCACTAGTCCAACAGAGCTTGGTACCAGTGTCGTATGCCAGGAGCCAAGGTTACAAGGATGCAAAGTTCCCAGACCTACCAGAGAAGGCAAACCCTTGCAGCATGCAGGGCTAGACAGGGGCAAGAAACAAGGTCATTCCGGGCCAGCAGGAAGAGAGAAAGGGAAACTACAGACGTACCTCAGAGACACTGCAGATTTGGTTTCAGACCATGGCAACAAACAAGTCACACAAATTTTTGTTTTTCCAGTGCATAGAAAAGTTATATTCACACTCTACTGTAGCCTATTAAGTGTATGATAGCATTATGTATAAAAGAACTATGTATATACCTTAATTTAAAATTACTCTATTGCTCAAAAATGCTAAGGATCATCTGAGGCTTCAGCTAATCTTAATCTTTTTGCTGGGGCACGGTCTTGCCTCAATGTTGATGATTGCTGGCTGATCAGGAGGGTGGTTGCTAAAGGCTCTTATGGCAACTTCTTAAAATAAGACAATGAAGTTTGCGGCATGGATTATAAAGGGGGAATCAGTACTTAAGTAAGGTCAATATAAGTTTTCAAGTTAGGTGGACCTGAATATGAACCCTCCAGGCCTTTCCACCAACTAGCTATAGAGCCTTGGACACATCTTGGCCATAGCTGGCCCCGACAGACACTCTCCCAGCGGGTGAGTGCTCAATGAACCCATCTGAGCCAGTTGCCTCACCCAACCAGTGATATAATTCCTTCCTTGCAGAAGAATAAGTGAAAAAAGGCACAGTGCCAAGAGAATCAGACACACGACCGGCGGAAGGCTGTGCCAGTGCTCTAAAGCAAGTTCTGCCTAAAGCGGCAGAAACATTTTTCACATTAGGAACAGGAGTTGTTTGGGATCCTGTCTGGGGCCAGGTTGAGAGCAGAGTAGGAGTGGGGGCCTGGGTAGGGCCAGGCACTGGAGTGAAGACAGGCCTGGAGAGAGCCTCCTGAAGGCTGCTGAGCGGCTCAGACAGCTCTTTGCCTCACCTGCCACAGTCCTCCCACTCCCCTGGCTCTCTCGGTGCTGTTTTCTTCACCTCCTCCTGCCCTCCTGGTCCCTGGCACCCCAGGGCTCATAAACATGCTGCTCCCAAAACTCCAAGGCAAGTATGGAAGGGCAGAACAGCTTCTGGGACAGTGGGAAGATGAGGCCACCCCCTAGGTGGCTCCAAGTGCTCGGGTGGAGGAGATGAAGGGATCAGTACAGTAGTCGGGGGAAATTCTCTCAATCCCACCCTGCACTACCCTCACCTCTGCAGCTTTTTGCCTATTTCCAACTCTCAGCTCCTTCCACCCCCACCCCAACCCAGCCCTCCGGGCTCCCTCTCTCCAGCCCTCCCTCTGCCCAGAGCAGCACAGTCCAGAGTCCTTGAACAGGAATTCCCCCTCATCTAACAGTTAATCATTTATTAGTGGGGACAGACACCTGGTCGTCTCTTTCCAGTGACCCCACATCCTCATTCAAGGCATCCAGATATAGCCCCTGAGCCAGGGATCTGTATCTGCCCTCCAGAGGCCTATGCCCAGGACAGGTTGCTCCCTGGGATTCTCAGTACAGGTGGACTTAAGCTAATGGGCTGGAAAAAGAGAAAACAACGTCGAATTCCTCACTTACCATGAGATCTTGCAACACAGGTTCCAAGGGCCTCAACCCCTCTACCCTGGCTGATGTTCCCTCCTCCACTCCCTCTGACCAGGGCCCTGAGCCCCCCACACAGCTGAGCTGGCCCAAGCCGAGGAGTTGCTTGCACAGCAGCTGGAGTTGGACCAGGCCCTCCTGGAAGGGAAGGAGTGGGTGGGGGCCCGGGCCCTGGTGCTCAAGATCCAAAAGCTAAAGAAACAGATGAGGAGGCACTGAGAGAGCCTGGGAGGAGAGAGCCTGGGAGGGGACAGCCAAGCTTCCCAGCAGTGCCCACAGCACCCTCCATGCCTGGAACTAATGTGCACCACCCCCCAGGAACCCCAGGATCAGAAACACCCCAGCATCTCCCAGGCCAGAGAAAGCAGAAGAGACCCCACAAAGGGCTGGCAATTGGCAGGTAGTGGGGGAGCCAGGGCTCTGCAGTCTTAGTCCCATCCCTCTTTGACCTCACAGCAGGGCACCAAGGCCTTGCAGGAATTTACCCTGGGCCATGCCCTAAAATAACCTCACCCCAAATAAAATAAAGGGAGAGAGCACCCACACATAATGCAGAGGCACTTGTGTTTCATTTTTAGTTATGTTAAAAATTCTGACAATCAGGAATGGGGGTTCAGGAGTGGTGCTGAGGCAGAGGACAGAAGCCAGGGGGTGGGGGAAGAGGATGTCAGGGGTGGGGTCAGTAGAGTCTCCTTCACCCCCAACCTGCAGTCTCCTCCTGAAGCGTGGTCACATGCCAGAATGGGCTAGTCCCCTACTGTGTCTGTTCAACTGAGGGGAAAATGTGGCATGGTGAGAATAAGGCATGAAAAGGAAAAAGTGAGGCAGGAACACACAGCACACATGCAGATGCTGGTGTACTGTGTGGATTTAGAGGACAGACTTGGGAGTGGGGAAAGAGATGTAATATGATGAAAGAAAACAGATACCCCACATAACAGTCAGAAAAACATCCCAACACAGCATCAAAGACCAGGGTGCATGAACCAGCCAAGTGTCCATTATGCATCAGGTGCCCATGACAGGATTGAAGACAAACATATTAAGGAACTAGGAAGACCTAAAGGGCTTCATGACATCAGCACTCACTGTGGAGGAGATGTCTGTCTCATCAGGCAGCTCACTATCACTCACCTCAAAGCGATGCTGCCCATACTGAGGATTCTGGCATTATTGTCACCTGACACAAATGTGATGGTCAAGCCCTGTGCCACCTGGAAGGGGATAGAGGGTAGGATAGGACTAGAAGACCCAAAGAGGGAAGACTCCCAGAGGGAAGGATGAGGATGTAAAGTGTGAAAAGATACAGAAAGTAAGGAGGTGGGAGAGTGGGTGTCCCTCTGGGTGTGGGGCTTAACTGCTGCAGGTAGGTCTCAGAATCCTCATGCATGTCGTAGGTAAAGGCAATGCTCATCTGCTCCATGTCCATGGCTCAGCCAAATAAGTTGGTAGTCAACAAATTGATCTTATCTTTTGGGGTCATTCTCCAGCAAGTGCAGAACAGTAAAAAAATGTAGTCACCTGAGGTGCATATCTTGGCTTCCTGGCCAGTTTTCCCAAGGCCTCCACTGCCACCATGCACCCTGGGTGCCCTCCACACTCTCCAAGTGTCCTGATGTGTGTGAGGAGTTAAGGGCAGGAAGAACTATTGGATCGTGGATTTAGGTGCCTTTTTCCACCTCTGCAGGTGGCAAGGTGTGGATTCATAAGCTGGCATTGAAGTGAGCTCTGTCCTTTGTGAATAGTTGTTTGGTCACCCACAGTCATGGCTGAGCCCTGAGAATAAGAGAAACTTGTCTAGAAAAAGAAATTGTGCTGACTCTTAAATAAACATTTCTGGTCTGTGTTTTATTTCAAGTGTCTGGGAAGGGATAGAGTGTGAGGTTCAGGAGAGAAGGAGAGGTCTGTCTTGATGCTTTGACACAGCACCAAGAAATTTCCCCTCCTCCCCCACATCGCCCCGCCAGTTCTCAGTGAGGGACAGATTCACAGCAGTACTGAAAGGGCTGGGAAGAGATGGGGAGACATCTGGGGCCAATGTTCAGGGGTTGACCCTGTGGGAGGACACCTGCCTTCAGAGTTAGAGCCCACATGTGATGACGTAGAGATGAAGGGTGATATCAGGGAGGTGATGAAGAGTGCTTTGGGGTTTCCTGATTATGAAGAGCAGAGGTCAGTCTGCTTCCTGGGTGAAGTGACTGCTGGGGAGATTGGATCGAATTAATGAAGAATAAATAAACGGGGAATGAGGATAAGCAAGCATCAGCATCTCCCACCATCAGTTCAGACTGAGGGGAGTTTGGATTGAATTAATGAAGAATAAATAAACGGGGAATGAGGATAAGCAAGCATCAGCATCTCCCGCCATCAGTTCAGACTGACTGGGGAGGTGGGATAGTTATTGACTCTGTTGCGTGGTTCCCCCTAACTTCCTGGTCTTGGGGCACAGATGGGTGGTGCTGTTCCTGGTCAGGGCAGCCTCAGCTCCACCCAGGTAAGGCAGTGGTGGCAGAGAGAGTTAGAGGAGCACCTGTGAAACCGACCAAGGCAGGGATGGGAGCCCTCTGTGCAGCAGGAGTGGATGCAGGACCTGCCTGGAAGCAAGAGGATGAGGGAACCTAGTTGGGTCCTGTTCCCTGCCTGCCTGTGTTCACAGGGTAACCAGTAAGGGAGCTGGGGTAGGGAATTCTTTCATAGGTTATCTAGCCAGAGATATGTTTATAGACATATTCTTTCATGTTTATATTCAGGTTTGTTGTCACATAGACATTTATCCATGCGTGTTTTATGTTTGTTACTTTAGAATGGCTCAGTCACAAAAGCTTAATCTCTTCATTCCTGCTGCCTCTCTACACACACATACACACACATTCACACACATGCTATGCAAACATGTCTACCTGTATCTATAAAGAGAGATGTTATTTTATTTTTAAATTTTTAAATTCGTATATATTTATGGGGCACAGGTGCAGTTTTGCTACATTGCTATATTGAGTTGTGGTAAAGTCAGGGCCTTCAGTGCATCCAGCACTGGAGACAGATACATTGACCCCAACAAGAAACTCCTCTACGATACACCCACTGCCAACCACTCTTACCCTTCTGGGTCTCTATTGTCTATCATTCCACACGCTGCTTTCATGCATATAAAGAGATATTAATCAGATATATCAGAGTGATAACTTGAATTTTACTGCACTATTCTTTCAGCTTCTTTGCACATTTGAAAATATATACAATTATAAGTTGGAAGAATGAGGGAAAAAAAAGAGCGAGAGAGAGTGCTGAATCTGAATAGGCTAGGGGTTGGGTCTCACTAGGAACCATAATTGATCTCTGCCATTTTGAAAGTATGGCCCCCTGAGCTGCCTTCAGAGAGTCCTGGAGGGAAACCTGTTTTCACAGTAATACCAAGATGCCATTTGCCTGTTTCATTATGTTGACTTTTCCATTAATGCTGCAAATGCCAAGGTCGGTAGCACACCCAGCACCTTAGCAGAACCAAGGCAGTGGCTCCAAACTGCAGTCCCATTTAAGAATGCCTTTGATGGAGCAGTAAAATATTTATGTTCATTAAATTTTGATCCTTGAGTACATGTCTTTAATATTCTTTGTGAGAAAATGGGAGATATGCAAAGAGAAGCAGGATAGTAGTCTTGAGAAAGGGCACTTGTGTAGACTCAGTTATGAGTTCAACCAGCAGATCTCCTTCACCCACTGAAAGACAATTGCATTATTTCCAGTTTATGGAAGTAATTATGAATAATTACTTCCAGGAGTATTATGAATAAAGCTGCAAGAGTATTTGTATACAGGTTTTTCATGAACATAAAGTTTTCCCTTGTTTGAAATAAATGCCTAGGAGGGCAATTGCTAGTCATATGGTAAATTGCATGTTCAGTTTGAAGAAAACTGCAATATCCATTTCCAGAGTGGCTGTACCATTTTAAAATCCATTCCTACCAGCAATATGAATGATCCAGTTTCTCTGTAACCTTGCCAGCATCTGTTGCTACCTTTATTTTGTATTTCAGCCATTCTCATCACTGCAGTTTTCATTTGTATTTTCCTACTGGATAGTGATGTTGAGTGTCTTTTCATCTGCTTGTTAGCCTGGTGTTTATCCTCTTCAGTGAAACGTCTGTTCATGTCTTGCTCATTGCCTATTGTTTATTTGGATTTCATTTTTACTGTTGAGTTTTTACATTTCTTCATATATTGTGAATGCAAGTCTTTATTGAATATGTGGTTTGCAAATATCTTCTCTCATTCTGTAGCTTGTCTTTTTATGCTCTTCATAGGTCTCTCACAGAGCAACAGTTTTAATTTTGAAAAGATCCAGTTTAGTAACTTTTTCTTTTACGGATCATACTTTTGGTGTTATGTGTAAGAACTCTTTGTCTAGTCTTAGTTCTGATGGCTTTTTGTTAAAAGATTTGTAATTTTAATTTTTTAATGTATTTGTTATTTATTTAAAAAAAAATCTTGCCTAGGCTGGCCTTGAACTCCTGGGCTCAAGGGATCCTCCCACTCAGTCTCCTGAGTAGGTGAGAGTACAGGCCTGTGACACCACACCTGGCTCAATGTTTGTAATTTTAACTGTGTGTTTTACATTAAAGCCTGTGATTCATTTTGAGGTTTTTTTTTTTTTTTTTGTATAAAGCGTGAGGTTTGGGCTCAGCTTATTTTTTTTCCACTGTGGTTGTCCAGTTGCTCCAGCACCGTTTGTTGGGAAAGCTCTCCTTCCTTCATTGAATTGTTTTTGTGCTTTTGTAAATGTCAGTTGAGCATATTTGTGTGTTTTGCTCATTTTCAGTTGAGTTGCTCATCTTCTTACATTGAGTTTAAGAACTTGCCACATTATTCTGGAAACATGTTTTTCAACACAAATGTAATTTGTGATAAATTGTGAAATATTTTCTCCCTGTCTATAGCTTGTCTTCTCATTCTCTCAATGTCTTTTGGAGCACTCAAGTTTTAAATTTTAACTAAGCCCAATTTCTCTCTCTCTTTTTTTTATTTGTAGATCATGCTTTTGGTATTTTAACTAAGAATCTTTTGCCTAACTACCCAAAGTAACAAAAATTTTCTCCTGTATTTTCTTTTAGAAATTTTATAGTTTTAACTCATAAATTTTAGCTGTTTAGGTCTCTAATTTGTTTGAGCTGATATTTTATATGGTGTTAAATGTAACATTGTGTTACCTATGCAACTTCATTGAAAATCAACTGACAAAAAAAGTAAGAATATCTTTCTAGATTCTCACTTCTGTTCATTGATCTCTGTGTCTCTCAGTTTCACACTGTCTGGATTATTGTAGTTTCATATGACATTCCATTTTTTTTTCCAAATTTGTGTTGGCCCTTCTGCATCCTCTGCATTTTCATATACATTTTTAGGATTATTTTGTCAATTTTCTTTTCTTTTTTTCTTTTCTTTTTTTTTTTTTTTTTTTTTGAGACGGAGTCTCGCTCTGTCACCCAGGCTGGAGTGCAGTGGCACGATCTCCGCTCACTGCAACTTCTGCCTACCGGGTTCATGCCATTTTTCTGCCTCAGCCTCCCGAGGAGCCTGCCACCACGCCCGGCTAATTTTTTGTATTTTTAGTAGAGACGGGGTTTCACCGTGTTAGCCAGGATGGTCTGGATCTCCTGATCTCATGATCCGCCCGCCTCAGCCTCCCAAAGTGCTGGGATTACCGGCATGAGCCACCGCGCCCGGCCTATTTTGTCAATTTTCTATAAAATCCCTGCTGGGATTTTGATAGGGATTGTGTTGAACCTATAGATCTACTGGGGGAGAACTGCCATCTTAACAGTATTATCGAGCTTTCCAACTCGCATCTCTCCATTTATTTAGACCTTTAATTTCTCTGAGGAATGTTTTTTTATTTTCAGTGAACAAACACTGCTGTCTTCCTAAATTTATTCCTATTTCGCTCTTCTGGTAACTACTGTGATAGGAAAGTTGAGATTTTCATTGCTTCTATAGAGAAATATGTTAATAATTAATTTTTATATTGATTTGATATCCTATGGGCCCTTCTGGATTCATTTATTAGTGCTAGCCAGTTTTTATCTGCTTGTGAATTCTACAGACAGGGTCATGTTATCTGTGAATAGAATTGTATGTTTTCCTTTTTATCTGGATGCCTTTAATTTTTAATTTTCTGCCTTATTGCACTGGCTACAATCTCCAGTATAATATTAAATAAAAGTGGTGGGATTGGACATCCTTGCATTGATCCCCATCTTAGGAGAAAAGCATTCAGTCTTCAGTCTTTCTTCATTAAGTTTGATTTTAGCTGTGGGTTTTTTATAGACGCCCTTTATCAGAGTGAAGAAGGTCTCCTCCATTCCTATTTTGTTGAAACTTATGAACATGAGTGATGTTAACATTTTTGTCAACTGTTTCTCCTGCATCTTTTGAGATAATTATGTCTTTTTTTCCATTAATACAGTGCATTCCATGAACTGATTTTCAAATGTTAATCCAACCATATGTTCCTGGGATGAATCCCATTGGTCATGGAGTGTAATCCTTTTTTATGTGGCTTTGTATTATCTGCCAATGTTTGTTAAGGATGTTTTCATTTATGTTTATTGGTGACACTGGTGTATGGCACTCTTTTCCTGTGAGTCTTGCTGTGACTTTGATATGAGGGTAATGCCAGTTCTGTAAATGGGCTGGAAAGTCTTCCCTCCTCTCTTCTTGTCTGAAAGAGCTTTCAAAATATTTGATAGAATTCACCAGTGAAGATATCTGGGCTTTGGCATTTCTTTTTGAGAAGGTTTTTCAATTTCTGACTTAGTTCACAGTTCTCTTCAGGTTTTCCAGTTAATTTGGGTCAGTTTTGGCAATTTCTATCTCTGCACGAATTGGTCCTTTTTATCCAAGTGGTCTAACTTATTGGCTTCAGGTTTTTCAGAGTATTCACTTATAATGTTTTTTAACTTCCTAAGGGTCATTAGTGATAATCTCTCTTTTGTTCACAATTTTGGTAATTTATCTTATTTCTCATAATCTCTTTTTTCACTGTTGGTCAAGAAAACAGACAGAGGCAGCAGATGGAGATGTGACAGATTCTCTAGTGGGAAGGCTTTGATCATAATACCTGGCAAGCCAGAATGATGCCAGCAACCCCAAAGGAGCTGCCAATGGATCTTGACAGGAAAATCACTGACTCTGGATTGGGCTATGCTCAACCAGGGGTAGATGTCAATGCTTCAAGGGCTATACAAGAACCAGAAAAGAAGAGATTGCACCAATTTGGACTGCCGAGTCACACTTCTTTACACAAGAAAACACACTTTACAGCCTCAAATGGCCAACAATGCAGAGGGACATGTCCTCCTCAGGGGAAAATTTGATAGAAAATTGAAATGGTCAATTGAAACATTGTTTGTCTAAAAACTGCCAATCTAATTGTTGGGCAATATAAACATGAAGGACTGGCTTTTATATCTTCATGAATGTGCTCGCTGTCAACATGAGTGGGGCTGCAAGAATAACTCCACTAGGTAGCATCCTCTCTTTTACCTGATGGATCAGGACGATGCTGTTATGACGATACATACAATTCTTCTGAAGAGGAGAGGATGCTGGAATAAAGACTACACTTCACCTCAAATTTATTTTTTCATATGTTATGCCATAGTACCAGGAATAGGGATGTAAATAAAAGTGCCAGAAACAGGAATTATCCCTAAGCCAAAAACCATAACTATATTTTTATACCTTTATGTAAGAATTCTCAAGTATTCATTTCATCTGGAAAAGTTAGGATTAACAGTAAGTAGAGTTATATAGCCTGGTGGTCTTGATAGCCCCCACTAGTTCCTTACCTATATAACCTACCCTCTATGATCAAGACTAGACTGAGGGAAGACATGCTAGAATACTATTGCTGCCTGCAGTCTAGGCCAGCCCAGCAGACAAACCTAATGTCACTCCCAAACCTGGAAACAACTGATATAAAGGGACAGAGGGAGGAATAGTGGCTGAGGGCAAGTGAATAAATCAAAGGGTTATATAATGAGAAAAATTCAATATTAGCTTAACTCCTCAAAGGTGGTGTGAGCAAGAGAAGATATTGTCACTTAGGTCAATTATACTGGATGCCTAAAAGAGTGAAGCTGTATGTCCCTGAGACCATTCTTGTTTTTGGAACCTGGTAAGATTGAGTGTTGTCAGCAAAGCTGAGTGATTTCATTCTGGGAGACATATTCATACAAGAGGATGATAAACTGGCCTAATTTTGAATGAATGGATGAGACTCTGATAATATGCCAATACCTCTTTACTGTTACAATCCTTTTTCCTGTAAAAGATATGTGGTCAAAGAAAAGTGGGCAATCTGAGTTATCACAAAAACATTTAGACTTTGTCCCTGGTTTCTCCTAAAAACCTTAGACTCTCTTGAGTGATAAGTGTCTTTAGAGTACTGATGAGAAGACTCTTGGCTGAGTGGATCCTGGATATCTTAAGAACGGTGGCTAGCTGCCAGAGACACATACCTGTGATGCGAGTGTTATCTTTTTCCATTTTGTGTTGCTATAAAGAAATGTCTGAGACTGACTAATTTATATAAACAAGGTTCATGTGGCTCAAGATTCTGATGTCTGGAAATGTTTGCGCATTTAGTGAGGGCCTCAGGCTGCTTCCACTCATGGCAGAAGACAAAGGTGAGCTGGTATATGCAGAGAACACATGGTAACAGAGGAACAGAGAGAGTAGGAAGTTGCCAGGGTCTTTTTAACAACTAGCTCTCTTGGAAAATAATAAAGCAACAATTCATTCATTCCCAAGAGAGGGCAGTATCTCTCTATTCATAAAAGATTGGTCACCATGACCCAAATGGTGGCCATTAGGCCCCACGTCCCACAGTGGGCATCAGATTTTAACATGAGGTATCAGGGGATAAATGTTTATATCATTGCATCCCCTCCCTAGCCAGCCAAAGGTCATGTTCTTCTCACATTGCAAAATATAATAATCTTCTCCCAATTGTCCCAAATGTGTTAGGTTGTTCCAGCATCAACTCAAAATTCCAGAGTCTCATCTGAGACTCAAGATAAATTCTTATAGCTTTGAGCCTGTAAAATTTTTTTTAAAAAATGTTATTTACATCTAAAATATTAATACAACAGTGGAAGAGACATTTCTTGTACATTTCCATTCCAAAAGGTATATAAATGGGCCAAAAGAAATGAATGCAGTTTCCTCACAAGATTGAAACTCATCATGGCAGACATTAAAACTTAAAGGTCTAAAAGAATCTCCTTTGACTGTATATTTTGAATCCAGAGCACAGTGGCTGGTGCAACTGCTGGGCTCCTAATGCCATTTGCAGCTCCACATTTATGGCTTTGCTGAACATAACCCATATAGCTGCTGTCATGGGAGAAAATTGAATGCCTATGGCTTTTCCAGGCTGAGGTTGCACATAGCCAGTGGCTCTACCATTTAGTAGTCCTGGCAGGGGTCCTACTGCTGCAGCTCTGCTAAGAATTGTCCTGGGTATTAAATTTCCCCATTTAAATATCAGTTCCAGTTTTGGGTCGTTTCTTTGCTCACACATATGCACATAGGCTATTACAGGCAGCCAGACCAAATCCTGAATTCTATGCTACTGAGAAATTTCTTCCATCAGATACCCTTAATCATCACTCTCAAGTTTAAAGTTCCACAGATCCCTAGGGAGGTGGCACAATGCCTCCAAGAACTATCACAAGAACAGCATGAAAGAGATGATTCTAAACCATTCATGAATGATCCATCCTCATGAGCCAATCACGTCCCACCAAGCACCACCTCCAACATTAGGGATTACAAGTGAGCATGAGATTTGGGTGGGGACACAGATCCAAACAGTATCAGGGGTCATGGTGGACATGAGGGTGGGCTGGTCTCTCCACTTCTCACATGTTACCAGGGACATAGACACATTCAGATGCCTTGGCAGAAAGAGAAGACAGAGGCCCTTGAAGTCTCAAAGTGGAGCCATGAACAAATCTTGCATCTCAGTCCCTCACAAGGCAGTCTTAGAAAGAAAATAGTCATGAACAAATTCAAGTCAGTCATGGTAAGTGGTGACACTGAACAGCCCACCACACATTGAAAAATTCCAAATCAAAGACTCTCTAGAGCCTAGTTGTGTCCCATCTGCCCCAACTCCTCCTTCACTTCAGGCCCTCTAAGGTGCCACTTTTACAAGACTTGAGAGACACATCAGAGCCCTGGGTACTGTTCCTGTTTGGGGTGGAACAAAAACAAAGTCTGGTCAGAGCCCACAGGTGATGTGACTAAAGGAGGAATTTTGGGGTGGCTGTGCTCCCCCATGGGCTCCTGTCTACACTATTCCAAGGATCTCAGGAATCATTCTCCCACCCCTACCACACTTACTTGAAGCCTGAGCATAGCTGACTCCTTTTCCATATGAGGAAAGAAAACAAACTGTGAGACGCCAGGGAAGAGGCAGGGCCATGAAATCCTAGAGGAGTTTCCAGAACTGTGACTGCAGACCCAGGTCAGGATCAGGAAACCCGAGGGAAGAGGATGTGTTGAAGCTGAACCAAATGTCCTTTTGACATCTGTCCTCAGCAGGAACATTCTCCTGACTTGTGACTGCTGGGAGTCAGGTTCCCATGATCACAATCAAGGTGATAAATTTGTCCTTCAATTTCACAGGTGCTTTACAAAAGAGTGAGAGTTGACATGGCATCTGAACAGGGTAAATGTGTGTGGAGATAGTGTCTCACAACTAGGCAGGAAATGAGCCAACTTCCATCTGGAGCTTGAAATCCACGAATGGAAGAAGAAATCTTGGAACTCACCCCTTTCCTACCTGGGGTCTTATTCTTCCACATCACAGCAGTGACCACAGCACCTAGAACAACCAGGACAGTAACAATGCCCACGATGGGGAATGTGGGCTGGGAAGATGGCCCTAAGAAAGGAGGGGAACGTGAGGGGTCCTGACCCCCAGGCCTCAGCCCTGACCCTGCTGAAGGCCTCCAGAAAGGCTCCTGCTTTCCCTGAGAAGAGACATGGCCCCTCATTCATCTCCTTAGCCCATCTCAGTGTGAGGGGCTCTGGCAGTGCCTCCTGCTGCACATGGCATGTGTATCTCTACTTGTCTCTAGAAGACAGCACCACAGCTGCCCACTTCTGGAAGGTTCTATACCCTGCAGGTCTGGTCCCCACAAGCTCTGTGTCCTAAATTTGGTCCTCCCCATCCCACAGTTGGGTCACTGTGATTTCCACATGGTAGAAGCCCGGGACCCAGCACCTCAGGGTGGCCTCATGGTCCGAGATGGGGTAGTGGATCCCACATGTATTCTGGGATTCTGAGGGGAAGAGTAAGAAAATTCAGGCACTTTGCATTCCTCATGGGACACTCCAGCAGCACCCATGTGACCATCCTGAGAATGGATAGGACATCTGGGGTGGGGAAGGGAGAACAGAACCCAGACACCTCCTGGCCACAGGCACCTGGGATAATCTCCTATTCCTTGGAAAGTTAGTGTCTGAGGCATTGAATAATTTAGAGTCTGCCGAGTGCCTGGGATTGAAGGCACGCGCCACCACGCCTGACTGGTTTTCATATTTTTTTGGTGGAGACGGGATTTCGCTGTGTTGGCCAGGCTGGTCTCCAGCTCCTAACTGCGAGTGATCTGCCAGCCTCGGCCTCCTGAGGTGCCGGGATTGCAGACGGAGTCTCACTCACTCAGTGCTCAATGTTGCCCAGGCTGGAGTGCAGTGGCGTGATCTCGGCTCGCTACAACCTCTGCCTCCCAGCCGCCTGCCTTGGCCTCCCAAAGTGCCAAGATTGCAGCCTCTTCCCGGCCGCCATCCCGTCTAGGAAGTGAGGAGCGTCTCTGCCCGGCCGCCCATCATCTGAGATGTGGGGAGCGCCTCTGCCCTGCCGCCTTGTCTGGGATGTGAGGAGCGCCTCTGCCCGGCCGCGACCCCGTCTGGGAGGTAAGGAGCGTCTCTCCCCGGCCGCCCCGTCTGAGAGGTGAGGAGCCCCTCCACCCAGCAGCCGCCCAGTCTGGGAAGTGAGGAGAGTCTCCGCCCGGCAGACGCCCCGTCCGGGAGGTGGGGGGCAGCCCCCGCCCGGCCAGCCGCCCCGTCCAGGAGGGAGGTGGGGGGCAGCCCCTGCCCGGCCAGCCGTCCGTCCGGGAGGGAGGTGGGGGGCAGCCCCCGCCCGGCCAGCCACCCCGTCCAGGAGGTGGGGGGCACCTCTGCCTGGCCACCCCGTCTGGGAAGTGAGGAGCCCCTCTGCCCGGCCGCCACCCTGTCTGGGAGGTGTACCCAACAGCTCATTGAGAACGGGCCATGATGATGATGGCGGTTTTGTCGAATAGAAAGGGGGGAAATGTGGGGAAAAGACAGAGAAATCAGATTGTTGCTGTGTCTGTGTAGAAAGAAGCAGACATAGGAGACTCCATTTTGTTCTGTACTAAGAAAAATTCTTCTGCCTTGGGATGCTGTTAATCTATAACCTTACCCCCAACCCCGTGCTCTCTGAGACATGTGCTGTGTCCACTAAGGGTTAAATGGATTAAGGGCGGTGCAAGATGTGCTTTGTTAAACAGATGCTTGAAGGCAAAAAAAAAAAAAAAAAAGAATGCCCAAAATGACAATTTTCTGACTCAAGCATCTACAAAAATATTTGCCTAATCAGGGTGCTTTGCAATTAGAAAAATGTGAGTCTCACATCTTTGTCTGTACAACTAGCTTAGCATCATGACAATGATTTGGTTTGATGTGGTAGGTGGAAATGGTTAACTTCAATCTAGGAACAAGATTTTTCAGTAACTGGCTATTCAGTGGGCATCCTGTGATCAGTTTAACATCTTTCACTGTGGTTTTTAATTAGATGTGGTAGAAGTGATTTGGACTCCAGTATGATTCTGAAAAACACTGTTATTTTGTGCTTCTAATGTTGCTTTAAAAGCAGCTCTTTCGTGTTTTCCATTCTTATTGCTATTTCATCACTAGTTATTCATTTATGTCTTTTCATTTAATTTATTTTGCTCAACAATGCTTTTTTTCTATTCTGTAAAAGTTTAGTTCACTTGTTTGTGTGGTAAAATGTGAGCAACATATCAAATTCTCAAATTCTTTGCAAGATACTATTGCCTTGCCTATCAGATTGAACACTGTGTATCAGAAAATGTAGAGAGTCGCCAACTAGCCAAGGATCAAATGACCTATTTGTAGCCAAGGCTGTTTTTCATGGCATCCTGGTCCTCTCACATGGCTCCTTAAAATTGGCTGTGGCTTGTTTTTTGTAGTTGTCTGTTTGTTCGTTTTGAGATGGAGTATGGCTCTGTCACCCAGGCTGGAGTGCGATGGCAGGATCTCAGCTCACTGCAACTTCTGCCTTCCAGGTTCAAACGATTCTCCTGCATCAGCCTTCTGAGTAGCTTGGATTACAGACACGCACCAACACGCCCAGCTAATTTTTGTATTTTTAGTAAAGACAAGGTTTCACCATGTTGGTCAGGCTGGTCTCGAACTCCTGATCTCGTGATCCACAGGCCTCGACTTCCCAAAGTGCTAGGATCACAGAAGTGAGCCACCGTGCCCGGCCAGCTGCGGCTTTGTTTTACTATGAGTAGTTATCGCAAAGGATGCTTGTGATGAACTTTGGCATTTTCTTTTCTCTTTCATTTCCAAATAATCAATCAGGAATGGCACACAAGGTGCATTTTGAAAAATACCACTTTAAAGATTTGTGGGCCAGGAGTGGTGGCTCATGCCTGTAATCTCAGCAATTTGGTAGGCTGAAGTGGGTGGATCACCTGAGGTCAGGAGTTCCAGACCAACCTGGTCAACATGGTGAAGCCCGTCTCTACTAAAAATACAAAAATTAGCTGGGAGTGGTGGCATTTGCCTGCAATCCCAGCTGCTCAGGAGGCTGAGGCAGGAGAATCCCTTGAACCTGGGAGGCGGAGGTTGCAGTGAACTGAGTTCATGCCACTGTACTCCAGCCTGGGCAACAAGAGCGAGACTCAAAATATATAAATAAATAAATAAAGTTTTATGATCAAGTAACTAACTACCTGGATATCCCCTCCTGGCATAAGAAACAGAACCTATGAAGCCACCCTAGGCTGTTGTCCAATCCTATCCCCTAAAAGGAACCTATGTCTTGAGTCTTGTATTTGCTATTCCTTGGCATTGTCACTGAAGATTTTTACAATAAGTATATATATACCCAAATCACAGTTTGACCTGTTTTTTTTTTAACTTCCCCATACAGAGAACTCACACCGCATGTACATTATGTGTTGGAGAGTTATCTCTGATGTGGGAGGGTGCTTATCCTTTTAATTTTTTTTTTTTCTTTTTGAGATGGAGTTTCACTCTTGTTGCTCAGGCTGGAGTGTAGGGGCGGGATCTCAGCTCACTTGATCTCAGCTGCTTGGTTCAGCTCCATCTAGCATCTTTCCCCACACTGTCACCCCCAGCACCAGGGGACTGAGGGTTGATGACCTGGTACACCACCGCCTGGATCTGCTGCAGTGTCCTTTCCTGTCTAGTCCGCACTCAAAGCTGACCTCTTCCTATATTATACCCAGACAGTGGGCCAAACAATATACTTAGATGTGGAATGTGGTGTTGCCAGGACACAGAGAAGCTCACCAGGTAGTGTGCTTCCTTCCTTCTGTTGAGGATGCAAGATGCAAGTTTGTCTTTTACTTTGGAGAGGACAGCCCTGCATGCCCCTAACCACTGGACCCATAACACTTCACTGCAGTGGCCACTCTTGAAGCTCTGTAAGGTTAATCTTCACCTTCTGTAGTGCACATGTTTTGCCAAAGAACTCAGCATACTTTCCTCCTCTTGCTCATCCATCCCAATCTATGTGATATTGCCAATGAAATGAAGAGATTTAGTATTCTGTGAGATGTCTGATTTGTCCAGATCTCTTAAGGTGATATTTATAGAAGGTTGAGGAGTTAAAGTAGCCCTGAGGCAAGCTATCAATAAATGTATTATAAATCCCATGTGAATGTGAATCATTCCATATCCATTTTCTAAATGGAATGGGAAAGAATGCACTCACCAAATGCATGGCTGTTTGCCATGTGCCTGAGGCCTTATTAATCTCCCCAAGCAGTGATATCCAGCCAGCATGGCAGCTGCAATCAGGACTCCTACTTGGTCAAGTCTGGAGTAATTCCATTCATTCTTTATCAGGCTTCTTCAGGGATAGACTGCTGAATTATATGGAGATAATAGGCAATCCCAACACCACCCCCCATCCTTCAGCTCTCTAATGGCAGTGCCACCCCTACAATATCTGCAGTACCCTCCTGAAGTCCCACCTGGGGCGCAATATTGCTTCTGGCTTGGTTGGGATGAGGGAAGTTTTAGATGATGATTCCCTTTGGGCTTCAGCACAATGATAGCCCTTACTCTCCAGACTAGGGATGTAGTGTGGGGGTGACCCTCTTTGCCAGTGCATCAAGGCCAATTATGCATGTGGAGAATGGGGAGATAACCAGGACTGGGTTTATGAACCCAGTGGTCCCACAGTGGGCCATAATGTGTCCAGGTTTACTTCCTGGCCTCCTTAAGCCCCACTGTGGATTCTGAATCTGAAGCTTGGCTGAAGTCTAGGAATTGAGACTGGGATCATGACTTTGTATTTAGTCAAACACCCTCAGTCTCCTGCTCCTCAATTCTTGCATTCCCATCATAGATATGAAGCAGTGCCCTCGCTGGCTGCCCATCTGTTCTGACGCTGGGACACCACCTTTTACTAACCTTTCCCAAAACTCCATGAAGGTTGAGCCCCTTTGGCTGCTACTCTGGGTTCTCACAGTAACTGTGCCCTCTATCTTTTGCAGGTCACTGCAAAGGAGGGTTCCTAAAGCATTCACTCCTGATCCTGAGGGAGGTGGGTGCACTCACTCCAGGTCTCAGGTCCGCCACAGAAAAGCAAAAACTCCTCACATTCAAAACTGTCCTGGGCCACATTCAGCCTGCGAGCTATGGGTTGGACAAGCTAGCATCTAGAACATATGTACCACAACGCCAGAAATTTTTCTATTTTCACCTTAATGATGCTTTCTAAATGCAAAAGCAGTCATATCCCTAGCAGACAACAAATGTCAGTTGAATGAATGATCACTGTAAAGCACTTCTCTATTCTGAAGCCAATATCTTTGTTAAGGTAGCCTCAGGGCAAATGCTGTTTTGTGGCAGCTAAAGAACAACATCATCTCATGTGGACATCGATGCCGCCAGTGCTTTTCTCACTAGGACTGCTTGTGTGTCCTCCCTCCCTCCCTACCTCCTCCCACACCAACCCTCTTGCACACTGCAGCACACAACCATATTTTTCTCTTCAGGAAAGATAACCCTAGGCTTATGGGTACAATTTTCCAACCACGTATGAATCTAAATTAGACTCTGCTTTGTAAATCCATGAGTTTGGATTGGAGCCAGCACTAGGATTACTACAACTCAGGGAAGGAAGAAGAGTAAGAGAGCAGAAGAGGAGCTCCAACAAAAAGTTCACTATGATGAGAAACTATGGGACCCCTCCTCTCTGCAAATTTTAGAATCTGCTTCCTTTAAAAAGATTGGAGGCAAGATGAAAAATACAATCCAGGAAAGAGCCCTGGGAGGAGGGCAAGAGCTGGACAGGTCTGAAAATTAGTCTCTTGATACCACAATGAGATTTGTATGCAGGGACCACCGTAGGTGACATCCAAGTCCCTGTGATCACAGGTGGTGGTAGGACAAGGTTCTACTGAAGGGCCAAGGAGAATGAAGGAGCAAAGATGACCCAGCTGAGCAGTGACCACATAAAGTCCATACTGGCCTGAGCACCCACTAGGCACAGCCCCATCTATTCTCCTCCCCTGCAACAAATCAGCACAAGAAACACATGGACTCTGGAAGGTTCTCATGTGTTCCATTTATTTTGTCTCTCAAATTTTAGGAATCTTCTCCTTTAATTAAGTCATCAACCTCTCATGGCAAGAATTTGAAAAAGTAAATGTTTACTCAGATTCTAATTTTAAGAGGGAAGTAAGAAGTTACAGCTCAGTGCACATAAAGTTGAGAAAAAGATGGAGACATCTCAGCCCCTCCTCTCTGGAACAGGAAAGATGATTGGGGAGGGAACACAGATCAGCGTGGGGAAGAGGGTCATGGTGGACATGAGGGTGGGTTGGTCTCCCCTCCTCCACACATTATGCCTACAGGAACACAGACACATTCAGGTGCCTTTGTAGAAAGAAAGTCAGGGTTCTTCAAGTCACAAAGGGAAGGCAGGAACAACTCTTGCCTCTCAGTCCCACACAAGGCAGCTGTCTCACACTATAGAAAAAATATTCATGAACAAATTCATATCTGTCCCAGTAATGGATGACACTTTGGCAGCCCATCGCATGCTCAAAACATCAAATTCAAAGAACCCCATAGCACAGCTGTGTCCACTGTTCCCCCCCAACATCCCCCACACATCAGGCCCCCCAAGGTCTCACCTTTCAAGCCGTGAGAGACACATCAGAGCCCTGGGCACTGTTGCTGCCTCGAGTAGAATAAAAACAGGACCTGGTCAGATCCCACAGTAGATGTGGCTAGAGGAAGAATTGTGGGGTGGGTGAGCTCCCCCATGGGCTCCCAAACACAATATCCAAAGGATTTCAGGGATCAGCCTCCTTCATACTTACTTGCAGCCTGAGAGTAGCTCCCTCCTTTTCTATCTGTGGGAAGAAAATGTCCTGTGAGATGCCAGAAAGAAGCCAGGGCCATAAGGTCCTAGAGGAACCTCCAAGTCTCGGACCCCAGAGAAGTTTCCAGAAATGTGCAACTGCAGACCCAGGGTGGGATCAGGAAACATGAAGAAAGCAGATATGGGTCCTGGACCAACCGCCCTTCTGAGGTCTGTCCTTGGGGACCTTCCCCTGTGACTTGTGACTGCTGGGATCAGGTCCCATCACCACAGTCATCAAGGTGATAAATCTGTCCCTCATTGTAACAGGTGCTTTACAAAAGAGTAAGTGCTGGCACACACGGCCCAGGCTGGGTAGGCCCATGAGTGTGGATGGTGCTTCCCAGTAACCAGGCAGGGCACTTCTACCTGGGGCTTGGAACTCTCAGTGAGACAAGAAATCTCAGACCACACTCCTCACCCCTTCCTTACCTGAGCTCTTCTTCCTCCACATTACAGCAGCGACCACAGCTCCAGTGACCACAGCTACAAGTAGAACCAGGCCAGCAACGATGCCCACGATGGGGACGTTGGGCTGGGAAGATGGCTCTGGGAAAAGGGGGGAAGGTGAGGGACCCTGACCCTGCTAAAGCTCTCCAGAGAGGCTCCGGCTTTCCCTAAGAGACATGACACCCCCATCTCCCTCCTTACCCCATCTCAGGGTGAGGGGCTCGGGCAGACCCTCATGCTGCACATGGCAGGTGTATCTCTGCTCCTCTCCAGAAGGCACCACCACAGCCGCCCACTTCTGGAAGGTTCCATCCCCTGCAGGCCTGGTCTCCACGAGCTCCGTGTCCTGGGTCTGGTCCTCCCCATCCCGCTGCCAGGTCAGTGTGATCTCCGCAGGGTAGAAGCCCAGGGCCCAGCACCTCAGGGTGGCCTCATGGTCAGAGATGGGGTGGTGGGTCATATGTGTCTTGGGGGGGGTCTGACGGGAAGAGTCAGAAAATTCAGGCATTTTGCATCTGTCATGGGACACTCCTCCAGCACGCATGTGGCCATCTTGAGAATGGACAGGATGCCTGGGGTGGGGAAGGGAGCACAGAACCCAGACAACAGCCTGGACACAGGCACCTGGGATAATCTCCTATTCCGTGGAAAATTCTAGTCCCTGAAGAGGGAACAGCGACTTCTGGTCCTGACCTGAGTGGAGGCTGAGGGACTCAGAAGAGCTGGACTCAGACCCCCACGCACATTGAGTGTGAAGCAGAGAACAAGGCCTGAGAGGAAAAGTCACGGGGCCCAAGGCTGCTGCCAGTGTCAAAGGGAACCACTCATCAGTATTCCAGGGATTGTCTTCCCTTCATTTCCTCACAGATTTCATCCCTTAATTGTGTCAGAGAGCAGGGCGGACCCTCAGAGTCACTCTCTGGAAACCCAGGAGGATTCTTCTCCCTCAAGACCAGAGGGAGGGCGATATTATAGTGTTGGTCCCATTTGTCTCCCTTTCTTGTGGGAGGCCAGCCCCGGAGATCTACAGGCGATCCGGGAGGCGCCCTGTGGCCCCTGGTACCCGCGCGCTGCAGCGTCTCCTTCCCGTTCTCCAGGTATCTGCGGAGCCACTCCACGAACTCGCCCTCCAGGTAGGCTCTCAGCTGCTCCGCCCGACGGGCCGCCTCCCACTTGCGCTTGGTGATCTGAGCTGCCATGTCCGCCGCGGTCCAGGAGCGCAGGTCCTCGTTCAGGGCGATGTAATCCTTGCCGTCGTAGGCGTGCTGTTCATACCCGCGGAGGAAGCGCCCGTCGGGCCCCACGTCGCAGCCATACATCACCTGCATGGTGTGAGAACCTGGCCCCGCCCCCGCGGTCAGCCCGGTCCCCCGAGCCCCGCCCTGCCCCGACCAACCCGCGGGGGTTTTGGCCTAAACTGAAAATGAAACCGGGTAAAGGCGCCTGGGCCTCTCCCAGGTCAAGGGTCTCGGGGTCCCGCGGTTTCGGGGTGGATCTCGGACCCAGAGACTCGAGGCGACCCGGCCCTCCGTGGGGGATGGGGAGGGGTCGTGACCTGCGCCCCGGGCCGGGGTCACTCACCGCCCTCGCTCTGGTTGTAGTAGCGGAGCGCGATCCGCAGGTTCTCTCGTTCAGTCTGTGCCTGGGCCTTGCAGATCTGTGTGTTCCGGTCCCAATACTCTGGCCCCTCCCGCTCCATCCACGGCGCCCGCGGCTCCTCTCTCGGACTCGCGTCGTCGCTGTCGAACCGCACGAACTGCGTATCGTCCACGTAGCCGACGGAGATGAAGCGGGGCTCCCCGCGGCCGGGCCGGGACATGGTGGTGTAGAAATACCTCATGGAGTGGGAGCCTGGGAGCGAGGAGGAGCTGAGACCGGCCCGACCCTCCTCCCTGCGCGGATCCCCGGGTCCTGCGCCCCCGCCGGGCGGGCCCCTCGCTCCTCCCGACCATTTCCCTGCAGACCCTGCACTCACGCGCCCAGGTCTGGGTCAGGGTCAGGGCCAGGGCCCCTGAGAGCAGCAGGAGGAGGGTTCGGGGCGCCATGAGCACCATCCTCGGCGTCTGGGGAGAATCTGAGTCCCGGTGGGTGCGTGGGGACTTTAGAACCGGGACCGCGGCGGCACCGATTGGCTTCTCTAGAAACCCGACACCTAGTGGGAATGAGAACTGTGTCCGCTTCGTGAGTATCAAGGAAGAAGGACCCGTCGCAGGTTGTGAGAAGAAGAGAAACTGCGGAGGTGGCGAATCCCTAAGGCGGGGCATCCCCAATCCATACACCGCCTTCGGGGCCTGAGACCCTGAGAGCCACGCCTGGGGCCCTGGGACTTCGCCCTGACCCCGCTCCTCCTGTGCCAAGCGCTCTGTCTCAGTGTTTCCCTGAGTCTTGGCCCAGGAGCTGTCTGAGAAACCAGGAAGAAACCCTCGGCATGGGCCCTGTCCCTCTCCCTTCACTTTTCATCCCGGAATCTCCGTCCCTGAACTGGACTCCCTGTCCACCTGGACTCTTCTAGAAGAAAACTCACCCACGGAGTTTGGTGACAGAGAGTGAGCTTGCTCTGGGAATGGAGGTGTAGAAACTGTTTTTTGTTTTCCTTTTTGTTTTTTTTTTTTATTGGGAAAAGTTGTGCCTGAGTGCATGAGACAGAATAGAGACCAGTTTATTTATTTATTTGTTTATTAAATACATTGGATAGCAGAACCTTGGTAACCCCTGAATGATCAGGAATCTAATCGGTAAAAAATGTGACTTTGGCCCCATGATGTATAAATGTGCCCAAAAGCGTTACAACAGGACTCACAAAGCTTCTAAGTTTCACTTTTGCAGTGTACCTGTGACTCCCGCTTGTCATATTTTAAATTTGCCATCATTCCATAGCTTTGAGTTTCTGTGTGAGTCCAGGATATCTCCTCAATACAAAGTAGCACACTGTGTACTTTGCAACCAGGTACGTTACAACCAGGAGTCAGTACAGGCTTTATTCACCTCAAAGTTGCAACTGTTCAATGTAGTCGCAATGCCCCTCACTAGTGCTCATGCACTGTCTGTTTTTAGGAAGTATCCACTGCTAAGTGTTGTGTATATTTTATAGGAACACTTAGTAATTTTTAAACCTGATTAACATTAAAAAATTAGTTTTTAGGCAGACCCACATAAAGTATTAAAGGCCAACTGCCAAGGACATCCTGCAGGGCTCTGTAGATGGATGTATTAAAATCCATAAAACAATGTATTTAAACCTAAGAATTCTGCTGCTTTCGAATTCTTTCCTCTGCTCCTTTTCTTCACCTCCTGCTTCTCCAACCCTTCCCTCCATTCTTCTCATCCTTCAGGCCGTCCTGTCCCCTTAGTCCCCACCACACTGTCACTTGTGAATTGTGACACTAGCACTGTCCCATGACCTGTTACGTGACTGTTCTTTTCACAGTGGTCCTGCTCCTGGGAGTCAGAATGTGTCATCTCTCCACTTAAAACACTCCAGTGTCTCCACCTCGGTCTTGTGAAACTTCTGGAGTGTCAGGCACGTGAGCATATGAGGGGATATCTGGTTTATCGTAGGGACTAAATTAATTTTTGTCGACTGAATGAATGAAATATGAGTGTATTAAATTGCATTACAGATAATTATAAAGTGCAAAACACGGAAGAAGTTCAGAAAGATTTTATTTTATGTAACTAGTGTGCATATCAATTCATCAATTCATTCGTGCACTACCACGCCTGGCGAAACAACACCCATTTATCTGCTTATAGTTCCTTGATCAGAAATCTGGGCAAAATGTGGATGGAATCTCTCTTCTGGGCTTCCAAAAGCTGTGTTTTCATTTTGAATCCTCCTTCAGGCTTATACAGAGGTGGCAGAATGCAGTTTCTGGCAGTTGTAAGACTGAGGTCCCTGTTCCTTGCTGGCTGTCAATGTAGAGAACAGGGAGGGCTGTGCTTGATTCCTGGTCCTCACCAGCATTCTTTCCTACACAGCCCCTTCATTTTTAATTTTATTTATTTATTTTTTTGAGATGGAGTCTCGCTCTGTAGCCCAGGCTTGGGTGCAGTGGCGGGATCTCGGCTTACTGCCAGCTATGGCTCCCGGGTTCACGCCATTCTCCTGTCTCAGCCTCCCAAGCAGCTGGGACTACAGGCACCCGCCACTACGCTTGGCTATTTTTTTTTTTTTTTTTGTATTCTTAGTAGAGACAGGGTTTCACCGTGTTAGCCAGGATGGTCTCGATCTCCTGACCTCGTGATCCGCCCGCCTCATCCTCCCAAAGTGCTGGGATTACAGGCGTGAGCCACCGCACCTGGCCCACAGCCCCTTCATTTTCAAAGCCCATGCTGGAGGAAACCCCTCATGCTGAGTCCCTCTCACACTGTGAGTCTCTATGCTCAGGAAGAACCCAGTCCTTTCAAGGTCTCACCTGATTAGGACAGTCCAAGCAGGATAAACCCAGCCTAAAGTCAACTAATTGAGACCCTTAATTATATCCACTAACTCCCTTCACAGCAGCACCTACATTAGAGTTGATTGAATAACTGGAGGATGGTGAATGACCAGGAGCTGGTTGTTGAGGGCATAATAGAATCAGCCTAGCAAGGGTTGGATCTTCCTTTTGTGTTTACTTCGGACACAGTTGGAAATTGAAGTTCAAGTAAAGTGATCATTGTGAATGGTCATAAAATACATCCTCTTCAGCCATGGAAATTCTCCTTACCTTTTAAAACTAAGTTACGTGTTTAATATCTTATAATTAATTTACGCCAGGTATGGTGGCTCATGCCTGCCATCCTAGCACTGTGGAAGGCAGAGGAAGGCAGATTTGTTGACTCCAGAAGTTCAAGATCAGCCTGGGCAAAACCCCCATCTATACAAAAAATTAGAAAATTAGCCAGGCATAGTAGTTCATGACGGTAGTCCCAGCTACTCAGGAGGCTGAGATCAGTGGGTCCCTTGACCCCAGGAGGTCGACACTGCAGTACATGGTGATCATGCCACTGCACTCCAGCCTGGGTGACAGAGCGAGACCGTGTCTCAAAAATAATAATGATGACGATGATACATTTAAAGCAAATGCAATTTAATGTGTAATAATACATCCTCTCTTGTGAAAGTGTATTATTTATTTACTATTGCATAACAAATTATGTAAAACTTAGCTCAAAACAACAAATATTCCTCATCTGCCGCAGTTTCCAATGGTCAGGAGTCCAGGAGAGGTTTCCCTGAGTGCTTCTTGCTCGGGGCCTCTCACAAGGTTGCAGTACAGTTGTCAGCCAAGGGCTGCATCATCTGAGGGCTTCACTGGGGCTGAGGATTCACATGAAACATGGATCAGTCATATGGCTGTTGGAAAAGGCCTAGTTCTTTGTTGTCTGTTCCCAGAACGCCTCGGTTCTCAGCCACATGGACCTTCCTGCAGGGCTGCTTGTGGCACAGCAGCTGGCTTCCCCCAGAGCTCATGATCCCAGAGACAGAGAGAGAGAAGGTGGAAGCCACAGTGAGTTTTAGGTTCTACACCCAGAGTCACAAACCATTATGTCAGCATTATTCTGTAAGTTAGAAGTTATATTAGTCCATTCTCACACTGCTATAAAGAAATACCTGAGACTGGGTAATTTATAAAGGAGAGAGGTTTAATTGACTCACAGTTCTGCATGGCTGAGGAGCCTGCCCCAGGAAACTTACAGTCATGGCAGAAGTGGAAGCAAACACATCCTTCTTCACATGATGACAGGAGAGAGAAATGCAGAATGAAGCAGGGAAAAGCCCCTTATAAAACCATCAGATTGCATGAGAATTCCCTCAGTATCACGAGAACAGCATGGGGGCACCGCCTCCATTATCCAATCACCTCCCATGTGGTCCCTCCCCCAATAGGTAGGGATTACAATTCGCATAACAATTCAAGATGAGATTTGGGTGGGAACACAGAACCAGGCCATATCAGAAGTGCCTCATTAAGTCCAAGCCACACTCAGGAGAGGGAATTAAGATGCACCTCTGGAAGGGAACAGTATCAAATGTTTTGAATATATGTTAAAAGCAAAATTATAACTATTGTTTCAGGTTTTTGAAAATCAAAGACTTCTTTTATCTAATTATTTTTCATTAACTCTTTCAGCTTGTCTTTTTCTTTAAGCTTGTTTTTTAATTTAATTTTTTTTAAGTTTCAGGGTACACGTGCAGGATGTGCAGGTTTGTTACATAGGTAAACATGTGCCATGTTGGTTTGCTGCACCTGTCAACTCATCACCTAGGTATTAACCCTGGCATGCATTAGCTATTTTTGCTAATGATCCTCCCACCACCACCCTGCCCCAATAGGCCCCAGTGTGTGTTGTTCCTCTCCCTGTGTCCATGTGTTCTCATTACTCAGTTCCCAATTATAAATGAGAACATGTGGTGTTTGGTTTTCCATTCCTGTGTGAGTTTGCTGAGGATAATGGCTTCCAGCTTCATCCATATCCCTGCAAAGGACTTGATCTCATTCCTTTTTATGGCTGCATAATATTCCATGGTGTATATGTACCACATTTTCTTTATCCAGTCCATCATTGATGGGCATTTGGGTTGATTCCATGTCTTTGCTATTGTGAATAGTGCTGCCATGAATGTAAACATGCATATATCTTTATAATAGAATGATTTATATTCCTTTGGGTATATACCCTGTAATGCAATTGCTGGATCAAATGGTATTTCTGATTCTAAATCTCTGAGGAATCACCACATTGTCACTGTCTTCCACAATGGATTAACCAATTTACTTTTCCACCAACAGTGTAAAAGCATTCCTATTTCTCTGCAACCTCGCCAGCATCTGGTGTTTCTTGACTTTTTAATAATTGCCATTCTGACTGGCATGAGATGGTACCTCATTTGTGGTTTTGATTTGCATTTCTCTAATGATCAGCGATGTTGAGCTTTTTTTCGTATTTTTGTTGGCCACATGTATGTCTTCTTTAGAAGTGTCTGTTCAAGTTCTTTGTCTACTTTTTATTGAAGTTTTTTTTCATGTAAATTTGCTTAAGTTCTTTGTGGATTCTGATTACTAGACTTTTGTCAGATGGATAGACTGCAAAATTTTTCTCCCATTCTGTAGGATGTCTGTTCACTGTGATTGATGATAGTTTCTTTTGCTGTGCAGAAAAAAATGCCTAATCAAATTGCTTTTCATTTACAAAAATGTGAATCTCATACTTCAGTAAACACACCTAGCTTAGCATGATGCCAATAATTTTGGCTTGATGCTGTAGCCTGAAATGGTTAGTTCTAATTGAGAAACAAGTTTTTTTCAAAAACTGGCTATTTGATGGGCATTCTATAATAAACTTAACATCTTTTGTTGTGGTATTGAATGAGATGTGATAGAAGTGATTTGGACACCACTGTGATTCTAAATAGCGCTGCTATTACATGCTTCTGAATTTTTTTTTTTCTTTTTAGCAGTCCTATTCTGTTTTCCATTCATATTTGCTATTCCATCACTGGGTATTCCTTCCTACTCTTTTCATGTTTCATTTATTTTGATCAATGATGTGCATTTCCAATCTGTAAAAGTTTATTTCAGTTTAATGTGTGGTAAAATGTAACATCAAATCTTTGCAAGATGAAATTATCTTGCACAGCAGATTGAACATTGTATCATTGAAAATCTAGAGAGATGCCAGGGAGCCAAGGATCAAATGACCTATTTGTAGCCAAGGCCATTTTCATGGCATCCTGGTCCTCTCTGTCACATGGCTCCTTACAATTCTCTGTGGTTTTCTTCCAATGTAAGTAGTTCTTGTTAAGAATCTTTGCAATGAACTTTGAAATTCTTTTCTTTTTCATTTCTATAAAAAACAGGTATATTTTAATTTGGAAAACTCTGTTTAAGGAATTATAATCAAGTATCTACCAGGGTGCCCAGCACTGGTGTAAAACACAAACCTGTAAAGCTACCCTGGGCTGCTACCCAGTCACCCCCTAGAAGGAGACCGTTGGGAGCAAGTCCCCCAAAATCTGGCCATAAACTGGCCCCAAGACTGGCCATAAACAAAATCTCTGCAGCACCATAACATGTTCATAATGGCCCTAACGTCCAAGCTGGAAGGTTGCGGGTTTACGAGAATGAGGGCAAGGAACACCTGGCCTGCCCAGGGCGGAAAACCGCTTAAAGGCATTCTTAAGCCACAAACAATAGCATGAGTGATCTCTGTCTTAAGGGTGTGTTCCTGCTGCAATTAACTAGCCCAACTTATTCCTTTAATTCGGCCCATCCCTTTGTTTCCCATAAGGGATACTTTTAGTTAATTTAATATCTATAGAGACAATGCTAATGACCGGTTTGCTGTTAATAAATATGTGGGTAAATATCTGTTTGGGGCTCTCAGCTCTGAAGACTGTGAGACCCCCAATTTCCCACTTCACACCTCTATATTTCTGTGTGTGTGTCTTTAATTCCTCTAGCACCACTGGGTTAGAGTCTCTCTGACTGACCTGGTCTTGGCAAGTGGTGTCCATTTGTGGGGGCTCATATCCAGGTCGAAGGGTCACCAGAGCAATGGTTGGAATGGGAAACTAGCTGGAGGACACCCGAGTACTCTTAAAGCAATCCCTGTCGTGCGTAAGAAGGGGAGCTCGGAAGTGTCAGGGTAACAATGGGACAGGTATGGGGTCTGGTTCATTTCACCTTGGAACTTTTTCACACTGGTAATGAGGAGGAACAAGAGTATAGCGAAGTAACAGAAGAGGTTACAGAGCATGTTTATTTGCCAGCTAAAGCTAAAGCAGCAAAGGAAGGAGAGATTCATCCCTACCCTTCTGCACCCCCTCCTTATTATTTTGATGAAGATGACCCCCCACATCTTTCTTTTCTGGAGGACACTGGGCAAAAAGTAATTGCCCCAGTGACTGTTCGAGCAGCGCCTCATGTGACAGCTCTTAGTTCTATTCAGGCAGGAATTCAGCAAGCTAGACAAGAGGGTGATTTAGAGGCTTGGCAGTTCCCTGTTAGAATACACCCCCCAGATCAACAGGGAAATATTATAGCTACATTTGAGCCTTTCCCTTTTAAATTACTCAAAGAATTTAAACAAGCTATTCATACTAAAAAAGAATGTAGAAAAAGTCAGTGAGTCAGGCCGCCAGACAGAGGAAAAAAGAAAACTGTTGAGCCTGAAATATGTCCAAAATGTAAAAAAGGAAAACATTGGGCTAGTCAATGTCACTCTAAGTTTGATAAACAAGGGAACTCATTCTCAGGAAACACCATGAGGGGCCCGTCCCGGGCCCCATTCTAAACCAGGGCATTTCCAGCTCAGGCCATTCCCTCACCCCTGTACAATGTCCTTCCCCAGCCACAGCTGGTAGTGCCGCATTAGATTTATGCTGCACAAAATCTGTGAGCCTTCTGCCTGGGGAACCCCAGCAAAAGGTCCCAACAGGAGTCTGTGGACCCTTGCCAGCAGGGAAAATAGGATTACTTTTAGGAAGGCCTAGTTTAAGTTTAAAAGGCGTACAAATACATACAGGAGTCATTGATTCAGTTTACAATGGGGAAATTCAAATTCTTGTATCTACTTCTGTTCCCTGGAAAGCAGAGCCAGGAGAGCACATAGCACAGCTCCTGATTTTGCCATATGTGGGAATGGGAAAAAGTGAAATTAAATGAACAGGAGGATTTGGAAGCACAAATAAACAAGGCAAAGAAGCTTATTGGGTGAATCAAATTACTAATGAACATCCTACCTGTGAAATAACTATTCAGGGAAAGAAATGTAAAGGTTTGGTAGATACAGGAGCAGACATTTCAATCATTTCTCTACAGCACTGGCCGTCCATGTGGCCAATTCAACCCGCTCAATTTAACATAGTTGGAGTTGGTAAAGCTGCTGAAGTATATCAAAATAGTTACATTTTGCATTGTGAGGGGCCTGATGGACAACCTGGGACTATTCAACCAGTTATCACTTCTGTACCTATACATTTATGGGGAAGAGATTTATTACAACAATGGAGAGCACAAGTTCTAATTCCAGATCAATTATATATCCCTGAAAATCAACAAACAATGCATGAAATGGGGTATGTCCCTGGTATGGGACTAGAAAAAAATTTGCAAGGTTTAAAAAGTTCCCACCAAAGATTAAGATATCATTTTTTATGGTGGCTATTGTTAAGCCTTCCGAACCTATACCTTTAAAATGGTTAATGGATAAGCCAATTTGGATAGAACAATGGCCACTAAGTAAAGAAAAACTGGAGGCTTTAGAGAAATTAGTTGTTGAACAATTAGAAAATGGGCACATAGCTCCAATATTTTCCCCTTGGAATTCTCCAGTTTTTTTTAATTAAGAAAAAATCAGGTAAATGGAGAATGTTAACTGACTTAAGAGCCATCAATTCAGTTATACAACCTATGGGAGCATTACAGCCAGGATTACTTTCTCCTGCTATAATTCAAAAAAATTGGCCTTTAATAGTCATAGATTTAAAGGACTGTTTCTTTACTATCCCTTTAGCTGAGCAAGACTGTGAACGGTTTGCATTTACAATTCCTGCAGTAAACAACCTGCAGCCTGCTAAGTGTTATCATTGGAAAGTGTTGCCACAGGGCATGTTAAACAGTCCCACAATTTGCCAGACATATGTGGGGCAAGCAATTGAACCTACTTGTAAAAAATTTTCACAATGTTACATTATTCACTATGTGGATGATATAGTTTGTGCTGCCCCCACTCGAGAAATATTACTTCAATGTTATGATCACTTGCAAAATTCGATTTCTCATGCTGATTTAATTATAGCTCCTGACAAAATTCAGACCACTACTCCCTACTCCTACTTGGGGACCTTAGTAAATGACACTACCATTGTGCCACAGACAGTAACCATACGTAGGGATCAACTAAAAATATTAAATGACTTTCAAAAATTACTAGGGGATATTAATTGGATACGACCTGCTCTAAGCATTCCTACCTATGCCATGAGTAATCTGTTTTCTATCCTTAGAGGAAATCCTAGTCTCACTAGCCCTCAGCAATTAACAAAGGAGGCAGAGGCAGAGTTACAACTGATTGAGGAGCAAGTCCATAAAGCTCAGTTAAATAGAATAGATCCAGAGAAGACTCTAGATTTGCTAATTTTTTCAACTCAGCATTCACCTACTGGTGTTATTGTCCAAGAACAGGACTTAGTGGAGTGGCTTTTTCTTTCACATACTAATTTATGGACTCTAACTCCTTATTTAGATCAAATCACTACTATGATAGGGATTGGGAGAACTCGGATTGTTAAATTACATGGATATGATCCTGGAAAAATTCTTGTCCCTCTCACGAAGGCACAAATACGCAAGCTTTTATAAATAGTCTTACTCAGCAAACCCATTTTAGCTGACTTTGTGGGTATTCTGGATAATCATTTTCCTAAAATGAAGCTGTTTCAGTTTTTCAAATTAACTAATTGGATTCTCCCTAAAATAAACTTAAACCAATTGAAGGTGCTGAGAATGTTTTTACAGATGGGTCTAGTAATGGTAAAGCTTCTTATTCTGGCTCAAAAAGTAAAGTTTTTCAGACGCCCTATACTTCAGCTCAAAAAGCAGAGCTTGTAGCTGTAATTGAGGTATTGACTGCTTTTGATATGCCTATTAATGTGATTTCTGATTCTTCATGGATGGTTCACTCCACACAGTTATTTAAAATTCTCACAATTTCATACAGATGAACAACTGATGACTTTATTTACCCAATTGCAAACAGCAGTTAGGAGTAGAATGCATCCTTTTTACATCACTCATATTAGGGCTCATACACCTCTTCCAGGACCTTTGACTGAAGGGAATCAAATGGCTGATTGCTTAGTTGCTACTGCAATATTTAATGCTAGACACTTTCACAATTTAACCCATGTTAATGCCTCTGGTCTCAAACGCAGATACAGCATTACCTGGAAAGAAGCTAAAGCTATTATCCAGCGATGCCCATCTTGCCAAATGGTACGTTCCTCATCTTTTACAGGAGGAGTTAATCCTTGAGGACTGGAATCTAACTCTGTTTGGCAAATGGATGTCACACATGTTCCCTGGCTTGGGAGACTAGCTTATGTACATGTATGTGTGGACACCTTTTCTCACTTTGTCTGGGCTACATGCCTAACAGGAGAGTCTTCTGCCTGTGTTAAACGTCATCTTTTGCAGTGTTTTGCAGTGATGGGCATTCCAGCTTCTATTATAACAGATAATGCCCAAGGCTCTACTAGCCAAGCTTTAGCTACATTTTTCTCTATGTGGACTATTAAACACATTACTGGTATCCCATGCAATTCTCAAGTACAAGCCATAGTGGAAAGAATGAATCTCTCCCTAAAACAGCAGTTGCAAAAGCAGAAAGGGAGAGACAGAGAATATGGAACCCCACAAATGCAACTGAACCTATCATTATTAACTTTAAATTTTTTGAGCCTGCCCAAAGGCCAGATGTTATCAGCAGCTGAACAGCATCTACAGAAATCAGCTGCAAAGACAGAAACAGAACAACTGATTTGGTGGAGAGATCCGATAACAAAAATTGGAAAATAGGTAAAATAATAACTTGGGGTAGGGGCTATGCTTGTATTTCTCCAGGCCAAAATCAACAGCCAATTTGGATACCATCAAGATACCTGAAACCTTATCATGAGCCAGATGCCAAGGAAGAGACTCCAGGAGGATCCCGAGGACCCCTCGGTTGCAGCCATGTTGAGACTGATGCTGAGGAGGACCCCAACTGTCATGAGCAACACCTGTCAAACACAGCCACCTACCTGGGGACAGATGAAGAAGCTGTCACAGATGGCAGAAGAAAACCTGAGGAAAGCAGGACAACCAGTCACAATGAATAATTTAATGGCAGCTATGATAGCGGTTATCACCACTGCCGTGAGTATTCCTTCAATAAGGGTTTGTAATAATGCCTGGATGCAATCACTCTATGACATGGTTACACATGCTTTCTGATCTCAGTATTTACCATAATAAATCTGCTCCTATAATTGAGGCATACCACCCTCAAAAACGTATTTGGAAACAAAATTGGACCCAGTTAGAAAAAATGAACATACTTGTTTAGGAAGATTGCTTTGCAGAACAGGCAGAGGTGCTGCACAATAATTCCTATGGAATCATTAATTGGTCCCCTAAGGGGATGTTTAGCTTGAATTGCACCTCTCAGTCTGCATGCCATGGTCACACTATATTCAGATGATCTGAACAAAATGGTCAGATGGTAGAAATGATAAGAAGTATGGCAAAAGTTCCTATTATCTGGAACCATGGCGGTATAGTGGCACCTCAACCTGAAATGATATGGCCCACTGTAGGAGCTTAACATAAGGATTTAAAATTAAAAGAAGAAATATGTAAAGCATCTCAGGAACACCTGAACTTAATGCCAGAAACTGGAGTGCTTAAAGGAGCTGCCGACAAATTAGCAGCTAGTAACCCATTAAAATGGATAAAAACACTTGGAAGCTCTGTGATTTCAATGATGACTGTGCTTTTAATCTATGTTGTTTGTCTTCATATAGTCTGCAGATGCAGATCCCGATTCCTGCAAGAAGTAGCTCACCGTGACAAAGCAGCCCTTGCTTTTATCTCCTTACAAATCAAAGAAGGGAGAGATGTTGGGAGCAAGCTCCCCAAAATCTGGCCATAAACTGGCCCCAAGACTGGCCATAAACAAAATCTCTGCAGCACTGTAACATGTTCATAATGGCCCTAGCGCCCAAGCTGGAAGGTTGCAGGTTTACGGGAATGAGGGCAAGGAACACCTGTCCTGCCCAGGGCGGAAAACTGCTTAAAGGCATTCTTAAGCCACAAACAATAGCATGAGCGATCTGTGTCTTAAGGGTGTGTTCCTGCTGCAGTTAACTAGCCCAATCTATTCCTTTAATTTGGCCCATCCCTTCGTTTCCTATAAGGGATACTTTTAGCTAATTTAATATCCATAGAAACAATGCTAATGACTGGTTTGCTGTTAATAAATATGTGGATAAATCTCTGTTCCGGGCTCTCAGCTCTGAAGGCTGTGAGACCCCTGATTTCCCACTTCACACCTCTATATTTCTGTGTGTGTGTCTTTAATTCCTCTAGCACCACTGGGTTAGGGTCTCCCTGACCGAGCTGGTCTCAGCAGGAGACTCCATCCTGAGTCTTCTGATACATATTCCTTTGTATTCCTTCAAAGATTTGTGCAATAAATATATATATATATATATCTCCCCAAAACAAACCTCAGTTAGTTTTGCTGGTTTTTAAGCTTCCTGTATAGCAAATTCCTACTGCATGTATTTTCCCATGATGCACATTATGTGTAGGAGTTATCTGTGGTGTGGGAGGCTGTCATTCATTCATTTTTACTGCTGAAGGCTTACATATCGTTTTACCACAATTTCACCAGTTTCCTATTGATGTACATGTGGCTGATTCCAGTTTTTGCCATAAATATTAGTGTGCATGTCTCCTGTGCACATAGGCAAGAAAGCCCCAAAGCTCCCAGAGTGGATGATTAGGAATGGGTTGGTTGCATGATACATTGTATGGACTTTAACCATACTAGATAATGATAATATGATTTCCAAAGTGATTGTGGCTACTTAAACTTTTACAATAAATGTGTAATACTTGATGTTGATGATGTGTTCTGAAAACACTGAGTTGAAGGAATTGTGTTAAAAGTCACTGTCTTGGTGGTAGAATTATAGCAAGCATTTTTATTCTGTTAATAACTTCCTGTTGTTTACTTGTTTCTCATATAAAAGACATTATGCTTTTGACAGATAGATTCAGAAAATGCTTACTTACAGCCCAATCACATAGGGTTATTTTATATGTTAGGAAAATTTTATAATAAAAAGGAAAAACTGGAGGAAGGGAGGGAAAGAAGGAGGAATGGAGGAAAAAGTGAAAGAAGAAAAGAAGGAAGGGGAAGGGGAAGGAAAGGGAGAAAGAAGGAGGGAAGGTGATAGGTTGAATGGAAATAGAGAAGAAAGAGAGAGAGGGAGGGCTAGAAGGAAGGAGAAAGGGAAGGAAGAGGCCAGGTGTGGTGGCTCATGCCTGTAATCCCAGCACTTTGGGAGGCTGAGGCAGGCAGAACATGAGGTCAGGAGATAGAGACCTTCCTGGCTAACATGGTGAAACCCCGTCTCTACTAAAAATACAAAAAAATTAGCTGGGCGTGGTGGCAGGTGCCTGTAGTCCCAGCTACTTGGGAAGCTGAGGCAGGAGAATGGCATGAACCCAGGAGGCAGAGCTTGCAGTGAGCTGAGATTGAGCCACTGCACTTTAGCCTGGGCGAGAGAGTGAGACTCCATCTCAAAAAAAAAAAAAAACAAAAAACAGAAGGAACAAAGGAGAAAAGAAACTAAAATAAAGAAAAGAATAGGTGTTAAGAAACTAGAAACCATATGTGTGGCTAATATTATCAAAATAGGAGAAAATAAAACAGATGTAGTTAACTTCTATAGAATAATGGAAATGTAAGAGGGCTTCATTAGTTATCCATTGCTTTGTGACAAACTACCCCCAAATTTAGTGATTAAACAACAAACATTGAGGAACTCAAAAGCATAATACAAATACCAGCAAAATGGAGCCAATGCAGGTAGAAGTTGAATAAACAAAAAGATTTTACACATTGGAATAAGCAAGAGGTCACTAGTGGGCAGATGAAAATGATTTTATAGTCCAAATGCTCCAAAAAGCAAGTTCCATCATGGGATTAAAGTTATAGCATTTTATTAGGGGACACACCTGTCAGGCGATATGGCAAGGGAGGTAGGTTACCCTGGGAAAGGCAACAAGATGCAAAGGTGATCCCCAGTGATGGACAGAAGGAGAGAAAGTTTACTGGATGTGCCCTAGACCACAGGCAATCTAAGGAGAGTTAAGCAAGGCCATGGAGGAGTCCTTGAGCTACAGTTGGCTATCAGAGGAGTCCCTGGTCTCCCAGGAATGTCCTGCTTTCGTGTCACTGGTGTGATCTGTCACTGGTTGGGAACAGCCCATTGGAAGCAGGGCCTCAGCACCAATGCTACTGAGGATGTCAGAGCACAGGAGCAGGGCCTTGGGAGATTACCCAGCATTACTCAAACCTTCTGCCCTGATGGGTCTGGGTCCTTGGAAATCAAGCTGTCTCAGGCTGAATTGCTGGATGATTCTGTTCACACTTACAATGAGGTAAGGGAAACCAGAAGGCCCCCAGGTCGATCTCTGGTTTCCACACACACTTCCGCCCTCATTGTGTGAAAGTAGCCATGCCTTCTCCTGAAGATGAGGATCTATTACCTGGGCCTGGAGAGGAGGAGAATCCTCTTTTCACCAGGTGGTCTCTGGGCACATACTAATCAAAACTTCTCTCGTGACAATCGGAATGTGTAGTTCAGTGGGCTGTCTTTTGTATCCTTTTAAGGGTACCCTCCTTGGAAACCAGGACCTCGTACCCTGCACAGCCCAGTGTTGGAAGATAAAACGTGCAAAATACCCCATTGGGTGAATCTAAGGGATTGGACGTGGAGCCAAACCTGCTTCCATCTTTTGATTCCTGGACACACATGTTCTTCCTATTGAGAACACAGCACTCTAGAGACATCTCTGATTCAAACAATGCACGGTGTCCTGAAAGACGGCACCCACCTCTCAGAGTGCTTCCTCCAGGCTGGCACTGAGTTTTGCCTGTAGAAGACCTGTCCAGCATTCCTTGTGGCTGGCAGCCTCTGGATGGTCCAGATGGTGATAGGATTAGTGGAACCCACAGCCATGGAAACACTGAAACTTTCCCAGCCAAGTGGGTCCTTCAGGCAGATAATGGGCTAGGAGCACCTCCTAGCCTGCAGATCAGGAATGTCAACAGCACCCGGAGAGTGGTGCTGGCTGAGTTTCTGAGAGCAGGACATGAAAACACCCATGGAATAGAAGCCTATCCCTGTGAAGATGAACCTCTGGCCCTTCCAGGATGGAAGTAGCTAAATGTAGTCAACTTGTTACTTAGTGGCTAGTTAGTCACCTAAAGAAATAGTGCCCCACTGGGGCACATCATGGGCCTCAATTGCTGATGAGTTGGACATTCAGAGGTGTCGACAGCTGGATCTGCCTTGGTAGGGGGGAGTCAGTGCTGTTGGCCCCATATGTAGCCTCATGCCTGCCACTGTGGTTGCTCCATTCATGAACTCATCCTACCAGACCAGGGCTGACCCATGGTGAAGGCTGGCTAACTTCCATTTGTCTGTTTGGTTGTTCAGTGCCACTTCAGACTTGGGTATTTTCTGTGGGTGTAAACATGGGATTCAAGCTCAACCCAGGTGGACCATTTTCACCTCATGATGGATGCTGTTGGGCCTGTCCAATCTATGACTCTGTGGGTCACACAGGCACTTGGAACCACATAGTTGCTTGGTGTCCCGTGGTCAAACATTCTATCTAATCAGGACAAGGGACACTAAAAGTTGCTTCTAATAGGTGGCATATGTCTCTGCTGTGAATGACATGACCTTACTCCAGAATCCCAGGCCTTTCACTGTGACTTTCCCACTGGTGCTTGGTTCAGCTCCATCCTGCATCTTTCCCCACCAATGGCATCACCAGCACCAGGGGGTCTGAGAGATGGTGGCTGCTTGCACCATGGCCTGGATCTGCTGCAGGGTCCTTTTCTGTGTGGGCCCCACTTGAAGCTGGCCTCCTCCTATGTCACCTAGAGTGTGGGCCAAAGCAACATACCTAGATGTGGAAAGTGGTGTTGTCAGAACTGAAAGAGGCTCATCAGGCAGTGTGCTTCCTTCTTTCTGGTGAGGATGCAAGATGAAACAGTTTGTCTGTTACCTTGGAGGGGACACACCTGCATTCCCCTAAACACTTGGCCATTGTTCACCCATAAAACTTTACTTCAATGCCCACTATTTTTTTCTTTTTGAGATGGAATTTTGCTCTTGTTGCCCACTCTGGAGTGCAATGGCACGATCTTGGCTCACTGCAATCTCTGCCTCCTGGGTTCAAGTGATTCTCCTGCCTCAGCCTCCCGAGTAGCTGGGATTACTGGCATGCGCCACCATGCCTGGATAATTTTGCATTTTTAGTAGAGACGGGGTCTCTCCGTGTTGGTTAGGCTAGTCTCCAACTCCCAACCTCAGGTGATCCACCCACCTCGGCCTTCCAAAGTGCTGGGATTACAGGCGTGAGCCACTGCGCCTGGCCGAGTGGCCACTCTTGAAGCTTTGTAAGGTTTATCTTCACCTTCTGGAGTGCCCTTGTTTTGCCAAGGACTACAGTGCACTTTCTACCTGCTGCTCATCCACCCAGGTCAACAGGAAGTTGTCAATGATATGAGCTGATTTAATATCCTATTGGATATCCAGTATGTCTAGTATAGTCTTAAGACTATACTATAGAGGTCAGGGGAGTTACAATAGCCCTGAGACAAATGATAAATCAATGTTTTGAGGATCCCACATGAATGTGAATCACTCCATATCCACTTTCTAATTGGAGTGGAAAGAAATGCAGTCACCAAATCCACAGCTGCATGCTCTGTGTCCAAGGGTTTATTAATCTGCTCTACCAGTGATATCCAGACAGCACAAAAGCTGCAATTATAACTCCTACTTGGCCAGACCTGGAGTAATCTAGTTCATTCTTTAGGCTTCATCAGGCTTCTTCAGGGACAGATTGCTGGATTACGTAGAGACAACAGACAGCCCCAACACCATCCCACATCCTTCAGCTCTGTAATGGTGATGTGACCCCCACAATACTTGAAGTGTCTTCCACAAGACCCACCCTGGGACACACTATGATTTTTGATTTGGCCAGGATGGGGGCAGTGTCAGAGGTTTCCCTTTGGCTTTCAGCACAATGAAAGTCCTTACTCCACAGACTAGGGACCCATTGTGGGGGTGACTCCACTTAGCAGTGCATCAGTGTCAATTATGCACTCAGGGTATAGGAAGATAATCAGGGCTGGGTGTATGGATCCAGTAGTTCCATTGTGGGCCATAATGTGTCCAGGTTTACTCCCTGACCTCCGTAAGCCCCACTGTGATGGGAGACATGATAGTGCTGTGGGCATCTGAGCATCAATGTCAGTTCACACCCAGTGTCAATAATCCCCCTAGTTCTGCCTGTTTCCTTTCCCCAGTGTACAACCTCCTGAGTAAATGGCTATATGTTTCTTTGCCGAAGGACTGAGGGAATTGTCCCAGCATATACTTCCACGGGGTTGCAGGGTATTCCGCCTAGAGATATGGACTCCTCCTCTGTCACTGAGATCTGAATCTGCATCTTGGCTGAGGTCTAGGCATTGAGGATGGGATCATGATTTTGTATTGGGTCAAACACCTTCACCCTCCTGCTTCTCAATTCTTGCTTTCTTATCATAGATATCAATCAGCTGCCTGTCCTAACCCTGGGACACCACCCTCTATTATCCTTCCCCACATTCCCTGCAGCTTGAGTCCTCTTGGCTTCTCCTCTGAGGTTGCCATAGTAACCGTGCCCTCTGGCTTTTGCAAGTCACTGCCACCACTTGGTCTTTGTCTCTTCAGGGCCACACTCTCCCCAGTAATATTAGAAATGAAACTCTGGGACTATCTTTACTACCATCACCCCCAGCCTACAAAGGACAATACCCCGTCACTTCTTAGTGATGCAGGTCCCTCTCACCATCAAGTTCCTGAGGCTCTGGTGGAAGGTGTGTCCTCTGGGCCCTCTTGTGGAGCATGGTTTTGGTAGGCCTTCACCAAGCCCACTCCCCTCAGCTTGTTATTCCATTCTCTACATGTTCCAGGGCAACTAAGACATGTCTACCTTGTTGAGAGTTGGGCATGTTTTTTTCTAGACTATGTGGATACATCCCAGCAGTGGGTTTATTCCACTTATCAAAGTCCTGGAGTGTTTGATAAATCCATGCCCTGAGAAAGTGTCTTCAAGCCAAAGGATTATATTCATCCAGACTGAAATTCTGGTTCCTTGATCAAACACCCTCAAATTCCAATCCCAGAAGTGGTCCCTGGGCTCCGATGGGGATGTGCTGGCTAGTTCCTACAAACCTCCTGAGTGGGATTCCCGTGGCATCATAGGGGTGAGGATTGTGTAGCATCTTCCAGCATTGAAAGTGGGAACCATTACTAGAGAAGGGTGAGCCTCCTCTGCATGCCCAGAAGATCCTGGAGGGCACCCATCGCATAATCCTGTTCCAGTTTGCAGAATCTCAGGTTTCCCCACCAAAGCCCTGACTTTCCTGTAACAGGCCTGCGTTGGTTGAGTGTCAAACATCTCTGGAGCACTGTGGCCCTCATAATGATGTTCAGCTACCATTCCTTGGTATCTGCCCTTTTGCTACAGGAGATAAAGACCTGCCCATGAGACACTGCCGAGGGTGTCAGATGTAGCCAGTCATAGCTGTCAACAATCCGCAGATTCTCATTATCCTTTTACACAGCATCGATGCAGCCGAGCAGTAACCAGCCAAAGCCACTGTCTTTGTAGGTTTCTTCCAACCCTGTCCTTATTATGCAGGGCATTCTATCACTGCATCTGCCATAGCACTCCCTAACCAAGGCAACTTCTCAGCTCAGCACTGGTGAGACCCCCAGCTGCTCAGCTGCACCTTGTGCCATGGACTTTCTGTGTCTGCCACCAACCCGGGTGGCATCCTCTTGGCCTGCCAGGCAGTGGGAAGCTTATTTCAAATTCCCATTTTTGCCTGTTTTCATGGATCACCCTTCATGCCACTTGTGTTAGTTAGGGTCCCCTGAGAAGCGGACCCCAATACAGTAGTAAACATGTAAGGATTTATTAGGGGAAATACTTGTGAGAGAAATTCATGAGATAGAAAATGCTGGGAAAGCCACTGGACCACAAAGCAACTCTGAGCCTCAGTGATGTAGAGAGTGCAGGAAGGTCAGCTGGAAGCATCCTAGACCCTGTGCAGGCTAAGGGAAGTTCAGTAAGGGTGGCAGGGAGCCCTGGAGCTTCAGTCAGCCTTCAGAAGAGAAATGTCCTGCCTTAGTTTCTGCCCTACTTTCCTCAATCATTGGCTGGAAAAAGCCAGGGGTGGGCATAGTCTCAGAGCAAATGTGGCAATAGATTTCAGACTTCAAGAGCTGGGGCCATCATCAATTCTGCTTCTTCTAGATGAGGGGCTGGGATGTGCATTCTCATGACTGCCACAATGATCCAGTGGGGAGAGAGGAAAAAGGTTGACGATAAAGATAAAAATGGTATTAATTGATGAACTGACACCTTTAAGTAGATGATAAGGGGTGGCAATTGGGGCACCAGAAGAGGGTCTGGCTCTGGCTGGGAGCAGAATGGTTAACCCACAACAGTCCGTCACATGGTAAAACGCCTGACATGTGGTGCAGTTGCAAATGCATGAGCAGACAGTGGTGGAATCTGTGAAGTTGTCTTCTAATGTGTTCAGTTTTCTCAGTGAAGTGGGAAGCAAGGTCATCAGCTGAAGTAAGAATGGGGAAGGCAGATTGGATGTGTGAGCACAAAGAAAAGGTATGGAAGAGTCACCCAGGCCAGGAGGAGGCTGAGGGTGAGCCATGCAGGGAGAGGGTGATTGCTGGCCATGGTAGAGACTTCCCATGTGGTTTGGAATCCTAAATTTTAAGAGACCAGTCAGCGTACTGTGTGCTTCTCTCCAGCCTCCTGCAGCTCATGGGGGCAGGCTCAGCATAGGCCGAGGTGGAACCCACCAGCTGTGTAGTTTTGCCAGGTGAGTGTGACAACTCAAGGGAGAGGGAAGGGAGGGATGGAAATTATTTACCATAGAATTCAAAATGGGTGAGGAGGGAGGACAGGACACCCAGGGTGAGGGACAGTGAGTAGATGGCAGGATCACTGGATTGGGAATCCCAGGAGGGTGGAACGATTGTTGGAATTGATGTACTACAGGGTAGACTCCAAGCGTGGAAAGCAAGCACATATGCGATGAGTGGTCCACTGATATTACATCACAGCATATGATAAAATGATAGTATCTGTGTCCTCAGAGCCTGTGGCCACCTTGCAAGGGGATGAGTGGAAAGATGGTCAGAGAGTGGGAAGTGTGAGTTGAGAGTATGGAAGGGCTGGGGTTCTTAGCCATGATGAGGCCTAGGGGATAACAAGGGCATGAGATTCAGGCAGACAGGAGAAGATCATGGAGGAGAGGAGTTCCAGGATCTGAGAGGCCAGGAAGCGAGGGCATCTTCTCTGCTGTGTGGGTGTCTATTGCTGCCATAAAAATTACCACAAACCAAATGGCTTTAAACAGCACCTATGTATCATGGCACAGTCGTGTGGATTGCAAGTCCACCCAGTCTCATGGGGCTAAGATCAACATACGGGAAGGTCTGCATTCCTTTCCATAGACTCTGGGGAAGAATCCACTTCCAAGCTCATTCAGGTTCTTGCCTGAATTCACTTCCTTGCAGATAGAAAAGAGGTTTCCACTTCCTTGTTAAGAGCCATCCTTAGCTCCTAGAGCCTTCTCTCAGATACTCACACATGGTGCCTAAGGCACATTCAATCCTCCTGCTTGGAACTTCTGACCTCCCCTCTCCAGCTTCTCCTCTGCCTTCCTCCTCTGCAGAATCTGACTCCAACCAGGGCAGGCTCTCTGCTTTTAATAGCTCTTGTGATTTGATTGGGCCCACACAGAGATTCCAGCAGAATCTCCCTATTTTAAGGTCCTTAATCTTCATTACATGAGTAATGTCCCTTTTGCCATGCAATGCAACCTGTTCACAGGTTCCAACGATTAAGACTGGACATCTTTGGGGACCATTACTCAGCCCACGACATCTGCGTATGTTGAAGTCACCAAGAGTCAAGGAGACAGCAATGCTGGAGAGGGTGACAGTGAACCAGGAGCTACAAGACTCAGGATTGAGAAGAACAGCCTGGGGCCCACAGGGAATGGTTACAGTGAGGCAAATGGGGCTCTAATCTGATGACAGCCTAGGGGTTTTAGGGAGGAGGGAGGCAGAAAGTTCTGAGAACCACAATGAGGAGCAAGGACCCCACCTCACCTCTGAACCCAGGGGTACAAGTCCCTGGGGAAACTCCCCCATGTGGGAGGACTTCGGAGGGGGTCATGTCCTCAGGGAGACCCAGGTTGCTGCTGGAGCTGTGAGATGCAGGAACATCCTGAGAGAGGCTGAGGAGGTTTTGCTGATGTGGACTGAGAAATCCAGGGGGTGCACTGGGAAGATTTCTGTGGCTGGGGAGGTCGGGGAGACAGAATAGAGGTGTGCAGAGCCTTGTGGGGATGCAAGTGCAGAGTATGTGGGGGACCCAGTGTGACTGACACAAACAGGGACAGAGCATGATGAGCTCAGTCCAGGTGCACTCCAGGCCGACGATGGTGCTGAGCCTGTGAGAGATGCGGGAGGAGGAGCAGGGGTGGCTTTCACCTGGGCTCTGTCCATGGAGGTGAGGACAGTGAGGTGGTTGGGTCTTAGTGCTGTGGGGAACTTTTCTTGACCTCCTGATGACTGGATGGAGTGTCTGAGGGAGGAGGGGTCTTACAGGATTGACTCATGACCCTGAGGGAGGGGATGTGCTCACTCCAGGTCTCAGGTCTGTCCTGACACCTTTATTTGTGGCTTAGAGCTCCCTACTGTAAATTATTGGGAGTTAGTTCATTTTGGAGTTTATAACTTAAAGCAGAAATTCAGATGGTTGAAATGTCATTTTCATGAACGTTTGTTATTAGTGTATCATTTAGATTGTCTTGCAAAAGTCTCATTTTTTTTCTAAAGGGTTGCCAATCTTGTTTTAAATTTACAAAGGTTGTTAATTTATCTTCACTGTTAATTGGTTGTGGGTTGTTTAAACTTATACTGTGTAGTTTTACATATCTGTAACAGCAGTAGTTTGGGCCTCTTATATTCTAATAATTAAGACTTTCAGCTGTGTACACACTGTAATTCAAGCACGAGTCATGCATAACCCTAGCACTAAGAGACAAGAGGGGAATCCCTCTCTCTGAAAATTTTGCAAAATTCTGGGTTCTTTTTCCACTGAGTGGGCACAAGTTGGCTAATCATGAACATGAGGTATTTGTCCTCATTTAAAGGTGCTTCAGAAGCACTGACCCCTAGGAAGGCCTCCTTGTCTGGGTCAGGCACCCTACACCATGGCAGAGGCCATCTTCCCTCCCAGTGTACAGTGATATCCCAGATAGCTTACTGGTTAGCTGCTGTCCACTCTTGGGCAGTTTTGTCTTCTAAAACATGGGTTTTTATCTGAGAATCTTCCTGTTCCCAGATGATCAAAACTGGGGCCATCCATTCCATTCTGAGCCACTTCTGCCCAGGGGCCCATGGCTATTTCCTCCAGTCACAACAGAACACCCCTTCAGAACAGCCTGCAGGAAGGCACCGTCTCCTCACAGGCTCACACATGCACGGTGTGTGCACAGAGCTTTTGCTCTAGTTCAGGAGGTGTGTAGGGAGCCTCACTAGTCCAACAGAGCCTGGTACCAGTGTCATATGCCAGGAACCAAGGTTATAAGGGATACCATGTCCCCAGACCTACCAGAGAAGGCAAACTCATACAGCTTGCAGGACCAGACAAGGACAAGAAACAAGTTCAAAAGAGGGAAAGGGAAACTACAGACGTACCTCAGAGATACTGCAGATTTGGTTTCAGACCATGGTAACAAACAAGTTACACAAATTTTTGTTTTTCCAGTACATATAAAAGTTATATTCACACTCTACTGTAGCCTAGTAAGTGTACAATAGCATTATGTATGAAAGAACTATGTACATACCTTAATTTAAAATTACTCTATTGCTAAAAAATGCTAACGGTCGTCTGAGGCTTCAGCTAATTTTAATCTTTTTGCTGGGGGAGGGTCTTGCCTCAATGTTGATGACTACCGGCTGTTCAAGAGGGTGGTTGCTAAAGGCTGCTGTGGCAATTTCTTAAAATAAGACAATGAAGTTTATGGCATGGATTATAAAGGGGGAATCAGTACTTAAGTAAGGTCAATATGAGTTTTCAAGTCAGGTGGACTTGAATATGAACCCTCCAGGCCTTTCCACCAACTAGCTATAGATCCTTGGGCACATCTGGCCCAGAGCTGGCCCCGACAGACACTTGCCCAGTGGGTGAGTGCTCAATGAACCCATCTGAGCCAATTGTCTCATCCAACCAGTGATATAATTCCTTCCTTGCAGAAGAATAAGTGAGAAAAGACACAGTGCCAAGAAATTCAGACACAAGACCTGCGGAAGTCTGTGCCAGTGCTCTAAAGCAAGTTCTGCCTAAAGCGGCAGAAACATTTTTCACATTAGGAACAGGAGTTGTTTGGGATCCTGTCTGGGGCCAGGTTGAGAGCAGAGTGGGAGTGGGGGCCTGGGCAGGACCAGGCACTGGAGTGAAGACAGGCCTGGAGAGAGCTGACTCCTGGAGGCTGCTGAGCGGCTCAGACAGCTCCTTGCCTCACCTGCCACAGTCCTCCCTCTCCCCTGGCCTCCAAGTACCCGGGAGTGCGAGCCTGGGCCCCGGGAACCGGCACCTTGAGGGCTGGAGAGGGACCCCGCCCGCTCCCTGTCTCCCTGACGCGCTCTCTCCGCCTCCCCGCGGGGACCCAGCCTCCCGGGCTCCCTCCTGCCTACCGCCCGGCCCTGGAGCCGCTTACCTGGGAGCTTCTTACGGTGTAGGGGGAGCTGGGGAGGGGACAGAGGGACAGGGACCACGGGAGGGTGGCGTGGGGCGGCGTACTTGGAGATATGACCTGAGGAGTCTGCAGACCCCAGACCGGGGCAGAAGAGCCGTGGGAGGAGCTGCTGAGCTCTCCAGGCCGCCCTTTACCTCCTGCCTCCCCAGCCCAGTTCATCTTGATCCTCTCCTCACTAGCCCAGGTCTCCCCAAGGTCAGGGCTCATAGAGCAGCAGGAGTTGGGTTCCGGGACGCGGGATCCGGCTTCTCTGGGAATCTTGGATTCCAGGAAGGATCCTGGAGATCTCCCACTTTATGAAGCCCAATCTCCAGTCACTGTGATGGCGTCTTTAGACCCCACTGGAAACCAGATACGACGCCCTCATCGGCCCTGGGGAAAAAACAAGAGCAAAGTATGAGAGGTGGCCATGAGGTCAGGGAAATTCCTGCAGAATTCTCAGGAAAGGAAACTCTTCCGAGCTGGGCCCTTGGCTTAGTTTGTCTTCCCTGCCCAGCCACCTGTCCCAGAGCTGGAGACGCCCAGGTTTAAGCCAGAGATTTTGGATACTTTCCTTGATGGTGACATAATTTTTGTCTTCTCTCCTGGAAGAGAAGCCCCAGAACCATCAGAGTGATCCAGTCTGCCCACTCTTCTTATTATTCTGTCTCTCCAATCACTCTCCCTGAGCTGGACTCTCCACCCACCCTCACATTCTGGATAGTGCAGAGATGTGAGCATGGCCCTGGGGCAGGATTGTCTGCGTGCAAGCCCAGCTCCACCACGACTTGTAGGCGACCTTCTTTCCTATTGTATCACCTGAAAACGGAAAATTAGCAGGCACACCCCATAGATGTATCGTGACAATTAAATGAATTCATATTTTGAAAGTGCTAAGGACACGGATTAACACATAGCACCATGACAGTGTATGATATTATCGCTGTTGGTGTTTTTTTTTTTTTTTTTTTTAGATGGAGTTTTGCTCTCGTTGCCCATGCTGGAGTGCAGTGGCACCATCTCGGCTCACTGCAACCTCCACCTCCTGAGTTCAAGCGATTCTCCTGCCTCAGCCTCCAGAGTAGCTGGGATTACAGGCGCCCGCTACTACACCCAGCTAATTTTTTGTATTTTTAGTAGAAACGGAGTTTCCCCATGTTAGGCAGTCTGGTCTTGAACTCCTGACCTCAGGTGATCCACCCTCTTCGGCCTCCCAAAGTGCTGGGATTACAGGTGTGAGCCACCATGCCCCGCCGTTGTTGCTATTTCTTTCATCCTTTTTGCTTGAGCCTCTTCTCTTCTTTCTAGGTTCCCAGGGAAATTCTCTGTTGGAAGATTATGCCTGCAAGAGGCCTCCACCTGGGAAATGCTGGCCCATGGGGGGATCTCCCTTTTATTAAATGGAATGATTGTTGGTGAAGTGACAGCTAGTGAGCCAGTGACAGTACGGTTCATGTAAAAAAGACCACATACCTAGGATTACCTCCATTTTAATAAAGACACATCCCACACATTATAAGTCCAATGTGATTTGTGAGGAGATTGCTTTGATTTGCTCACGAAAAATATTACTCTACTTTCTTTGAGAGAGTTTTGCAACACATTTCAAATCTCTGCTTCTCATTTCACACTATCTGGCTCATGAGTGAAGGTGATAAGTGTCGTACTATGCTCTCAGGTTTGTCTGTCAGAGTCATAGTCATGTATTACACATAAAGATTATTTTCTTGTTATCATTTATTTATATATATTATACTCATGGGATATAGATAGATATTATTACAGTGCTTAAATGGCTACTACTGATATCTATACATTTTCTCTCTTGGTATATGATATTAACACATAGAATTGTATACTGTTACTTTGGTTTCCAGCAATTGCTGATTAGGTCATTTGGACCACTTCTCCCATTGAGTACAACTAGAAAAATGGGAGGAAAATACATATTTGAAAAGTCTGGTTGAATTTATAGATGGGCTAGCAAAGCAGTGAAGATTTGCTTGGCCAGGAACCAGGAAGAGGCAGAAATCCAGAAGAGCATCTTGAGCTATGGGGCTGCTTTTTTGGATCAGATGCAGTGACACCTGCCTCCCAGGCAAGAAGCCAACTTCTGGGATTCAGAACTAAAGTGTCCCAATATTTAGAAGGTCTCTTGGTCTCTCTAGAGTTCAGTGCTCATTGGCCAGGGCTATGATACTCACACTCATTCCTTGGAGGAGCCAAGCTTCGGGTTTGGCTGCCTCTGGGACATTTCATGCTAGAAAAACCCCAACATGTGTAGATAAATGGTATAGAGGACACCAGCCACCCTTTGATGGAGCTCTGCCCAGTAGTGTCCCCTCACTTCCACTCAGAGACAACATGCCCATTTCACTAAATTCATGAGGACATGGCCAACATAAGTAAGAGAACACCGGGAGGTACCTTGGACAGAGTTCCATGCAGTCACAGCTTTTGCGTCTCTGTGTCTTTTCCCTTCATCTCAACCAGAGAGCATTTGCCGAGGCCGAAGAACAAAAAACTTCAAATATTGGAGCGGAATCTAAGACCACTGATCCATTGTGATCAGGAGGCTGGAGCCATGTGGTCCAGGAATAATGAAGTCTGTGAGGCCTTGGTCACCCCAAGGCTCTCTCCCATTAGAAGCTGCCTCTCACTGCTATCAGGGAGGACCCAGGAGCTGGACATGGCTTTTTTTTTTTTTTTTTTTCATTTCTGATGAGAACCTGGAGAGGTCCCAGAGCATATAGACCTTGATTGAAATGGGGCCAGAGTGGAGTCAGGCAAAAAACTCTAATGACTCAGAGGCACCTAAGTATAAAATAAAATCTCAACTCAGAGCTTCCATCAGAGCATCAGGCTCAGTATCTCCTGTGTTTGCACTGTGAGTACTGGAGCTTGATGAGAAGAAAAATAGCTACATGTGCAGAAAAACATATGTAGTTAGAAAGCTGGGTCATGGTTCAAGGTAAGAGGGACCCTTGTCTTTTCCGTGGTAGATAGTGGGGCTTTCTGCCATCTTAGTTCTGATGGACCAAGTGCAGAAGATAAACTTTCCTGCTTTCAGCTTAGTGACTGGTAATAGAAGCTGGAGTTAAGAGAATCAGTGGCAGCCTCTGTCTCCATGCCCCAGCCCAGTAAATCTAAGCCAGGACTTGGGGCTCTGGCACTTTCTTCTCACTGTGCGTCCTCCTTCTCTGGCTCAAAAGAGAACCACATGTAACAGAAACCAAGGGCTACAATTCTCATAGAACCCAGAAAACTGGACTAGGGGCCTAGAGAGTCATGTGCCTGCCATTGTTCCACCGCTTACGTGCTGTGTGACCTCAGGAGAAGCTCTCTGCTCTTTGAATCATCTGTGAATCATGGACAAACACCTCCATGCTAGCAACATTACTGAAATGCAGGGAGGAACAAGTGATTCAATTGGGAGGAAAAAAAGCAAAGTGATGACATTTACTCCTAGACAAAACTTTTTAGGAAAATGTATCTTAAAAGTAGGAGAAAAACATATAATACCTGCAATCCCCTGCAAAAGAAGCCTCTTTAGCTTACTACTTGTTCATCGTCTTTCTGTGAAATTTGGGCAAAACTAGCTGCCTCATTATCTCAAATAAATTAATGCAGTTGGCGATTCTATGTCAGTTTAGGTCTACAACTTTTGCTTTGTGTGAAACTGAAAGGGAATGGGAACATCTTCATTTTTCTGTGGTGGCCAGGGGACACTCAGAGGCTTGGAAATGACCCTATATCATCTATTTTCAATTGCCTCACTCTATCTTTTGAAATCTCAGGTAATTCATACTCCTAAAAAAATCTCATGTTCATACATAGGACAAGGTAGAAAAGGTAATATTTCTGTTTTAATTTGCTAGGGCTGCCATAACAACGTACCAAAGGCTGGGTGACTTAAATAATAAATATGTGTTGTCTCACAGTTCCAGAGGCCACAGGTGCAAGGTCAAGGTGCTGCAGGGTTGATCTCTTCTGAGGCCTCTTTCCTTTGCTTGTAGATGGCCACTTCTTCTGCCTTCTCAACATAGGGCTTCAACATGTGGATTTTGGTGGCGTAGGAACACAATTCCTCTTGTAACAGTCTGGATCGTCTTTGACAATGGATGTTCTAAAAAATAAAAGAGAGTAATAGACAGTACAACCCTTTGGCTGAAATCTTTCTCTTGGTTTTCTAAAATTTTGGTCTTGCAATAGAAAAAACAAGAAAGAGAACCAAAGTTTAGTTCTTCCCGGAAGGTGAGGCCTCCTCCCTAAGTCTGTGTAATCCCAGACACTAAGACATGGTGCTGTGCAGTTCTCCAAAGTCCTACTCACTCCAGTGATTCTGTTTCTGTCTTTTTAACTGAGCAGAAGAGTCTCTTTCAGGAGAGCAACTTCTTCTGATGCTTTATGGGCTTTATTCTCCTTAAACTTATGGAATGAAAAAGATCTTAATAAAAAGGAAAATATTTGCCAAATTTTTATCATGCTCATAATTTTTGTACCTTTTTAAATGCCCCATATTGTGTTGTTTATTTTTTAAATTTTTTAAAATTGGTACATAATATTTGTACATATTTATGGGATACATGTGACATTTTGATACATGCATAGAATGTGTGTATCAGTCAAGATATTTAGGGTATCCATGACCTCAAGCATTTATCATTTCTTTCTGTTGAGAACATTTTAAATTCACTCTTTTTTGTTTTGTTTTGTTTTTTGAGATGGAGTCTCACACCATCACCCAGACTGGAGTGCAGTGGCACGATCTCGGCTCACTGCAAGCTTCGCCTCCCGGGTTCACACCATTCTCCTGCCTCAGCCTCCCGAGTAGCTGGGACTACAGGCACCCACCACCACGCCCGGCTAATTTTTTTTTTTTTTTTTGTATTTTTAGTAGAGACGGGGTTTCACCATGTTAGCCAGGATGGTCTCGATCTCCTGACCTCATGATCCACCCTCCTCGGCCTCCCAAAGTGCTGGGATCACAGGCATGAGCCACCACGCCCAGCCAAATCCACTCTTATAGCTATTTTGAAATATACATTTTTGTTAACTTTAGTCAGTCTGCTGTGCTATCAAACATTAGAACTTATTTTCTCTATATAATTGGACATTTGCATCCATTAACCTGCATCTCTATATTTTCCCACCCCTACATTCTTCCCAGTTTCTGGGAACTGTCATTCTACTCTCTCTACCTCCCTAAGATTAACCTTTTTGGCTCGCACATATTAGTGACAACATGTGGTATTTGTCTTTCCTTGCTTGGCTTATTTCACCTAACGTAATGACCTTTGGTTACATCCATGTTTCTGCAACTGACAGGATTTCATTCTTTTTTATGGCTGAATTGCATTCCATTGTGTATATATATACCACCATTTATTCATTCACCCATTGATGAATTCACCCATTGATTTCATAACTTCGCTACTGTGAATAGTGCTTCAATAAACCTGGGGGTGCAGGTAGTCTTTTGATATATTGATTTCTTTTCCTTTATATAAATACCCATGAGTGGAGTTGTTGGATCCAATAGTAGTTCTATTTTTTGTTTTTTGAGAAATCATTATACTGATTTCCATAATTGCTGTACTTACTTTCCCAAGAGTGTACAACAGTTCCCATTTCTCCACATGCTCACCACTATCCATTATTTTTTATTTCCTATTAGTAGCCATTCTAAATAGGATAAGATGATATTTCATTATAGTTTTGATTTGCATTTTCCTGATATTTAATAAGGTTGAGTGTTTTTCGTATACCTGTTGACCATTTGTATGTCTCCTTTTGAGAAACATCTATTCAGACACTTTGTCCATTTTTTAATTGGATTATTTGTGTTTTTACTGCTGAGTTTTTTAAGTTCCTTGTATATTCTAGATGTTAGTTCCTTGCTGGATGAATACATAGCAAATATTTTCTCTATTCAACAGGTTGCCTCTTCATTCTGTTGATTGTTTCATTTGCTGTGCTGAAGCTATTTAGTTTAATATAGTCCCACTTGTCTATTTTATTTTTGTTGCCTGTGCTTTTGAGGTCTTAGCCATAAAGTCTTTGCCCAGACCCATGTCTGGAGTGTTTCCTGTAAGCATTCTTCTAGTAGTTTTATAGTTTTGGGACTTACATTTAAATCTTTAATCCATTTTGAGTTGATTTCTGTATATGGTGGGAGACAGGGTTCTAGTGGTATTCTTCTGCATCTGGTAGCATTTTCCCAGCTCCATTTATTCTCCATTGTTGCTTTTGTTCTTTCTCCATTGTATATTCTTTACCAAAAATGAGTTGGCTATCAATGCATGGATTTATTGTGAGTTCTCTTTTGTATTCCATTAGTCTATGTGTCTGTTTTTATGCCAGCACCATGCTGATTTGGTTACTATAACTTTATATTGTATTCTGAATTCAGGAAGTGTGATACCTCTAGCTTTGTTCTTCTTGCTCACGATTGCTTTGGCTATTTGGGATATTTTATGATTCCATATGAATTTCATAATTTTTTCTATTTCTGTGAATAATGATATTGGTATTTTGATAGGGATTGAATTGAATCTGTAAATTGCTTTGGGTAGTATGAACATTTTAACAATATTCTCCCAATTTATGTGCATGAAATTTATGTGTTTCATTTTTTAAATTAATATTTAACAATATTAATTCTCCCAATTTGTGTGTTTTATTTTTTTTCCTTAGAGACAAGGTCTCACTATGTTTCCCAGGCTAGTCTTGAACTCCCAGGCTCAAACAATTCTCCTGTCTCATCATCCCAAAGTGCCAGGATTACAGGTATGTGCCACTGCGCCTGGCTCTTCCAGTTTTGTGTACTCTTCAATTTCCTTCATCAGTGCCTTATAGTTTTTGTTTTACTTCCTGGGGTAAATTGATTCTTAGTTATTTTATCCTCTTTATGATTTATAAATAGTTTTGCTTTCTTGATTTCTTCTTCAGATTATATGGTGCTTGTATATATAAATGCTCTGAAAGTTTGCACATTGATTTTGTATCCTGTAATTTTACTGAATTTGCTTATTAGTTCTCACCATTTATTTGGTGGAATATTTAGATTTTTCTTTCTTTCTTTTTTTTTCTTTTTTTGAGATGGAGTCTCGCTCTGTCATCCAGGCTGGAGTGCAGTGGCGCGATCTCGGCTCACTGCAAGCTCCACCTCCTGGGTTCACGCCATTCTCCTGTCTCAGCCTCCTGAGTAGCTGGGACTACAGGCGCCCGCCACCACGACCAGCTAATTTTTTTTTTTTTTTTTTTTTTTTGTATTTTTAGTAGAGACGGGGTTTCACAATGTTAGCCAGGATGGTCTCGATCTCCTGACCTCGTGATCCGCCTGCCTTGGCCTCCCAAAGTGCTGGGATTACAAGCATGAGCCACCGCACCCGGCCAATATTTAGTTTTTTCTGAGTAAAAGATTATGCCATTTGCGAATAAGGCTAAGTTGGCTTTCTCCTTTCCAATTTGGATGCCCTTTATTTCCTCCTCTTGGCTGATTGCTCTTGCTAGGACTTCTAGTGCTGTGTAGAATAAAAGTGATGAAAGTGGGAGTCTTAGCCTTCTTCCAGATCTTGGAGGAGAGGCTATAAGCTTGTCCCTATTCAGTATAATGTTAGCTGTGTGTTTGCCATATATGGATATATCATGGTGTATTATTCTTTTGGTATACTGTTGGATTTTGTTGCTAATATTTTTAATTATTATTTTTATCAGCAACTTTATAATTTTTATTATAAGCTTTTTAAGCTTATAAAATGTACATATACCAAAATAATCAGATCTTCATCAAATTTATCAATGAATTTTGACCAATACAGCATATTACTCTTGCCACTATCAATGTACATAAAGATCCCTTTTTCTCCCTTCAACTCAGCTTCCATGCCTCCAGCAGCCATTGATCTGACGGCTGTCAGGATAGCACAGTTCTTCCTGTTTTAAAACTTCATACAAATCTACTCATCCCATATGGCCTCCCTTGTATCTGGCTTTTTGCGCTTGTTGTAATACCTATGTGATCAATCCATGTTGGTGCACGTATCAGTAGTTCTTTCATTTTCATTGCTGATAATATTCCATTGTATGACTGAATCATGATTTTTGTACATTGGCAGTTATTTCTTGTTTTTTACTATTATAAATAAAGAAACTATGAACATTTTTATGCAGGGATTATCGACAAAATCTTCATTTCTCTTGAGTATATACCTAGGAGTGGAAATGGTAGCTGTAGAGGACTAGCTTGTTTAACTTTATTAGATGATATGAAATTGATTTTCAAAATGGATGTTTTATATTCTTATAGGCAATGGAGGAGAGTACAGATTGTTCCACTTCCTTGCTAGCATTTATAGTTATTAATCATTTTAATTTTAGCCATTCTAATGGTTGCTTAGTGGTTTCTCACTGTGGTTTTACTTTGCATTTTTCCCTGAACTGGCCATTCATATATCTTCTTTTGCAATGTTTCAGATTTCTCTACAGATTGTGGAAGGTGCTAAATAAAGATGAGTCCTCTTTCTCTAGTGCTGGACCTAAAGCAGAATGTTCAGAGTCCCTCCACATATCCCAATCCAGCCAACCACATACCATGTTTGCCTCCAGAAGCTCCTACTCCTTCATCCGTCTTTCACGGTCTATCACTTCATTCTGGCTTAAGCTCACACTCCTCCAGGAAGTCAGTTACTGTGAAGGTCACTAACATGCTCAGTATTGTCATGTCTCCACCTGTCTTTACTTCTCTGTAGCTTTCCTCACACTCAACGACTCCTTTTTATTTTGCTCAATTTCTGTGGATTCACTTCACAAATTTTATTATAAGGTAGTTCTAGCTAGAAGAAAAAATAGAGAATTATAAGAAATCTTTGTGAAGCTGCCACCCAGGTTTGTCAATTTGTGACATTTTAATATTATTGGCTGTATGTAGTATACATAGAAAATAACAGAAACACGTGTAGATAGCCCTGATTTTCCACAGTTCTGTTATGCATGTGTTTCAGTCAATACTGTACTGAGCAAAGCAAGAACTGTTGGTGAATGTGTGTCTTGAATTTGCTGTATGCCCCTATATTCTTACTAAGTTTTAAAAAGTCTCTTGTTTTTGTTTGTTTGTTTGTTTGTTTGTTTTTAACATGGTTTCACTTTGTCACCTGGACTGAAATGCAGTGGCACAAACACAACTCACTTCAGCCTCTACCTGCCAGGCTTAAGCAATTCCTCCCTTCTAGGCCTCTTGAGTAGCTGGGACTAGAGGTTTGCGCCACCATGCCTGGCTAATTTCTGTATTTTTTGTAGAGAAAGGGATTTATCATGTTTCCCAGACTTGTCTGGAACGCCTGGGGTCAAGCAATCTGCCCACCTTGGCCTCCCAAGATGCTAGGATTATGGGTATAGGCCCCCTTGCCTGGCTTTACTTTTAGACTTTTTATAAATTGTTTCTTGCTGATTTTGTTATGCATTTGCTTGCTTTTTCCGTTAACATGGTCTATGAGATGGATCAATGTTCACACAAATAGTTCATTTGTTTTCATTGCTAGATAGTATTCCATGGGAGGAATATGCTACAATTTATCTCTTCCCCACTTCATTGACCTCTACATAGTCTTTATTAAAGACACTGCTGCAATGAACATGCTGGGACATTGCTTTCTGGTTCCAAGAATATGTGAGCTCCCCTAGGATATGCATGTAAGAGTGGGGTCACTGCACCCTTCCCATATGATGCTACATGATGTCAAATTGTTCTCTGAAAGAAATAATCCAAATGCCTATCAGTAGGGAGCTGGTTAAAAAGCATTGCATTCAAAAAGGGTAATCTCTATTTTAAAAAATGCATGCCTATACAGTGGATTGCCAAGAAATTTTTGAACAAAAAAAAGAAAGACATAGTGTAGTTCTTGATATTTCTTCATGGGATGGTCTCCGTGATACAATGGTAAGGGAAAACAGCAAGGTACAGAAAAGCATATGTAGTTTGCTAAAATTTGTGTGCAAAGGGAGAAAGAACATACACATATACATTTATATTTGCTTGCACAGTCACAAAATACCTTTGAAAGAATAAGCACTGCCTGATGAGTTTGGAGTGAGAGATGGTCAGGATGATTTCCCGCACAGTCAGGTTGTTTGAAGGGAGGGGAAAAGAGCAAGCAGCAAGTTTTGTGTTTCTGCAAAGACAGAGACAGTGCAGGAGACACTGAGAGCCTGGAGTGTCCGGGAAACCCGAGTCTTTCTGCCATTTCCCCACTTCTGTGTATCTGGCAGGGGGTGGTGATTTCTCATCCTTGAACCTAATTGCACTGTCAGTTGGCCCCTCAGGCCTGGGCAGATGGGATGGTTCATCCCCTGCCCTGCAGCAAGAGGGCCCTGTCCAGGAGGCACCCACAGCAGGGGCAGTGCAGGTCTGTGGTCGCTCCTGCTCTCACCTGTGGTGTCTCCTGAAGAGGGATTGTCAGTTCTGGTTCCCCGTGGGCGGGAACGGTTGCCTTGTAGGTTACTGGGGCACTGGCCAGGAAAGGGGTGTGAAAGTTATGTGCTAATTTCTCAAAATTCCTGCTTTAAATGCTGATGTCCAATAAAGATGTTCGTAGTTTCAGCTGGGTCTTAAAAGGATTTCCACCAATACTAATGTTGTAACCCATATCAAATGAAACAGGAACTCAAATGTGGAGCTCCCTCTCCAGGACGGTCCATGTGGGAGACAGTGGCTGTGGCAGTGGCAATCCCCAAGTGCAAAGGGTGGGCAGAGGCAGCCTCAGGCTGAGGGGTCTCAAGAAACTTTCTACTCCACAGGGAGAAGAAGATCCCCTATGGGCTGTGAGGGCAGTGGCTTGGGTGGAATCCCTGCTAGGAATCCCTGCTAGGAACAGGAGAGGAAGGCCTTTCAGCCTCCCCAAGCAGCAGCCCTGGGGAGAAGCTGTGCTTCCAGGGATGAGTGGACCAGGCTGGAGCAAGCATGGCCCAAGTGCAGGTCATGGGCCTGGGGGTCAGGGTAGGCTCCTTGAGCAAGGGGGTTCCCAGGGTCAGGTCAGCTGCAGACCCCATAGCAGCTACATGTTTCCATGCTGGGCCTGCCATGCTGATGGGATTCTTAATGGGCTTCCCAGTTAGGAGCTGCCTGCTCAGGGCTGGAAGTGGAGGAGCACTGAGCTGCAGGTGGAGGGCAGAACCACAGTGTTTAGGGCCTGCCTTTGTGTGCAGGTGTCTCTACAGGTGAGGTGGGACTGGGGACTGAGGAAGAGAAGGACTGTGCGTGTGACCCAGCCCAGTCCTGGAAGGACATGGAGCCAGGGCCAGAGCCTCTCTTTGGGGAGTCCTCCTGCTGTCAGAGCTGGCCAGGCTTGAGAGGAGGGGAGGGCACTGGGTTTTTCCCAGGTCTTGTCCTTTGGTCCTGGGGCTCTTTTCCTCCTTGCATGGTGGCTGGTGGGCACAGGGCAGGGGCTGATGTTGATGGAGTCACGGGAGGGGACTGGCAGGGGCTGGGAAAAGTGCCATGGGAGGGAGAAAAAAGTGCAGACATCATCTTCCCTCGGAGAAAGGGTGAATCTGATTTGGGACTGACTGAGGAGGGAGAAGTCGTCAGGGAGTAAAAAGCAGCACTGTGCACCCAGGGGAGCACTTACTATTTTTTCTCTTTTCTCCAGAGCACATGAGCCTGCAAGGCCCAGATCAACACCTGACTCAGACAGAACACCAGGGCAGTGCACAGCTGGGATTTCAGTCTCTGCTCTCAGCTCCCAGGTCCACTGGCTCTACTGAGGGCACCTACACTCTGCAGCCAGGCGGCCTGGATTGAACGCCCTGCCCAGGTCTCACCAGCACTTTTTCTCTTGCTGGCTCAGCTTTCTCATCTATGAAATAGGGAATGTAACAACATTTATTTCTTGTGGTTGGGTGGATGAAAAGTGTTAGTATATATGAGGTGTTTGCAGCTGTGCCATATTATTTTTGTTATTTTGTTATGATTTTATTATATTTTAATACATTAATGTCATGTAGTTGTATTATCACAGGTGAGCTTTATGAGTGAGTGTCCTGGTGACGGCTCCTCCGGGGAGCCAAGGACCAACTTTCCTGGCACGTTGAGGTCCCCTCGCCCTGTCACACTCTCCTGCATTACCCCATTCTACTCTGTCTTCATATTTTATACTATAGATATTTAGCTTTTAAATAGACATTTCTGGTCTGTGTTTTATTTCAAGTGTCTGGGAACGGATAGAGTTGAGGTTCAAGGGAGAATGAGAGCTCTGTCTAGATGCGTTGACATAGCACAAAGAAATCTCCCCTCCTCCCTGATATCTCCCCGCCAGTTCTCAGGGAAGGACAGATTCAGAGCAACACAGACAGGTCTGGAAAGGGATGGGGGGACATCTGAAGCAAATGTTCAGGGCCTGAAGCTGTGAGAGTACACCTGCCCTACAGAGTTGGAGCCCTCATGTGATGATGCAGAGCTGAAGTGTTATATTCTGGAGGGGATAAAAAGTGCTCTGGGGTTTCCTGATTATGAAGGGTAGGGGTCAGTCTGCTTCTAGGAGATGTGGACTGAATTAGTGAAAAATAAATGCACAGGGAATGAGGATGAGTAAAGCAAGCATCAGCATCTCCCGCCATCAGTTCAGACTGATTCGGAGGTGGGGAGGTGGGATAGTTCCTGACCCTGTTGCAAGGTTTCTTTTGACTTTCTGGTTTTGGGGCACATAGATGGGTGGTGCTCTTCTTGGTCAGGGCGGCCTCAGCTCCACCCAGGTAAGGCAGTGGTGGCAGAGAGTTAGGGGAGCACCTATGAAACAGACCAAGGCAGGGATGGGAGCCCTTGGTGCAGCAGGAGTGCATGCAGGACTTGCCTGGAAGCAAGAGTATTAGGGACCCTAGTCAGGTCCTGGTCCCCTCCCTGCCTAGGCTCACAGGACAACCAGTAAAGATGCTGGAGTGGGGAATTCATTCATGGGCTATCTATCCAGAGTTGTTTATAGACATATTCTTTCAAGTTTGTATTCAGGGTTGATGTCACATACACATTTATACATGCTGTTTTATGTTTAAGTGTTTTTATATTTTGGTTAGCCCTTTATCATTGTTAAACAAAGTTGTCATTAGGCATAAACTTGCATGTTAACTGAAGCTTTTGTTTTTATTTTATTCGAAGTTACAATTGCACATAATGGAAAGAGTAAATATTTGTGCAGGACTTTCTGAGAAAAATGAGAGTCTTCTCTGCCTTTCTAGGGAGAGTCCTCTCTTCTCTATTTCTGCCTTTCTAGGGAGCAACCACTTTCAAGTTTCAGCTGATTCTTTTGACTTTACTTTCACATATCTAAGCACCAAAGCACCATTTCTTTATTAACATTGCTTGATTTTTCAGTTGCAGCCATTGACTATTGCACTGCACGATGGTGGAATCAATAGTTAAGATTACTTGTTCTCTTTCTTTTTGTATTTTTTTCTTATTTTTTAATTTATTTAAATAAATAAAAATATTCTACCTCCCCAAAACCCCTCAGGACCCACACACAGGCACTGCAGCAGCGACAGGAGGAGGGGGCGCTGGGAACAGGAAGGACACCACCGCTTGGCCTCCGGCACCGGAGGGACAACCTGGAGGGCTCCGGGAGCACCGCAAAGGTCCAAGCGGAGCCAATCCTCACAAGCCCAGGGAAGGGCAACGTGACAGGCCGGCGGGACAGCCCCACCGCCGCGAAGAGGGGCTGCCCAAAAGGCAACAGCCATAGGAGATGAGCAGGGGTGCCTGCTGCGTCGGAGAACTCATCTCCCCAACCCCACCGACGCCACAAGGTAGAGGGCGAGGACAGCGAGGTCGGCCGGATTCCGCACCCCTGCCTCCAACCACCGCCCATGGGCGGGGAGGAGAGACTACCGACCGCAAGCGGAACGCAGAACGAGAAGAGCCGTCCCGTTAGCCATGAATGTGTCCCTCATCTGTACCGCCTCCGGCCCCGCCCGGGAGAACGCGACGTCACCACATCCATCACTTGTTCTCTTTCACTCTTCCCGTTCTTTCCTTTTCCCAGTATATTTATATAGTAATTATGTTTAATTCAGCCACTCCTTGTTTTTTTCCGTGACTCATCTTCTCATATGTCAACTTGACTACTTTTCACTTGCTTCGTAGTATTTGTTCTTCCTCAAGTTAATACTTGCCTTTGTTTTTGTTTATGTTCTAGATAACTCTCATTAATTTAACTTTGATATCTGTTCCATTTCTGTGACTCTGTTAAGAAATTAGAGACTTTGAACTTTCTATTAATTTTACTTTCTTGGAAATGTCCCTCTTGGGCCCTTCTGGCTGCTCCCATCTGGACTGGAGGCTTCTACCTGTGGGACAGAGTCACCTTCCTAGGATCTCCCTCCACCACCATCTGGGGCGGTGCTTTACATGCAGTGGAGCCACCTGGGGTCCTGACAAATGCAGACTGATCAACCTGTCAAGGCTGGGCCTGTGAGCCTTTCTGTCCAGTTTCATGAGATGCTGGTTCTGCTGGTTCATGGATAATAGCTGGGGTAGCAAGGATCTCTCTTTTTGTCTCACAGTTTTCTGCATCTCTTTTTCATAGTAAGCACATGCTAATATATTTTCAATAAATTCATGTGCTCTTTTCCTAAGTTGGTATCAGAGCTAATTATTTTTTTCATTGCGCCAAAATCCATATTATATAAAATTTGGTATCGTAACAATTTTTAAGTATAGAGTACTATAATATGAACTGTAGCACATTGTTATGCAACAGATCTCTAGAACTTTTCATCTTGCAAAACTGAAACTCTACGCTGAAAATCTCCTCAAGAATCCCCCCAGCCTAACCACTGGCAGCCGCCATTCTACTTTCAGGTTCTAAGAGTTTAGACGCCGCATATAACGAATTGCGCAGTATTGGAATTTCCTTGTGATTGGCTTATTACACTTAGCATTGTTCTCCAGGTTCATCCATGTTGCAGCATGTAACAGAATTTCCTTCTTTTTAAGGTTGAATCATATTCCATTGCCTACATAGACCACATGTTCTTCATCTATTCATGTGTTGATGGGTGCTTTGTTTGCTTCCTTGTCTTGGCTATGGTGAGTAATGTTGCTGTGAATACGGGTATGCAATGTTTTTCTTTTTTACAGCCTCCCTCATTTCAGTGGAATTAATGTTTTAGTAGCTACTTCTGATAGCACATATTTAAAGTATTTTTGCATGCATCAATGTGTCCATTGTTGTTTTGATTCTCTCCTGGAAGAGGATGGAAATGTATGAAGGTGCTGTTTGGCACAGTATTTAATGGTGAAGAAGAGACGGTGTAACTGACCAGTGCTGGGTCTCAGCATCCTGCAATTTCAGAACTACTGTGAATGCAAAAATAATTAAAAAAACCAGTGCTGCCCAGAAAGGGGGAGTCATCCCTAAATATGGCGGCCCTGGGACAGCTGGCCTCCCTGCCAGGCCTCTTCCATGGGGGCCCTTTTCTGCAGTGACTGGGATTTCTTTCCATTTCACTCTACCCTGTGTCCTGACCCAAGAGACAAGGCATGTCTGCAGCTGTGCCCACACTTGGAGTGTGTCAGTACATTATAAACACTGGCTCAGTGGTGTTAGTACATTATAAACATTGGCTTATCATGGGTTATTTTATTATTTATTGTGTATTTTGATTTCACTTTACTGGCAACACAATAAACAATGACATGATGACCCTAGCAATCACATCCTCTTTCTTGTGTCAAAAAGCACCTTCCAGGAACGTGAGAAGGAGACAGTTTTCGCTACAGTTGATTAAGGGAGAGCCCGCTAGGCTGGGCAGGAGGATTTTTACCGGGAACCTGTGCGATGAGCTGTGACATCCTTCTCCCCACCTTCAATCTCAGCCCCAGCAGGCACCTCCTGGGCGCAGAAGCAGTGCAGCGGCGCCACCTGGCGGTCTGCACTCTTCCTTTCCCAGATCAAGCACAGCCCTGAAATCCACCTGTCCCTCCTCTGTGCCTGTGATTTCTTCAGGGGACACCAGCGTGGGTCAACTTTCTTGTAAAGCAGAACAAGCGTGAGATTGGACCATGTTACAGGAGGAATGGTGTCATCTCTACCTGTGGAGAGATCCCTGTCACCGTGTTCAGGGGAAGGACCGAGCCTCACTCCCACGCAGAGAGGAGGCTCTGGTTGTAACTGCTCCAGTGGAGAGATGAGGACCTCCTCCCTCTGCACTGATGGCCAAAGCCTGCAGACTGGGCCAGGCTTCCCCTCAGCTATGTCCTGTCAGGTTCATCCAGGACTCAAAAAATAAACTGTGGACATTGTCTCCAGCGACGTGGAGCTGAATGCACACTCAGTAATGAGACAGCCTTGCCAGGGGTCCTGGGGCTGCCGGTTGTTCTGGGTGCTCAGTGTCCAGAGAGGAGGATGGGGAGGAGGCTTTGTGCAGAACAGGAACCGTGGAGCTGGATGCACACTCAGTAATGAGACAGCCCTGCCAGGGGTCCTGGGGCTGCCGGTTGTTCTGGGTGCTCAGTGTCCAGAGAGGAGGATGGGGAGGAGGCTTTGTGCAGAACAGGAACCGTGGAGCTGGATGCACACTCAGTAATGAGACAGCCCTGCCAGGGGTCCTGGGGCTGCCGGTTGTTCTGGGTGCTCAGTGTCCAGAGAGGAGGATGGGGAGGAGGCTTTGTGCAGAACAGGAACCGTGGAGCTGGATGCACACTCAGTAATGAGACAGCCCTGCCAGGGGTCCTGGGGCTGCCGGTTGTTCTGGGTGCTCAGTGTCCAGAGAGGAGGATGGGGAGGAGGCTTTGTGCAGAACAGGAACCGTGGAGCTGGATGCACACTCAGTAATGAGACAGCCCTGCCAGGGGTCCTGGGGCTGCCGGTTGTTCTGGGTGCTCAGTGTCCAGAGAGGAGGATGGGGAGGAGGCTTTGTGCAGAACAGGAACCGTGCCCCATAACTCATTTTATTCTGCGTTCGCCTTTTTGTCATAAAACACAGGTGACATAAAAGAAAAAAAATCTTAAAATGGTGACCTTTAATCAACAGTAAACACTCTTTAACCATCAGAAAGAGAGAGAAGTTTGTCAGCTGACCTAGAAGCCCCATCAATTGACCCAGTTCAATAGTAAATTTTTATTTTTTCAAATAAAAATCAATCACATCCTGACTTTTGTGGTCCTCACTTCTTTGTTCTATTTTATATTTTCATCATCCCAAATGATAGTTTAGTTTTACCTTTAAAAATAAGTTTTTTGTTCTTATTTGTTCTATAGGTTATCCCTTTGAAATTAATATTGTCTGGTAGAGTTTCCTGTTGTTTGTATTTTGTGGATTGCACCCCAAACTATGGTTTAATATGCATCTCTATTACCTGCATTTTCTAGAAATTTGTAGTTTGGTATAGAGGTTTGCATCTATTCAGATTTTTTTCCCCGTGAGTTTTGGTGGTACTATATCATGTTTTTCAACAAGGGGAAGAGTTTAATACTGGTTATTTCCCTTTGGTGATGAAAATTGTCATTGCTGTTCAGTGGCTAGATCTGTTCATTCATTACGGATGGCAAAGAGTTGTAGTCTCAGTCTTCCATTTCTTTTCATGTATTATTTGAATAATTTGTAAAATAAGAGACTTACCCCCTTCTACTATTTACCTATTATAGGAAAATCACTTTTAATTAATTAGATGTGAAAATTCTAAGAAAAATATTAGTAGACTGTATTAACCAATGTGTTATAAACAGACTGTCTTGACCAAGGTATATAGCCCAAGAATGCAAGGATATTTAAACTTTAAACCTTTTAATGCATTTTGCCACTTAATTAAAGAATAAAAAACAGAGATGATGTTATTTTACTAGATTAAGAAATTATTCTAGATGAAATTCAGCACTCCATCTGACCCATATTTCTCCAGTCATCTCCAGGTTAAAGAAATCATGCAATCAGATTGGGGCCACTCAAATAATACAAAATAATCTCCACATCTAAAGGTCCATGCTCTTAATCATATCAGCAAAGTCCCTTTTGCTGTGTAAAGTAACATATCTAAATGGTCTGCGTCTTAGGGCTTGGACATATGTGTGAGGCCATTATTTTGGATTCCACAGTGTATATGGTGGTTGAATGAGGTTTAATTTAATTCTTCTCTAATTAAATTCCTAGAAGAAGAGAAGTGAGTAAATGGAAAGAGGCATTCCAGAAAGAGGTTATCTTAAAATATTAAGGAAATGTATTATTGTAAATAAAGTCTTGATGCCACAAAGAAATAGCACTCAAATATAAAATTTTCTTTTTTTCTTCTCAGCAAGGCAATTACTTCTATACAAGGGTGTGCCCTCACAGATGGAGCAATGGTGAGCACACCCCTGGACAAGGAAGGGGAAGGGGTTCTTATCCCTGATGCACGTGGCCCCTGCTGCTGTGTTATTCCCCTATTGGCTAGGGTTAGACCGCACAGGCTAAACTAATTCAGATTGGCTAATTTAAAGAGAGTGAAACAGGTGATCAGAATGAGTCAGGGTGGTGCAGGTAACTGGAATGAGTCAGGCTGGGGCAAGTAATCAGGATGAATCAGGGTGGAGCAGGTAATCAGAATGAGTCAGGGTGGAGCAGGTGACTGGAATGAGTCAGGGTGGAGCAGGTAACCAGAATGAGTCAGGCTGGAGCAAGTAATCAGGATGAGTCAGGGTGGAACAGGTGATCAAAAAAGGTTGCTTTATGAGGAAGTTAAGTTTAAAAGTAGAGGGCAAAGAATTGAACATACTGACATGTTAATTATTTTAAGAGAAATTTAGAACTCATACCTAACAGTATCATAGCACTGTGAATAAAAAGAGATCCACATTTACTCATACTGCACTGGAACAGAAGATGTTAAAGAGAAACAGATATCTTAAAATTTGCCACAGGAGAAACACAGATCCTCTAAGAAGCAACTGGTTAAAATGTAACTGACTATCCCCTGTCAGCCACAGCAGCCAGAAGCAACATAATCATCAAAGATCTGAGAGAAAACCAATGTCAAACTAGAAATTTGCAGCTGACAAATCTCTCTTTGATGAATAAAGGTAAAACAAAACATTATCATATAAATGAAACTGTTGCACTGTCTCCATAATACCCAATTTCAAAATATCTACAAGAACAGAGAAATATGTAAGAACAAAAGAGAGAAAGAAAGCATAAATTTTAATTTGTAATCTTTGGTATATGTAACTCAGTACTGTCATAAAATATTAATAATGTAGCTTTCAAAGAAAAAAGTCATGTAAAATACATAACATGCTGTGCTATAATTTCTTTATTTATCTTCCCACCCCCACCTTTGACTTCTATGAAGTCCAAGGAAGTTTGAGTCTTTTATCTGAGGCTCAACTCCATAGAGCACAGTACCCAGAATAAGGTAGGTGCTTAATGATGTTTACCATTTGAATGAGTTTCCTGGAAGTACTTAGCAGATCAGGAATTCTGATGCATAAGCACAATTCAAAGGTGGCTGAGGAGTGACATCAGAGAACATAGTGGCATAGGAACTCCAAGGGCCACCTCTGCACAGAGACAATGTGCTTGTAAAACATCACTATAAAAAAAAATCCCTTGGCTGGGCATGGTGGCTCATGCCTGTAATCCCAGCACTTTGGGAGGCCGAGGTGGGGGGATCACCTGAGGTCAGGAGTTCGAGACCAGACTGATCAACATGGAGAATCCCAGTCTCTACTAAATATACAAAATTAGCTGGGTGTGGTGGCTCGCGCCTGTAGTCCCAGCTACTCGGGAGGTGAGGAAGGAGAATCGCTTGAACCCGGGAGGCAGAGGTTGCAGTTAGCCGGGATCATGCCATTGCACTCCACCCTGGGCAACAAGAGCAAAACTCCATCAAAAAAAAAAAAAAAAAATTCCCTCGGAGAGCTGTTAAAGCAAGAATTCCTGGACCTACCACCAGATATTCTGATTGGGTTGATAAAGAATCAACTGCATTGGAACCCTGAAAAATCATCAAAGGTTTATTGCAACCTAGCAAGTCCAGAAAAATCAACTGGAACTCAGGAGCAGAGCTTTGTGGCACCATATCTTACCCTTGGCCCATTCCTCCCTGTTCAAGTCAGTAGTGATCTTGAAGACAGCAGCCTGGTTCCTTAGTGTGGGCTCCAATGCCAGTGGGAGCCGAGTGGACCATGTTCTCAAAGTGTTGTGGTTGTCTACCTTTTCCTGTTGGGTGACTCCGTGAAGGATGATAAGAAATGGCTTACATTGGGCTGGGCATGGTGACTCATGCCTGTAATCACAGCACTTTGGGAAGCTCAGCTGGGTGCATTTCTTGAGTTCAGGAGTTTGAGACCAGCCTAGACAACATGGTGAAACTCCATTTCTACAAAAAATACAAAAATTAACTGGGCATTATGGCATGTGCCTGTAGTCTCAGCTACTCAAGAGGCTGAGGTGGGAGGATTGCTTAAGCCCAGGAGGTTGAGGCTACAGTGAGCCAGGATCGTGCAACTGCACTCCAGCTTGGGCTTCAGAGCAAGACCTTGTCTAAAAAAAGAAAAAAAAGAAAGAAAAAGAAAATAAATGGTTTGCATTTATTTTCCCTACTCAGAACTCTCTTAGGTCACAGAGGCAGAGGGCATCTGCTAAAACCATTTAAGTGCCACTGAACCAGCAGCTGCCCCCTTGGGGCAAAAATATATTACATGAGAAAGGTAATAGACATACAGAAAAGCCTGGAGGAGAAACTGGGTGAGTGAGATGGGAATATGGGTTTTGAAAAGCTTCCATATCCCTGGGAATCTGTATAGCCTCCTCCATGACCAGTATGTCGCACAGACTCACAAAGCACCTGAGAATGCCCTGTGTTCACACCTCTTGCTAACTTTCAATATCTGCACAAGTAGGAAATGAAGGCCAAAGCAGTATTGTAAACTGCCCAGCAGAGTGTTGAGGGCATGCCCCAAAACACACAGAGAGCCCAGATAAAAAGATTGAATTTTCTTTTCTTATTTCTTTTTGGCTGAAGATGTTTCAGGAAATATCTATCAAATCATGAGTTGACCACTAAGCTTACAGAATAGAGACTTCAGTGATGACACACAATAAAGAATACAGTCTATACAAAAATAGTTTAGAAAACATGATTTTCAAAGTCACCACATGTTAGTATTCAAAATAAAAATGAGGTATGCAATTAAACTAGACAGTAAGACCCATTCTCAAGAAAAAAGAGGAATTGACAGAAACTGTTCCTGAGAAAGGCCATTGAACATACTTACTGGACAAACAACTTTGAATTGACTGCTTAAATATGTTCACAGAGCTAAAGGAAACTATGGGCAAAAAACTAAAGGAAATCAGAAGAACTATCTTAACTCAAATAGAGAACATCAATAAAAAGATAGAAAGTTTAAAAAGAAACCAAATAGAAATTTTGGAGCTGAAAAGTGCAATAACTGAAATGAAAAATTTACTAGAGTAATTTTACTATTTTTTACTATATTTTACTAGAGTAAATTTACTATTTACTTTTTTACAAAAGCAACTTTCACTATGCAGAATGAAGAATCGGCAAGCTTAAAGGTAAGACAATTGAAATTATCCAGTTTGAGGTGCAGAAATAAAAAAAAATTATGAAGAAAAATGAACAGAACTTAAGAAAACTGTGAGACAACACCAAGCATATGCATTTTGGGAATCCTCAAAGAAAGGAGAGAGAAAAAGAAGAATGGCTATTTGGAGGAATAATAACTTCAAATCTCCTAAATTTGATGAAAAATATAATTTTACTCATCCAACAAACTTGATACATTTTAAGCAGCAAGAATTTTAGAAGTCCACACTGAGAGACGTTATAATCAACCAGTCTACACCAATGACAAACAGACCATCTTGAAAGCAATAACAGAGAAGGAACTTTTCAGGTACAATGGATCCTCAATAAGATTAACATACAAATTTTCATCAGAAACCATGGGGTTCAGGAGGCGTTGGGATGACAAATTTAAAGCTGAGAAAGTAAAAGGACTATCAACCAAGAATTGTATGTCTGCAAAACTCTCCTTCAGAAATGATGGAGAAATCACGACATTCACAGGTTAAAAAAAGCTGACTGAGATTGTCTCAACCCTACAAGACATATATATATACACACACACACATATATATATTTGTAATTCCTCTCTTGTTTTTCCTATTTGATTTAAAAGAAAATGTCCATCGACCAATGAATGGAGAAACAACATATAGTTTTTTCCTACAATAGAATATTATTTGGTCATAAAATGAATAAAGCACTGGCATATGCTAAAACATTGCTGAATCTTGAAAACAAGACAAGTGAAGGAAGCCAGTCACAGGAGGCTACGTAACTTATGAGCCCATTTTTGTGAAATATTCATAAGAGGCAAGTCGATAGAGAAAGAAGTGGATTTGTGGCGACAGGGTCTGCTGGCAGGTGGAAATGGAGGGTGACTGCTTAATGGGTGCAGAGTTCCCCCTGAGGTGATAAAAACACTCTGGAACTAGAGAGTGATGATGGTTACATAACATTGTGAACATACGAATTGTCACTGCATTGTGCACTTTAAATGGTTACGGTGGTATCCTTTGTGTTTATGTGTATTTTACCACAATGAAAAAGAGGCTGAGGAAGGTATTCCAAAATCTTTTGTATAGTAAACTCCTGAGTTTGCTTGAGAATCTGCCTATCTGTCTTTTCTTCTCAGGACATCATCTCCTACCCAGAGCAAACCTTTGTTCTTCTGCAAGTAGAAAGCCCTCTTTCAGAACATTGTCCAAGATCAGCCAGGCCCAACCCTCAAAATGACTTTCTGTCTTTGACCCAAATGCTCAAATGCAACTCTGGGGCTAATTTCAGTGGGAGTAAGAGATTATCCAATCAGGATAATTCATTTGGAGAGAAAATGTTTTGCTTAAGTCAGCAAAGTCCTTTGCTTTCCTAAAAAGGATCCTGCTTACCAGTGAGTACAGAGTTTTTGTACATTTGAGGTGGAGTTCTCAGCAGAGTAATTAAAGATATCTGTAGAAACACCACACACATTATGTGTAGCTGACTGATTCACCCCTCTGCCACCCCCAATTGAAGGAAGGAGCTGTATTCTTATCTTGGCCCATCCATCAACTGAATGCCGCTGGACATGGAACATTACAAGTGTGAAGCTTCCAGGGTTCTCAGTTGCTCTTCCTGCTGTTGTGGAGACTCCATTGGTGTGGCTCACATCCAGGCAGGCCTGCAGGAAGCTGTTTCCTAATTCTCAAGGCCAACATTTTCAGTGAACCCATACCAAAACCCTAGGTTCTCAGGGACTCAGATTTTCATCTGTGGAAGAAAAGAATCCATCTCACTCTCTCAGGTGTGATGGTAATTATATATATTATAATATAATATATATATACATAATTATAATTTATATATCTATAAAAGAGATAATCAGTATTCCATAAATTGATGATATTCTCAGTGTTGACTTCATTGCCCAGGTGAACACTGTAACAGAAGGATGAGTCATGGATTGTAGAGGAACAATATTTTTTTTACTCTCTGGAGGAGCCATCAGTAGGCATTTCTGCCATATGGACTTCAAATGAGAAATTTGTTTTAGGTTGAGATTGGAAGGAGATCTGAACTTCTTTTTATTATTATTATTTTAAATATGAGGTCTCACTATGTTCTCCAGGCTGGAGAGCAGTGACTATTCACAGGTGTGACCATAGCCTCAAATTCGTGAGCTCGAGCCATTCTCCTATCTCAGCCTCCTGAGTAGCTGGGACTACAGGTGCCCACCACAGTGTTCAGCCACTTTTCATTGTTATTTTACTTCAAATGTTTTATTTTGAATGTTAAAAATACATGTTTCTACATTAGAAATATGAAAATGTATTTGATTACAGAAGAATTTAAAATGCACACATCAACACCTGGTTGAATTTTAAAGAAAAAAAAATGCAGAGAAGAAAGAAATATCACCCAGGCTTCCCCTCCAAAGAACCACTGCTATCATATTATTGAAACTTCCTGGACTGCAGTGTGAATGGTCATCCCTGGAGCTATCTTCTGCAGTGATGCTGACTTCCATTCTTTTGTTTTCTATGTATATATTTTTATATATGCTTTCATTGTAGAAAGTTGCATTCATAAGTTTTGGGGTTTTTTTTAAGATGGAGTCTCACTCTGTCCCCCAGGGGCTGGAGTGCAGTGGCATGATCTCGGCTCACTGCAACCTCTGCATCTCGGATGCAAGTGAGTCTTCTGCCTCAGCCCCTCGAGTAGCTGGGATTACAGATGTGCACTACCACGCCTGGCTAATTTTGTGTTTTTAATATAGATGGGGTTACACTTGTTGGCCAGGCTGGTTTTGAACACCTGACCTCAAGTGATCCACCCACCTTGGCCTCCCAGAGTGGTTGTGGGTTATTTTGAAGTTGCTTTTTGAATGTATTATTATGAAAGTAGTTTTCCATGTCATAAAGTCTGCATAAAATTTACACACTTCTAGAAGCTGCATCCCATCTCAAACAAGGAGAAGTCACCAGGGTTCTTTTAGATCCATGTGCTTTCATCTTGTCTTTTGGTAAAGAATATTTTGACAAGCATGTTTGTACATGAAGATTCTTCTATGGTTGTGATTTTAAAAATTCATAGAACACTCAGGATGGACATGGTGGCTCATGCCTGTACTTCCAGCACTTTGGGAGGCTCAGGCTGGCAGATTGCTTGAGCCCCTGAGTTTGTGACCAGCCTAGGCAACATAGAGAAACCCTGTCTCTACAAAAAATTCAAAAGAATTAGCCGGGCTTGGTGGCACATGCCTGTAGTCCCAGCTACTTGGGTGTCTGAGGTGGGAGGGTTGCTTAAGCCTGGAAGATTCAGGCTGCAGTGAGCCATGAACAACACTGCACTCCAGCCAGCAAGCCCAATCTCAAAAAAATAAATTATAGACTACTCAAATTGTAAGTATTAAACCAGTGTCTGTGAGAGTTTTTCTGGAAGGGATGTGAGTGGGTGGACTGGTGGGGAAGATGCTCTCTCACTGTGGGCAGCCACAGTCCAATCACCTAGTGGCCCAGATAGAACAGAAAGGTAGATAGAAGTAAAATTTCTCTCTGTCTCTGTCTCTCTGTCTCTCTCTGTCTCTGTCTCTCTCTCTGGAACTGGGGCTGGGACACCCTTCTTCTCCTGCCTTGGACATCAAAACTCCAGGTTCGATGATCTTTGGACTCTGACTTTTGCACCAGTGAGCCCCTTTATCCTCCTGTTCTGTATTCTGGGTCCTCAGGGCTTTGACTTTGGACTGAGCCACGCTACTGGCTTTTCTAGTTCTCCAGCTTCCAGACAGTCTATCATGGGACTTCTCAGCCTCCATAATTGTGTGAGCCAATTAGCCCAATAAATCACCTATCTATCTGTCTGTCTATCTATCTATCTATCTATCTATCTATCTATCTATCTATCTATCATCATCTAACATCTATCTATCATCTATCATCTATCTATCTATTATCTATCTATCATCTATGTACCTATGCTATTGGTTCTTTCTTTCTTGGTAACCTTAATAAATCAACAGACAATAAACAAATAAAACCTGTCATAGTATCACTGATAATTGCCATTAAGAAAAATATGCTTGGGTTAGAAGATTGGTGGCGGTGGTGGGAATGGCAGGGGATAGATTTCAGAAGAGGTCACTGGACAAGACATTTCTGAACACTTGACCATGGGACATTTAAGCAGGGACCTTAATGGTGTGAGGAGTGAGCCATGTGGATCACTGGGCAGCACATGCATGTGGGAGTCACAGCAGGGGCAGGTGGTAGAGACAGGGTGGAGTAGACAAGAAACTGGTGTGAGTGGAGAAGAATGAGCTAGGCTGAGAGTAATGGGATGAGGCCAAAGTGGCCAGAGGGGACCCTGTGATAAGGAGTGCATAGGAAATGGTGGGAAACTGGGGTTTCCTTGTGCCTAAGAAGGGAAGGAGCTGGAGCGTTCATAGGATATGCCCTAATTCCCATTGGAAAGGCACGCTCTCTCTGTTGTGTGGGTGATGGACAGTGGGCATGAGAGTCAGCAGGCAGCCCAGCTGGAAGGCCCTTCCGGTTTTCTATCCTAGTGAGGATGGTTCTGGGGTGGAGGTGGCAGAGGAGTGAGAAGTGATTGGATTTGGTGTTGATATATATTTTTAAAATTGTGGTAAAACACACATACTATACGATTTACCTTCTAACAATTTTTTTCAGTGTACAATTCATTGGCATTAAGCACATTTACAATTGATGGTGGTTACACAAACACCAACATGCATTTTCAGAACATTTTCATCATCCCAACAGAGACTGTACCCATTAAATGACAGCTGCCCATTGTTCCTGCCTTCAGCCCCTGGTAACCTGTATTCTACTTTCTGTTTTTGTGAATTTGCTTATTCTAGGTGCCTCATATAAGTGAAATATCATATTTGCCTTTTTTTTGGCTTATTTTATTTAGCGTGTTTTCAAGGTTCCATCCAATCCAAATATTCTTCACTTTTAAGGCTGATTAATATTCCATGTGTATATGCACCACATTTTGTTTTTCCAATCATCCTCTGATGGACACTTGGGTTGCGTCCACCTTTTGGCTATTGGGAATAGCACTGCTATGAGCATGACTGTACAATTATCTGTGTGCATACCTGCTTTCAATTTTTGGGGGGTATACACCCAAAAGTGGAATTGTTGCTTCATATGGAAATTCTATGTTTACCTTCTTGAGAAAGCGTCATCCTGTTTCCATGATGGCTGCACTGTTGTTCACTCTCAGCAGCAGTGCACAAGCATTCCATTTTCTCCACATCCTCACCAACACCTGGACTAGTGAAGCTGAGCATATTTTCATGTCCTTATTGGAATTCCTTATTTTTATGTCCTTACTGTGTATCTTCTCTGGAGAATTGTCTATTCATGTCTTTTACCCATTTTTGAATGAGATTGTTTTGCTATTGTTAAGTTGTAGTTCTGTATGTAGTCTGGATATTAATTCTTTATCAGATATGTGATTGGCAAATATTTTATCTTATTCTATGCAGTTTCTTTTATTTTCACTTTTTTTTTTTTTTTTTTTTTTTTTTTTTTTTTTTTTTGAGACGGAGTCTCTCTCTGATGCCCCAGCTGGAGTGCAATGGTGCAATCTCAGCTCATTGCAACCTCTGCCTCCCAGGTTCAAGCGATTCTCCTGCCTCAGCCTCCCGAGTAGCTGGGATTACAGGTGCCCACCACTGCGCCCGGCTAATTTTTGTATTTTTAGTAGAGACAGGGTTTTGCCATGTTGGCCAGGCTGATTTCGAACTCCTGACCTCAGGTGATCCACCCACTTTGGCCTCCCAAAGTGCTGGGATTACAGGCGTGAGCCACTGCGCCTAGCCTCTTTTCACCTCTTAATAGCGTCCTTTGATGCAAAAAAGTTTTTACATTTTGATGAAGTCTTATTTGTCATTTTCCTTTTATTGCTTGTACTTTTGGTCACCAGCCAAGAAACCACTACCAATTCTAATGACCATAAGACTTTCCCTCAGTATTTTCTTTTAAGAGTTTTACAGGTTTAACTCTTAAGATTAGTTCTTTAAGGCATTCTGACTTAATTTTTGAAAAGGGTGTAATGGAAGGGCATAAATTTTGTCCAGCATCATTCTTTTGCATGTGGATATCCAGGTTTCCAGCACCATTTGTTGATGCACCATCTGTTGCAGTGGGGCTGACACATTTGTAAGATGCAATGAGCACGAATACATGGGAGCACCATGAATTTATTTACATGTCTTTACTTCACAGTTGTTTTGAGGAGGCTTTCACTGAGAAACCTAACAGAAATGAATACATATGACTTCCTATAAAATGAAATTTAAGTAAAATTATACTTTTTAAAATGTTAAGACTGGAGCAAGACTGGAACATCACCAGACAAACAGAAACATAGGCTGAAATGAAGGGTTTATGTTTATCTTGCTACAAATTCTGTTGGCCCACAATCTCTTATGCTTATTGCATAAGAGAGCCACAGAGTGGGGTGATAGCTCAAATAACCAGTCCCTGGTTTTCTGCTTCAGAAACAAGTTTAAATTCTCTGCTTAGACAAAGTAAAGAAAATAATTGAAAGATGTTGAATGTGAAGTTGGCATCTACAAAGTCAAAGAAGTGAGTAGTAAATGTAAACATCAGGAATCCAAGGAGATTCTATCTTTTTACACAGAAATGGCCTCACTATGCACTGCTGAAGGGAGAAGGTCCCTCCAGGAGAACTTCATGATGAGGAAAAACCCAATATGATGTAGGGGTTTTCTGCTGCAGCCCTAAATTGAATTGTCCTTCGCTCTAAATACAGGTCTCACAAAGTTTTATGTCTTCAATGATTTCACCTGGGCCGAGATTTTGTTTTGTTTTTGGTGTTGTTTGTTTTGAGCTGCTGCCTGGGGCTTAGAAAAGTGACTTGGATATTTTGCCAAAGTTGTATTTCTTTGATGGAATTCGAAATCCATGAACACTCTGCTTTCCTGCTGTATTCCCAGAGCGGGTTGAGTACCTTGCACTTCTTTTCAGCACTTCCCTAGAAGTGGTAGAAGATTTGGAGTTAGGGCCTCCCTCAATCTCTGCCCTTTCTTTAATTCAGAGGATCACAAACTGTTGGGGGAAGAGTGGTATCTTGGGCCCCCAGTTGATCGGATGAATATTAATATCCAATGTCCTGTAATGAAGTCATGTGTGCATGTAACATCACTTCTGCACGCAGTGTCATGGGAAAGTGGGTTCGCGGACCCCAGGTTAAAAGCCTAAGCACTAAATGCACAGAGCTAGAGCTCTAGGAGGGGCGGGATGGCTGGGGTGGAACGTCATCTTGTCCTTTAGTCCTGGGGCATTTTCACTCCTCACATGGTGGGTGCTGGGCATCTGGCAGGTACTGATGTTGATGGAGTCGAGGGAGGGTACTGGCCGGAACTGGGAAAAACAGGGTTGGGGAGATAATTAAGGTGAACATTATTTTTTCTGAGTGTAAGTCATGGCTTGAAATCTGGAGAGCCTGAAGGAGATCCCGCTACCTAAACCCGTTTTCCTTTTCCCTCAAGCCTCATTTGGCCACAGGCCCAGTGTCAACACCAGGGGGCGCCACAGACCATGAAGGCACCGCGCAGCTGGGATTGTTTGTGGTGGGCTCCTGGGTCCCTGACTTAACCAGGGAAGCCAAGACCCTGCAGCCAGGTGGCCTGGATTCAACCTTCAGCTCTGGTCCTACTGACACTTTTCTTCCTGGTGCCTCAGTTTCTTAATCTGTGAAATGGTGAGGACATTACAGCACTTACCTCTCGGGCGGGTTTCTCAACAGCAGCCCTATTAAGAATTTGAGACAGAGAATCCCTTGTGGTCTGTCCTGTGCATTGTGGGAGGTTTGCCAGCAGCACCCCACTCACCCCCTCCCACCAATCCCCACGTGACAACCGAAAATGTCCCAGGATTTTTAGGTCTCCCTTGGGTCTAGAGCTGCATTTAGTCAAGCATTTTCCCACCTGACATTTGAGCTCATCTCTGCTTTGGTCCACATAAGGCCACTTTAAAAAGATGTTGTTTCTTTAAAGATTCTAACCATCTTTTAAACAAATCTATTTTCTTCCTTTATTTCTGCATTCAGTTAATCCTTCCAAACCCTTGGTTTAGTATATCTCAAAATGTATCAACTCCAGTTCTAGTAATTAACATATGTGACTTGCATGATATCTGCTATGACCCCTAGTAGAGTTCTGATTCCTTTAGCACAGGGAATGTGTTCTCGATTCTGCTCTGGATGATGTAAATCAATTTATTTTACTTTACTTGTCTGGGATGTTGCTCCTCACCTGTAAAATGTAAATGTGGATATGGCTTGGATTACTAAGTGGTTTTATTTCTTCATTCACCTGACATTTGTTGTGTACCTGCTGCAAGTCAAATACATGGTATGATATTGTTTCCTTGTTCACACCACAGCAAATGAGAAAATGAGACATTATAGCCAGGTGTGGCGGCACAGGCTTCTCGTCCTAGCTACTCAGAAGGCTGAGGCAGGAGAATTGCTTCAGCCCAGGAGTTTGAGGTTACAGTAAGGTCTGATATCACCATTGCATTTCAACCTGGGCAACAGACCCTGTCTCTGAAAAAAAGGAAAAAGACACTGTGAGCTGTCTACATGTACTCTATGTCTCAGGAGACTCATGTGCTGTAATTTTTCTAAATGGCATCTCCATGTGGTCTTTCATGAATGTTTGTCTGGTATTTCTTTTCTATCTTTTTACTTTCAACTTTTCTGTACCTTCTACTGAAATTATGGCTTTTGTAAATAGCCTACGGTTATTTATTTATTTACTTATTTATTTTTATCCCTCTGCACTATTTGTCTTGTAATTGGAGTGTCTGAGTCCATTACGTTTAATGTCATTGTTGACCTCATTGGGTTTAAGTCTGTCCATTTTCATTTACTGCCTTCTAATATTATCTTTCTTGCTCAACTATTTTTCTTCTGTTGCCTTCTTTAGATGAATAAAAAACTTTGCATTATTGTGGTCTTCTCAGTAAGTGTTCTAGTTACAAATTCTCTTATTATTTCTTTAATTATCTGAGAAAGCACAATAATCTGTGACTTATTATAACCAACAGCAGACCATAACTTCCCTGACTTTCACCTACCTGTGCAGACAGCACAGGGGAGAATCAATGCTCTGGCTCTGAGACACAGGGGTGGTGGAAGTAGGATAGTGATTGGATGATGAATCTGTAGCTGCAGAGGCATCTGGGCCCCTCACCTTCATTCCTCGTAGATGTCACCTCCACTGGATGCCTGCAATGCCCTCTCCTCTGTATGCTCCTGCCAGAGTCTCCCCATCTCCATTGACAGCAGCTCCACCCTTCTGCTCACTCAGTCCAATACTGTGGGTGTCCTTGATTCTTCTTTCTCACACCACAGATAAATCCATTAGCAAGTGCTGTGAATTCATCCAGAATCCCATCACTTCCCACTATTTCCCCTGCTCACACCCCAGTCAAGGTAAGCGACGTCTCCATCCTGGAATACTGCACTCCTTTCCCACCGTTTTTCCCACTGCCTCACTAGTCCCCCACCTCTCAATTCTGTTCTCAGCACAGCAGCCAGAGAGAAGCTTTCAAAGGATAAGTCCTACCATGTCCCACTTTCCAAAACTGTCCTCTAACTCCCCATGTCATTCAGAGCAAAGGTCAACATCCTTCCCACACCCTCCAGGGCAACCTGCTCTGGGCACACCTCTGACTTCATTTCAGTTTCTCTCTGTTCAACACTTCTGGCCTCTTCCTCCTTCCAGGAACACAGACAATTTCCTGCCCTAGTGCATCTGCACTGAAGGTTTCCCTGCCTGAAAAGAACTTTCTGAGACATCCGTGTAGACAACTCCTCACATCCCTCAAATCTTTACTCCAAGGTCACATTTGCAACAAGGCCCATGCTGACCACCCAGCACAACAGCCACCTCCCTGTACCCACAGCCCACCCTCTGGATCACCTGCCACACAGCACTTGCCACCTTCTAACTCAAGCATTTTCTGTTCCTACTCTGCTTATACTATATCATCTGCCTGCAGAGGTGTCCAATCTTTTGGCTTCCCTGGGTCACATAGGAAGAAGAATTGTCTTGAGCCACACAAAAAATACACTAATGACAGCTGATGAGCAGAAAAAAATAGAAAAAAGAAAAAAAATGCATGGATAATTTTCATGATATCTGCCACTACAGATAAGCAAAAAAATCGTCACATTCTAAAGCTGTCCTGGGCCACATGCATCCCGAGAGCTGCAGGTTGGACAAGCTTGCATCTAGAATGTATACACGACAAGGCCAGAAATTTTTCTGTTTTTACTTTAACGATGTTTTCTAAATGCAAAAACAGTCAAATACCTAGCAGACAACAAATGCCACTTGAATGGATGATTACTGTAGTGCGCCCCCCTATTCTAAAGGCAATATCTTTATTAATGTAGACTCAGGCCAAATGTCATTTTGTAGCCGCTGTGGAACAATATTATCTCATGTGGATATAAATGCACCAGTGCTTTTCTCACCAGGGCTGCTTTTGTGTCCTCCCTCCCTCCCTCCTCCCACACCAATCCTCCTGCACACTGCAGCACACAACCATATTTGTCTCTTGAGGAAAGATAACCCAAGGCTTATGGCTCCAATTATCCAACCACATATGAATCTAAATTAGACTCTGCTTTACAAATCCATGAGTTTGGTTTGGAGCCAGCAATAGGATTACTACAACTCAGGGCAGGAAGAAGAGTAGGAGAGAGAGCAGAAGAGGAGTTCCAACAGAAAGTAAACTACAATGAAAAACTCTGGGACCTCTCCTCTCGGGAAGTTTCAGAATCTGCTTCCTTTAAGAAGGTTGGGGAAGCCAGGCATGGTGGCTCACACCTGTAATCCCAGCACTTTGGGAGGCAGAGGCGGGCAGATCACAAGGTCAGGAGATCAAGACCATCCTGGCTAACATGGTGAAATCCCGTCTTTACTAAAAATACAAAAAATTAGCTGGGTATTGTGGCATGTGCCTGTACTCCCAGTTACTAGGGAGGCTGAGACAGGAGAATTGCTTGAACCCGGGAGGTGGAGGTTGCAATGAGTTGAGATTGCACCACTGCACTCCAGCCTGAGTGAGGCTCCATCTAAAAAAAAAAAAAAAAAAAAAGATGGAAAATACAATTGAAAGAGACCTGGAAGGAGGGGAAGAGGTGTAGGGGTCTGAAAATTTTTCTTCTGATAACACAGGAACTTCTACGTGTAGGGACCATCCTAGGTGATATCCAAGTCTATGTGATCACAGGTCCTGGTGGGACAAGGTTCTACTGAAGGGCCAAGGACAATGGAGCAGCAAAGATGACCCAGCTGAGCAGTGACCACATAAAGTTCATGGTGGCCTGAGCACCCACTGGGCGCAGCCCCATCTACTCTCCTCTCCTGCAACAAATCAGCACAAGAAACACGTGTACTGTGGAAAGTTCTCATGTCTTCCATTTATTTTGTCTCTCAAATTTCAGGAATCTTCTCCTTTAATTAACCCATCAATCTCTCTTGGAAATAATTTGAAAAAGTAAATTTATACTCAGATTCTAATTTTAATACAGAAGTAAGTTATAGCTCAGTGGACCACAAATTTGAGACAGAGACGGAGACATCCCAGCCCCTTTTCTGGAACAGGAAAGGTGATTGGGGAAGGAATGCAGTTCAGCATGAGGAAGAGGGTCATGGTGGGCACAGGGGTGGGCTGGTCTCTGCACAAAGAGGAGTCAGGGTTCTTGAAGTCACAAAGGGACTTGCCACTCAGTCCCACACAGGGCAGCTGTTTCACACTACAGAAAAATATTCATGAACAAATTCATATCAGTCACAGTGAGGGGTGACACTTTAAACAGCCCATCACATGCTCAATACATTGAAGTCAAAGAAACCTCATAGCACAGCTATGTCCCCTGTTCCCCTCAACAACCCACACACATCAGGCCCCCCGGGGTGTCACATTTACAAGCCGTGAGAGACACATTAGAGCCCTGGGCACTGTCACTGCCTAGAGTAGAACAAAAACAGCACCTGGTCAGAGACCACAGGAGATGTGGCCAGAGGAGGAATTGTGGGGTGGGTGAGCTCCCCCATGGGCTCCCAAACACAAGATCCCAAGGATCTCAGGGATCAGCCTCCTTCATACTTACTTGCAGCCTGAGAGTAGCTCCCTCCTTTTCAATCTGTGGGAAGAAAATGTCCTGTGAGAGGCCAGAAAGGTGGCAGGGCCATGAGGTCCTAGAGGAACCTCCTAGTCTTGGACCCTCGAGAAGTTTCCAGAAATGTGTGACTGCAGACCCAGGGCGGGATCAGGAAAAACAAGGAAAGCAGATGTGGGTCCTCGACCAACTGCCCTCCTAAGGTCTGTCCTTAGCCAGGGACCTTCTCCTGACCTGTGATTACTGGGATCAGGTCCCCATCACTACAATCATCAAGGTAATAAATCTGTCCTTCATTGTCACAGGTGCTTTACAAAAGAGAAGGTGCTGGCACACAGGGCCCAGGCTGGGTAGGCCCATGAGTGTGGATGGTGCTTCCCAGTAACCAGGCAGGGCACACTTCTACCTGGGGCTTGAAACCCCCAGTGGGACAAGAAAACTCAGACCCCACTTGTCACCCCTTCCTTACCTGAGCTCTTCTTTCTCCACAGCACAGCAGCGACCGCAGCTCCAGTGACTACAGCTGCAAGGACAACCAGGCCAGCAACGATACCCATGATGGGGATGGTGGGCAGGGAAGACTGCTCTGGGAAAGGAGGTGAAGGTGAGGGTCTCTGACCCCCAGCCCTCACCACCGACCCTGTTAAAGGTCTTCAGAGAGGCTCCTGCTTTCCCTAACAGACATGATGCCTCCATCTCCCTCCTTACTCCATCTCAGCATGAGGGGCTCCGGCAGCCCCTCATGCTGCACATGGCACGTGTATCTCTGCTCCTCTCCAGAAGGCACCACCACAGCTGCCCACTTCTGGAAGGTTCCATCCCCTGCAGGCCTGGTCTCCACGAGCTCCACGTCCTGGGTCTGGTCCTCCCCATCCCGCTGCCAGGTCAGTATGATCTCCGCAGGGTAGAAGCCCAGGGCCCAGCACCTCAGGGTGGCCTCATAGTCAAAGACAGGGTGGTGGGTCACGTGTGTCTTGGGGGGGTCTGAAAGGAAGAGTCAGAAAATTCAAGCACTTTGCATCTCTCATGGGACACTCCAGCAGCACCTGGATGTGACCATCCTAAGAATGAACCAGATACCTGGGGTGGGGAAGGGAGCACAGAACCCAGACACCAGCCTGGACACGGGCACCTGGGATAATCTCCTATTCCTTGGAAAGTTCTAGTCTCTGAGCGGGGGAGCAGGGACCTCCGGTTCTGACCTGAGTGGAGGCCAAGGGACTCAGAGGAGCTGGAGTCAGACCCCCACACACATTGAGTGTGAGGCAGAGAACAAGGCCTGAGGGGAAAAGTCCTGGTGCCAAGGCTGCTGTGGGGTCAAAGGGAACCCCTGATCAGTCTTCCAGGGATTGTCTTCCCCTCCACTCCCTCAGAGACTTCATCCCTTAATTGTCCCAGAGAGCAGGACGGACCCTCAGAATCACTCTCTGGTACAGGATCTGGAAACCCAGGAGGATTCCTCTCCCTCAGGACCAGAGGGAGGGCGATATTCTAGTGTTGGTCCCATTTTCCTCCTCTCCTTGTGCTAGGCCAGGCTGAGAGGTCTACAGGAGATCAGGGAGGCGCCCCACTGCCCCTGGTACCCGCGCGCTGCAGCATCTCCTTCCCGTTCTCCAGGTATCTGTGGAGCCACTCCACGCACGTGCCCTCCAGGTAGGCTCTCCTTTGTTCAGCCACATTGGCCGCCTCACACTTGCGCTTGGAGATCTGAGCCGCAGTGTCCGCTGCGGTCCAGGAGCGCAGGTCCTCGTTCAGGGCGAGGTAATCCTTGCCATCGTAGGCATACTGTTCATACCCGCGGAGGAGGCGTCCGTCGGACCCCAGGTCGCAGCCAATCATCCACTGGAGGGTGTGAGAACCTGGCCCCACCCCCTCGGTCAGCCCCGCCCACCGAGCCTCGCCCTCGCCCGGACCCACCCGCGGGGATTTTGGTAAAGGCGCCTTGGGGTTCTCCCAGGTAGAGGGTCTGGGCGGGTCCCGCGGCCTCGGGGTGGATCCCAGACCCGGAGACTCGGGAGTACCCGGGCCGTCCGTGGGGCATGGAGGTGGGGGTCGTGATCTGCTCCCTGGGCCGGAGTTACTCACTGGCCTCGCTCTGGTTGTAGTAGCCGCGCAGGGTCTGCAGGTTCATTCTGTCAGTCTGTGCGTGGGCCTTGGTGTTCCGTGTCTCCTCTTCCCAATACTCCGGCCCCTCCTGCTCCACCCACGGCGCCCGCGGCTCCATCCTCGGACACGCCGAGTCGCTGTCGAACCGCACGAACTGCGTGTCGTCCACGTAGCCCATGGCGATGAAGCGGGGCTCCCCGCGGCCGGGCCGGGACACGGCGGCGCTGAAATACCTCATGGAGTGGGAGCCTGGGGGCGAGGAGGGGTTGAGACCCGCCCGACCCTCCTCCCGGCGCGGCTGCCGAGTCCTGCGCCCCCGCCGGGCCGGCCCCTCCCTCCTCCGCGCAGGGGCTGTTTCCCTCCTGACCCCGCACTCACCCGCCCAGGTCTCGGTCAGGGTCAGGGCCCCCGAGAGCAGCAGGAAGAGGGTTCGGGGCGCCATGACCACCATCCTTGGCGTCTGGGGAGAATGAGTCCGGGTGGGTGAGCGAGGACTTTAGAACCAGGACCGCGGCGACGCTGATTGGCTTCTCTAAAAACCTGTCACCTAATGGGAGTGAGAACTGGGGCCGCCCGGTGAGTATCCAGGAAGAAGGACCCGACACAGGTTAGGAGAAGGAGGAGAGAATCCCCAACGCGGGGCCTCCCCAACCCATACACCGCCTGTGGGGCCTGAGACCCTGAGAGCCACGCTTGAGGCCCTGGGACTTCGCCCTGACCCCGCTACTCTTGTGCCAAGCGTTCTGTCTCAGTGTCTCCCTGAGTCTTGGCCCAGGAGCTGTCTGAGAAACCAGGGAGAAACCCTCGGCAAGGTCCCTGGCCCTCTCCCTTCACTTTTCATCCCGGAATCCCTGTCCCTGAACTGGACTCCCTGCCTCCCACTCCTTGCCTGTCCTCCTGTACTCTTCTAGAAGAAAAATCACCCCAGGGAGCTTGTTGCCAGAGAGTGAGCTCGCCCTGGGATTGTAGGTGTAAAGACAGGGTTTTTTTTCCCCCTTAAATCTGGAAAAGTTGTGCCTGAGTGCATGAGATAGAATAGAGACCAGTTTGCTTTTTGTTTATTAACTATAGTGGGTAGCATAACCTTGGTAACCCCTGAATGATCAGGAATCTAATCGGTAAAAAATGTGACTTTGGCCTGTTGGTATATAAATGCATCTAAAAGCATTACAACACGACTCACAAAGCTCTTAAGTTTCACTTTCCCAGACAGTGTATCTGTGACTCCCGCTTGTTTTATTTTAAATTTACCTTCATTCCGTAGCCCTAAGTTTCCGTGTGAGTCCAGGACATCTCCTCAAGACAAAGTACCACACTATGTTACTATATGTTGCAACCAGGAGCCAGCACAAACTTTATTCACCTCACAGTTGTAAGTGTTCAGTGCAGTCACAATGCCCCTCACTAGTGCTCACGCACTGCCTGTTTTTAGGAAGTATCCACATGTGAGTGGAGTGTATATTTTTTAGGAATACTTAGTATTTTTTAAACCTGATTAACATAAAAAACAATTAGTTTCTAGGCAGACCCACATAAGATATTAAAGGCCAACTGCAAAGAACACCCAGCGAAGCTCTGTAGATGGATGTATTAAAATCTATAAAACAATGTGTTTAAACCTAAGAGTTCTGCTGCTTTGGAATTCTTTCCTCTGCTCCTTTTCCTCACCTCCTGCTCCTCCAGCCCTTCCCTCCGTCCCTCTCATCCCTCAGGCCCTCTTCTCCCCTTAATCCCCACCACCCTCTCACTCCTGAACTGTGGCTCTAGCACTGTTCCATGACCTGCTACATGAGTGTTCTCTCTATAGTGGTCCTGCTACTATGAGTCAGAGTGTGTCATTTCTCCACCTAAAACACTCCAGTGGCTCCACCTCATTCTTGTGAAGCTTCTAGAATGTCAGGCACTTGAGCATATGAGGGCATACCTGGTTCATTGTAGGGACTAAATTATTTTTTCTTGGCTGAATGAATGAATTATGAGTGTATTAAATTGCATCACAGAAAATTATAAAATGTAAAACACTAAAAAAGTTAAAAAAGATTTTATTTTATGTAACTAGTGTGCGTATCAATTCATCAGTTCATTCCAGGAGTCTTTTGAGTCTGTGTATGAATTTTATAAGACTGGGTAACAAATTGTCACAAACATTGGCTTTAAACAGCACCCATTTATTGTATTCATTGATTTATTTTTAGAGACAGAGTCTCCCTCTGTCATCCAGGATGAAGTGCAGTCACATGATCATGGCTCACTGCAGCCTCAAATTCCTGGGCTCAAGGGACCCTCCTACCTCAGTCTTCAGAGTAGCTAGGACTGCAGGCAAGTGCCACCATGCCCAGCTAATTAAAAAGAAATGTAGAGACGAGTGTCTCACTATATTATCCTAGCTGGTCTCAAAGTCCTGGCTGCAAGTGTTCCTCCTGTGTCAGCTCCTCAAATGTTAGGATACAGGTGTGCACTACCACGCCTGGCCAAATAACACTCATTTGTTGTTTATAGTTTCTTAATCAGAAATCTGGGCATGATGTGGATGGAATCTCTGTTCCGGTCTTCCTAAACCTGTGTTTTCATTTTGAATCCTCCTTCAGGCTTATACAGAGGTGGCAGAATGCAGTTTCTGGCAGTTGTAAGACTGAGGTCCCTGTTCCTCACTGGCTGTCACTGTAGAGAACAGGGAGGGCTGCACTCAATGCATGGTGCCCACCAGCGTCCTTTCCTACACAGCCCCTTCATTTTCAAAGCCCACAGTGGAGGAAACCCCTTATGCTGAATCCCTCTCACACTGTGAATCTCTATGCTCAGGAAGAACCCAGTCCTTTCAAGGACTCTCCTTATTAGGACAGTCCAAGCAGGATAAACTCAGCCTAAAGTCAACTAATTGAGGCCCTTAATTATATCTGCTAAATCCCTTCACAGCAGCACCTACATTAGAGTTGGTTGAATAACTGGGGGAAGGTGAATGACCAGGAGCTGGTTGTTGGGAGCCATGATAGAATCAGCCCAGGAAGGGCTGGATCTTCCTTTTGTGTTTAATTTGGACACAGTTGGAAATTGAAGTTCAAGTAAAGTGATCATTGTGAATAGTAATAAAATACATCCTCTTCAGCCGTGGAAATTCTCCTTTCCTTTTAAAACTAAGTTACATGTTTAATATCTTATAGTTAATTTAGACCAGGTGTGGTGGCTCACGCCTGCAATCCTAGCACTGTTGAAGGCAGAGGAAGGCAGATTTGACTCCAGAAGTTCAAGATCAGCCTGGGCAACATGGTGAAACCCCCATCTCTACAAAAAAATTAGAAAATTAGCCAGGCATGTTAATTCATGCCTATAGTCCCAGCTACTCAAGAGGCTGAGATCAGAGGATCCCTTGAGCCCAGGAGGTCGACACTGCAGTGCATGGTGATCATGCCACTGCACTCCAGCCTGGGTGACAGAGCAAGACCCTGTCTCAAAAATAGTAATATGATGATGATAAATTTAGAGCAAATGCAAATTAATGTGTAATAATACATCCTCTCTTGTGAAAATGTATTAGTTATTTACTATTGTGTAACAAATTATGTAAAACTTAGCAGCTCAAAACAACAAATATTCATCATCTCCCACAGTTTCTAATGGTCAGGAATCCAGGAGCGGTTTTCCTGAGTGCTTCTGGCTCAGGGCCTCTCACAAGGTTGCAGTCCAGTTGTCAGCCTAGGGCTGCATCGTCTGAGGGCTTCACTGGGGCTAGGGATTCATGTGAAACATGGCTTAGTCACATGGCTGTTGGAAAAGCCTAGTTCCTTGCTGTCTGGTCCCAGGGGGCCTCAGTTCTTAGCCACATGGACCTTCCTGCAGGGCTGCTTATGGCACAGCAGCTGGGTCCCCAAGAGCTCATGATCCCAGAGACAGAGAGAGAGAAGGTGGAAGCCATAGTGAGTTTCACATTCTACACCCAGAGTCACAAACTGTTATGTCAACATTACTCTATCAGTTAGAAGTTGTATTAGTCTGTTCTCACACTGCTATAAAGAAATACCTGAGACTGGGTAATTTATAAAGGCAAGAGGTTTAGTTGACTCACAGTTGTGCATGGCTGAGGAGGCTGCCCCAGGAAACTTACAATCATGGCAGAAGGGGAAGCAAACATGTCATTCTTCACATGGTGGCAGGAGAGAAAAATGCAGAGTGAAGTGGGGAAAATCCCCTTATATGGTACATATACACCATGGAATATTATGCAGCCATAAAAAGGAATGAGATCAAGTCCTTTGCAGGGATATGGATGAAGCTGGAAGCCATTATCCTCAGCAAGCTAACACAGGAACAGGAAACCAAACACCACATGTTCTCACTTGTAACTGGGAGCTGAGCAATGAGAACACATGGACACAGGGAGAGGAACATCACACACTGGAGCCTATTATGGGAGGGCAGTGCTGAGGGGAGCATTAGGAAAAATAGGTTCAACCGCTGACTTCCACAGCTTGGGGGAATCATCCCCATGATTCGATCACCTCCCATGAAGTCCCTCCGCCAATATGTGGGGATTAGAATTCGCATGACAATTCAAAATGAGATTTGGGTGGGAACACAGAGACAGGCCATATCAGAAGTGCATCATTAAGTCCAAGCCACACTTAAGAGAGGGAATTAAGCTGCACCTCTGAAAGAGAGCTGTACTAAAGGACTTACGTATATGTTAAAAGCAAAATTAAAACTATTGTTTCAGGATTTTGTAAATCAAAGACTTCTTTTATCTAATTATTTTTCTTTAATGCTTTAAGCTTATCTTTTAATTTAATTTAATTTAATTTAATTTTAAGTTCCAGGGTACGTGTGCAGGATGTGCAGGTTTGTTACATAGGTAATCGTGTGCCATGGTGGTTGGCTGTACCTATCAACCCATCACCTAGGTGTTAACCCTGGCATTCATTAGCTATTTTTCCTAATGATCCCCCCATCACTGCCCTCCCCGAACAGGCCCCATTGTGTGTTTTTCCTCTCCCTGGTTCCATGTATTCTCATTGCTCAGTTCCCAATTATAAGTGAGAACATGCGGTGTTTGGTTTTCTGTTCCTGTGTGAGTTTGCTGAGGATAATGGCTTCCAGCTTCATTCGTATCTCTGCAAAGGACTTGATCTCATTCCTTTTTATGGTTGCATAATATTCCGTGGTGTATATGTACCATATTTTCTTTATCCAGTTCCTCATTTGTGGGCATTTGGGTTGATTCCATGTCTTTGCTATTGTGAATAGTGCTGCAATGAACATACACATGCATATACCTTTATAATAGAATGATTTATATTCCTTTGGGTATATAACCTTTAATGGGATTGCTGGGTCAAATGGTATTTCTGGTTCTAAATCTTTGAGGAATTGCCACACTGTCTTCCACAATGGTTGAACCAATTTACATTTCCACCAACAGTGTAAAAGCCTTCCTATTTCTCTGCAACCTTGCCAGCATCTGTTGTTTCTTGACTTTTAATAATTGCCATTCTGACTGGCATGAGATGGTATCTCATTGTAGTATTGATTTGCATTTTTCTAATGATCAGTGATGTTTAGCTTTTTTTCTTATGTTTATTGGCCACATGTATGTCTTCTTTTGAGAAGTGTCTGTTTAGGTCCTTTGTCCACTTTTTAATGAAGCTTTTTTTTTGGTGTAAATTTGCTTAAGTTCTTTGTAGCTTCTGAATATGAGACCTTTGTCAGGTGGACAGACTGCAAAAATTTTCTCCCATTCTGTAGGATGTCTGTTCACTCTGATAATAGTTTCTTTCACTCTACAGAAGCTCTTTTGTTTAATTAGATCCCATTTGTCAATTTTTGCTTTTGTGGCAGTTGCTTTTGGCATTTTCATCATAAAATCTTTGCCCATCCCTATGTCCTGATTGGTATTGCCTAGATTTTCTTCCAGGGTTTTTATAGTTTTGGGATTTACATTTAAGTCTTTAATCCATCTTAAGTTAATTTTTGGGCAAGGTGTAAGGAAGGAGTCCAGTTTCAATTTTCTGCAGATTGCTAGCCAGTTCTCCCAGCACCATTTGTTAAATAGGGAATCCTTTGCCCATTGCTTATTTTTGTCGGGCTCATTGAAGATCACAGGGTTTTAGATGTGTGGTCTTATTTCTGAGTTCTCTATTCTGTTCCATTGGTCTATGTGCCTGTTTTTGTACCAGTACCTTGCTGTTTCAGTTACTGTAGCCTTGTAGTATAGTTTTAAGTCAGGTAGCCTCATGCCTCCAGCTTTGTTCTTTTTGCTTAGGATTCTTCTGGCTATAGGAGCTCTTTTTTGGATCCATATGAATTTTAAAATAGTTTTTTTCTAATTCTATGATAAGCTTCACTTTTTAAATTAATGACTAAAAGTTTGAGACATCACAGAGCCTTAGGTGTTGAGGGGAAAACAGTTTGAGGCAGAGAAAGGAGATACAACAGTATCTCTGAGTTTTTCTTGCCAATATCTTTAATAACAGCAATGTTCTCTTCAATGAGTTAACACAGTTGAGAACATAGAATAACTAGATCAAATAGTTCCAAGACTTTAGTGCTATAAAAATAATGCCTTGAAAATAAGTCTTTGTTTTGTCTAAAATGTCTCAAATTTAGGGGAAGTATGCCCCTAGTGCCAGTTTTCTTATTGAAATATCGTCTTCCAAAAAACATTTGCCTACACTTAAAAAAAGAAGTACTGCTCTGTCTCTGGAGTAGCCATCCTTTGTTTCTTTCTCTAATTAACTTGCTTTCACTTAGAAAAATATTGCTTAATCAGATTGCTTTTCATTTACAAAGATGTGAATCTCATACTTCAGTCAACACATCTAGCATGCCAATAACTTCGGTTTGATGCAGTATCACGAAATTGTTAGCTCGAATTGAGAAACTAGTTTTTTCAATAACTGGCTATTCGATCAGCATTCTATAATACACTTAACATCTTTTGTTGTGATATTGAATGATATGTGATAGAAGTGATTTGGACACCACTATGATTCTAAATAGCATGCCATCAGGTGCTTCTGAAGTGGTTTTGTTTGTTTCTTTGTTTTCGCAGTCCTATTGTGTTTTCTATTCATATTGCTATTCCGTCACTGGTTATTCCTTTCTACTCTTTTCTTGTTTCATTTATTTTGATCAATGATGTGCATTTCCAATTCTGTAAAAGTTTAATTCAGTGGTATGTGTGGTAGAATGTAACATCAAATCCTTTGCAAGATGGAATTACCTTGCACATCAGATTGAAGATTGTATACATGAAAATCTACAGAGATGCCAGTGAGCCAAGGATCAAATGACCTATTTGTAGCCAAAGCCGTTTTCATGGCCTCGTGGTCCTCTCTGTCACATGGCTCCTTACAATTCTGTGTGGTTTTGTTCCAATGTAAGTAGTTCTTGTTAAGGATGCTTGCAATGAACTTTGGTATTCTTTTCTCTTTCATTTTTATAAAAACCAAGCATATTTTACTTTGAAAAAATCTGTTTAAGGAATTAGGAATTTAAGTCAATTCTTTCAACTCAATGTTTTCAGAACACATCATCAACATCAAGTATTACACATTTATTTTAAAAGTTCCATTTTAAAAGGGAATGGATGATATGTTGTTTGGACTTTAGCCAGCACTGTTGTAAAACACAGAACCTGTAAACTACCCTGGGCTGCTGCCCATTCACATCCCCCAAAAGGAGACTCCATCCTGAGTCTTGTGATTATTATTCCTTTATTTAGATGTGTGGTCTTATTTCTGAGTTCTCTGTTCTGTTCCATTGGTCTATGTGCCTGTTTTTGTACCAGTACCTTGCTGTTTTCATAATATCTATAAAGAAATTATAGAGTTTCTTTAAGGATTTGTGTAATAAGTATAGATATATCCCCAATCCAAATATTAGTTAGTTTTGATGGTTTTTAAGCTTCCAGTACAGCAAATTCCTACTGCATTTATTTTCCCATGATGCACATTACATATAGGAGTTATCTGTGGTGTGGGAGGCTGTCATTCATTCGTTTTTACTGCTGAAGGTTTACATTTTATGGTTATACCATAATTGCACTAGTTTTCTATTGATATATATGTAGCTGATTCCAGTTCTTGCCATAAACATTAGTGTGCATGTCTCCTGGGCACATAGGCAAGAAAGCCCGCAGAGTGTATGATTAGGAGTGGGATGATTGGATGATATGTTATATGGCCTTTAACCATACTAGATAATAATAATATGATTTCCAAAGTGATTGTGCCAACTTAAACTTATTTATTTATTTATTTATTTATTTATTTATTTATTTATTTATTTTTGAGACGAAGTCTTGCTCTGTTGCCCAGGCTGAACTGCAGTGGTGCTATCTTGGCTGATTGCAACTTCCACCTCCCAGTTCAAGCAATTCTCCTGCCTCAGCCTCCCGAGTAGTTGGGATTACAGGCATGCACCACCACGCCCAGCTAATTTTTGTATTTTTAGTAGAGTCGGGGTATTGGAGGCCGAAAGAATGAGGGTCGTGATCAACTCAGTATACCACTGGAGGCTATATGAGCAAACAGCAAACTGTTCTCATGAAAGCAGGATGTTGGCAAACTGACAAACTGAGTTTGCTGCCAGAAGGAATCACTAGAAGCAAGAAGCCCCCGACCCCTTCTTTTAGAACAGATCTTTTTGTCTTTGTCTTTATTTCTGTGTTCATCCCCCTTCATTATATCCCATAGTAACCGATTGCGACAATGGGGTTTTACCATGTTAGCCAGACTGGTCTTGAACTCCTGACCTCAGGTGGTCCACCCACCTCAGCCTCCCAAAGTGCTGGGATTACAGGCGTGAACCACCACGCCTGGCTTAAACTTTTGAAATAAGTGCGTAATACTTGATGTTGATGATGTGTTCTGAAAACACTGAGTTGAAGGAATTGAGTTGAAAGCCGCTGTCTTGGCTGCAGAATTATAGCAGGCATTTTTATTTAGATTCTGTCAATAACTTTCTGTTGTTTACTTGTTTCTCATATACCGTGGCATTGTACTTTTGGCATACAGATTCAGAAAATGCTTACTTATAGCACAATCACATAGGGTTATTTTATATGTTAGGAAATTTTCATAATAAAAAGGAAAAAATGGAGGAAGGGAGGGAAAGAAGGAGGAAGAGAAGAAGGAGTGAAAGAAGAAAAGAAGGAAGGGGAAGGGGAAGAAAAGGGAAGGAAAGCAGAGTAAAAAGGAGGGAAGGCGAGAGGTTGAATGGAAATAGAGAAGAAAGAGAGGGAGGGAGGGACAGAAGGAAGGAGAAAGGGAAGGAACAAAAAAGAAAAGAAACTAAAATAAAGAAAAGAATACACGTTGAGAAACTAGAAACCCTACGTATGGCCAATATTATGAAAATGGAAGGAAATAAAGCAGATGTACGTAACCTGTATAGAATAATGGAAATGTAAGAGGGCTTCATTAGTTATCCATTGCTGCATAACAAACTACCCCCAAATTTAGTGATTAAATCAACAAACATTGACGAACTCAAAAACATAATACAAATACCAGCAAAATGGAGCCAACGCAAGTAGAAGAAGTTGAATAAACAAAAGGATTTTACAAATTGGAATAAGAGGACACTGGTGTGTAGATGAAAATGATTTTGTAGTCCAAATCCTCCAAAAAGCAAGTGCCATCATGGGGTTAAAGTTACAGCATTTTATTAGGGGACATACCTGTCAGACGATATTGTGAGGGAGTCAGGTTACCCTGGGAAAGGCAACAGGCCGAGATGCAAGTGTGACCCCCAGTGATGGACAGAAGGAGAGAAGGTTTACTGGATGTTTCCTAGACCACAGGCAATCTAAGGAGAGTTGAGCAAGGCCATGGAGGAGACCCGGAGCCACCATTGGCCATCAGAGGAGTCCCCTGTCTCCCAGGAATGTCCTGCCTTAGTGTCACTGGTGTGAGCCATCACTGACTGGGAACAGCCCATGGGAAGCAGGGCCTCCATACCAATGCTACTGAGGATGTCAGAGCACAGGAGCAGGGCCTTGGGAGATTACCCAGGAGTGTGACTCAAACCTGCTGCCCAGATGGGTCTGGGTTCTTGGAAATCAAATCCTCTCAGGCTAAATTGCTGGATGATTCTGCTCACACTTACAATGGGGCAAGGGGACCCAGAAGGTTCCCAGGTGGATGTCTGGTTTCCACACACACTTCTGCCCTCATTGTGTGAAAGCAGCCATGCCTCCTCCTGGGGATGAGGGCCTATTACCTGGGCCTGGAGAGAAGGACACTCCTCTTCTCACGATGTGGTCTCTGGGAACATGCTCTCCAAACTTCTCTGGTGACTAAAGTAATGTGTAGTTCAATGGGCTCTCTTTTGTCTACTTTTAAGGGTACCCTCCTTTGGAAACCAGGACCTCCTAACCCGCACAGCCCATTGTTGGGAGATAAAAAAGGCAAAATACCTTAGTGGATGAATCTAAGAGATTGGACATGGAGCCATACCTGCTTCCACCTTTTGATTTCTGGACCTACATGTTCTTCCATTGAGAACACAGCACCATAGAGACATCTCTGATTCAAACAATGTACCATGTTCTGAAAGATGGCACTTTCAGAGTGCTTCCTCCAGGCTGGCACTGAGTTGTGCCTATAGAAGACCTGTCCAGCATTCCTTGTGGCTGGTAGCTCCTGGGTGGTGCAGATGGTGATAGGATTAGTGGAACCCACAGCCATGGAAACTTTAAAACTTTCCAGGCCAAATGGGTCCTTCAGGCAGAGAATGGGCTAGGAGCACCGCCTAGCCTGCAGATCAGGAATGTCAACAGCACCCGGAGAGTGGTGCTGGCTGAGTGTCAGAGCAAGACAGGAAAACCCACCCATGGAATATGGGCCTATTTCTGTGAAGATGAACCTCTGGCCCTTCCAGGATGGAAGTAGCTAAATGTAGTCACTTGTTACTTAGTGGCTGGTCGCCTAAAGAAATAGCGCCCCACTAGGGCACATCATGGGCTCCAAATGCTGACGAGTTGACATTCAGGAGTGGCAGTAGCTGGATCTACCTTGGTAGGGCTGGGAGAGTCAGTGCTGCTGGCCTCATACATAGCCTCATGCCTGCCACTGTGGTTGCTCCATTCATGCACCCATCCTACCAGGCCTGGGCTGACCCATGGTGAAGGCTGGCTAACTGCCATTTGTCTGTTTGGTAGTTCAGTGCCACTTCAGACTTGGGTGTTTTCTGTGGGTGTCAGCAAGGGATTCAAGCTCAACCCAGGTGGACCATTTTCACCTGTTGATGAATGCTGTTGGGCCTGTGCAATTTATGACTTTGTGGGTCACACAGCCACTTGGAACCACATTGTTGTTTGGTGTCCCATGGTCAAGCATTCTATCAAATCAGGACAAGTAACACTAAATGTTGCTTCTAACAGGGGGCATATGTCTCTGCTGTGGATGACATGATCTTACTCCAGAATCCCAGGCCCTTCATTGTGACTCTCCCACTGGTGCTTGGTTCAGCTCCATCCTGCATCTTTCCCCACCACTGGCACCACCAGCCCCAAGGGGTCTGAGGGATGCTGGCTGCTTGTACCATGGCCTGGATCTGCTGCAAGGTCCTTTCCTGTGTGGGCCCCACATGAAGGTGGCCTCCTCCTATGTCACCTAGAGTGTGGGCCAAAGCAACACACCTAAATGTGGAATGTGGTGTCATCAGAACTCAAAGAGGCTCATCAGGCAGTGTGCTTCCTTCCTTCTGGTGAGGATGCAAGATGAAACAGTTTGTCTTTTACCTTGGAGGGGACACACCTGCATTCCCCTAAACACTTGGCACTTGTTCACCCATAAAACTTCACTTCAGTGGCCACTCTTGAAGCTCTGTAAGGTTTACCTTCACCTTCTGGAGTGTGCTTGTTTTGCCAAGGACTCCAGTGCAGTTTCTACCTGCTGCTCATCCACCCCAGTAAACATGAAATTGTCAATGAAATGAGCTGATTTAATATCCTATAGGATATCCAGTATGTCTAGTGTAGTCTTAAGACTATATACTATAGCGGGCAGAGGAGTTACAATAGCCCTGAGGCAAATGATAAATAAATGTGTTGTGGATCCCACATGAATGTGAATCATTCCATATCCCCTTTCTAATTGGAGTGGAAAGGAATGCACTCACCAAGTCTGCAGCTGCACACTGTGGGCCCAAGGATTTATTAATCTGCTCTACCAGTGATATCCAGACAACATAAAAGCTGCAATTATAACTCCTACTTGGCCATACCTAGAGTAATCTCATTCATTCTTTAGGCATCATCAGGCTCCCTCAGGGACAGTTTGCTGGATTACGTAGAGACGATAGACAGCCCCAACACCACCCCACATCCTTCAGCTCTCTCATGGTGATGTGACCCCCACAGTACTTTCAGTGCCTTCCACAAGACACATGAGGTTGCCTGGTTGCTGTGGTGCCCGCTTTCCACCCCACCCTCCCGTACCCCCATGTCACTTTCATTGTGTCCTGAATAACAGTTTCAAGTTTGTCTATGGCTTCTGCGAGGAGCCAGGACATCCAGATAGAATGGGCCACATGAATCAATTGGTACGTGTTTCTCCTTTCAGGCAGAGTCTCACTCACTTCACACAAGCACAGAGATCCCCATATAGGCAACTAGATTATGAGAAACAAACGCACCCATCCAAACCCAAAGAATGGACTCTGAGACCCAGAGAACAGCAAAAGTGAGAGTGTTAGTGACGGTTTTGCAATATTGGGTGTCTGGAATGCAGGCACACCAGGGAGAGTTTCAACAATTTATTCCCTAGTGCGCAACTCCCTCCCCCAGTTGCTCATTAGCTGAGTACCAAGGACTTACGATCTTCCCGGATGTCACCTATTGGTAGTTTAAGACTTCAAGTATGTTCCTTAGGGTTTTGTTTTTTTTTTTGCTGCATTTTGTTGCAGCCCATAATGCATTGTGATTGTCTCAGGACTCTTTAAACATTTGACTTATGTCCCTAATGGCTGCACTTAGTTGATAAGAAAGGGTACAATTATCTATGTTGCAAGCTAGCCTAAACTACATTTTTTGGTGAGGTGGGGAAGGGGTCGTTGAGGGGGCCCCAACCGATAGGTGCCTGGCCAGTGCATGAAAGGGAAAGCAAGAAGTAGGGGGGATGGTGGCTTAGTACATTTTCCTTCTTTATCTCTTTATGACCATGTGGCCTGCTTAAACCTATACTAAGGCACATAGAATTGAAAATGAACCATCACATGTAGGTTATTTTTTACACCCTTAAGTCCTGCCCAAGCCAGGGCTGGGCCAAGGCCCTCGAACATCCAGCTGTGGCCTCCTCCTGCTGCAGGTGAGGAGTGGGCAGCAGGGAGGGCCGTGGTGCCTGCTTTGTCCCCATCCCGGTCTCTGTCTCTCAGGCTTACCAGGTCGCATCCAGGTGGGTGAGTTGGGAATTGCGTGCTGATTGCTGAGGGCCTGGATGATCACTATCTCAGAGGGAGCAAATAGTAAAGGCAGATGTGATCTAGGGAGGGCTAGAAACTGGAGAGGAATCCAAGGAGAGGTGGTGCCTCTAGTCCCTTCCTCTCTGCATCCCCCTCCCCTGTTTCTCCAGCCATCAGGAGGACATCAAGAAAAAGACCCACGAGGCCCAGAATGAGGGCCCCCATGTGTACAGCCCCTTTGAGGTCCCCTTGTAACAGGGAGAGTCCTGAGTGCACATGGCCATCCTCTGTCCACTTTGCAGCTCCCCATATGCCTCATCTGGGAGCTGTCTCAGGGGTGTCACGTCCTCTGGGTCCCTCGAGACCGTGCTTTTTCTGGGTTCCCACCATATGGCCCCTGTCTCCCTGTGTTTCCTTGCAGATAATATGGACCAGTTGATAAGCAGATGTCCCTGGGCTATTTGGGGAGTGGGGACCAGCCCTCTGTCAGGGCAGCTGTGGTCCCTGTTTTCATCCCATGTCCAGGTGTTACTTTTTCCAGCCCCCGAGGGTCATAGTACCCAGTGGGCTGTTTTTTGGGCTTTGTTCTGTGCTCTGTGGCCTCACCTTGCCTTTCCTGAGCCAATGTTTTTGTTCTTAGTGTAGTCGCTGCCTGGTAAGTTTACAATAAGAGACAGTCAGAATCATTTCCCCCACAGTCAGGTTGTTTGAGGGGAGAGGAAAAGAGCAAGCAGAAAGTTTTGAGTTTCTGCAAAGACAGAGGCAGTGCAGGGGACAGTGAGAGTCTGGGGTGTCCAGGAAACCCGAGTCTTTCTGCCATTTCTCCACTTCCGTGTGTCTGGCCAGTGAGGTGGTGGTGACTCATCCTTGAACCTAATTGCACAGTTAGTTGGCCACTCAGGCCTGGGCAGATGGGACGGTTCATCCCCTGCCCTGCAGCAAGAGGGCCCCGTCCAGGAGGCAACCACAGCACGGGCAGTGCAGGTCTGTGGTTGCTCCTGCTCTCACCTGCGGTGTCTCCTATAGAGGGATTGTCAGTTCTGGTTCCCTGTAGGCAGGAAAGGTTTTCTCGTAGGTCACTGGGACATTGGCCAGAAAAAGGCATGAAAATTACATGTTAGTTTCTCAAAATTCCTGCTTTAAGTATTGGTGTCCATCAACATAATTTCAGCTGGATAATCTTAATAGGATTTCCCCCAATACTGATGTTGTAAAGGATGTTGAATAGAACAGGAAGTCAAATTTGGGGCTTCGTTTCTCAGAGGGTCCATGTGGGAGACAGTGCCTGTGGCAGTGGCAATCCCCAGGTGCAGAGGGTGCGTAGAGGCAGCCTCAGGATGAGGGGTCTGAAGAAACCCCCTACTCCACAGGCGAAGAAGATCCCCTGTGAGCTGCGATGGCAGTGGCCTGGGTGGAATCCCTGTTAGGAATGGGACAGGAAGGGCTTGCAGCCTCACCAAGCAGCAGCCCTGGGGTGGAGCTGCATTTCCAGGGTTGAGTGGACAGGCAGGAGCAAGCACAGCCCAAATGCAGGTTATGGGGAGGGCAGGCTGGGCCTCCTTGAGCAAGGGGGTCCCCAGCATCAGGTCAGGTGCAGACTCCATGGCAGCCACATATTTCCATGCAGGGCCTGTGAGCCCCAGGGCTTCCTGATAGGATCTCTAGTTAGGAGCTGTCTGCTCAGAGCTGGGAGGGGAGGAACAGTGAGCTGCTGGTGGAGGGCAGAACCCACAGCGTGCAGGGCCTGCCCTGGTATGCAGGTGCCTCTGCAGGTGAAGAGGGCCTGGGGTCTCAGGAAGAGAAGGACTGTGTGTGACTTGGCCCAGACCTGGAAGGACATGGAGACAGGGCCAGGGCCTCTCTTTGGGGAGGCCTCTCACTGTGTCAGGGCTGGTCAGGCTTGAGAGGAGGAGGAAAGGGCACTGAGTTTCCTCCTGGGTCTTGTTCCTTAGTCCTGGGTCCTTTCACTCACTGCACAATGGATGGTGGACACAGGGCAGGTGCTGATGTTGATGGAGTCACGGGAGGGGACTGGCAGGGGCTGGAAAAGTGCGATGGGAGGGAGAAAAAAGTGGGGACGTCATCTTCCGTCAGAGAAAGGGTAAATCTGATTTGGGAGTGACTGAGGAGGGAGAACTCCTCAGGGAATAAAAAGCAGCACTCTGCACCCAGGGGAGCATTTATTGGTTTCTCTCTTTTTTCCAGAGCGCGTGAGCCTGCAAGGCCTGGGTCAACACCTGGTTGGGACAGGAGACCACCAGGGCAGTGCACAGCTGAGATCTCAGTCTCTGGTGTCAGCTCCTGGGTTCGCTGGCTCCACTGAGGGCAACTAGACTCTGCAGCCAGGCGATCTGGATTCAACTCCTTGCCTAGGCCTCACCAGCATGTTCTCTCTTTGTGCCTCATTTTCCTCATCTATGACATGGGGAAACTACGAGCATTTATTTCTTGTGGTTGGATGAATGAAAAGGGTTAGTATATATGGGGTATTTGCAGCTGTGCCATATTATTTTTGTTATTTTGTTATTTTATTATATTTTGATATATTACATATGCAGTAATTGTATTATTATAGGTGAGCATTATGAGTGAGTGTCCTGCTGATGGCTCCTTGGTCCTGGCCCAGCACCAGCTTTCCTGGCACCTTGAGGTCCTGTCATCTCTGTCATGCTCTCCTGCATTACCCCATTCTACTCTGTCTTCATATTTTATACTATAGATATTTAACTCTTAAATAGACATTTCTGGTCTGCGTTTTATTTCAAGTGTCTGGGAAGGGATAGTGTGAGGTTCAGGAGAGAAGGAGAGGTCTGTCTCCATGCTTTGACACAGCATAAAGAAACCTTCCCTCCTCCCCCACATCTCCCCGCCAGTTCTCAGTGAGGGACAGATTCACAGCAACACCGAAAGGGCTGGGAAGGGATGGGGGGACATTTGCAGCCAGTGTTCAGGGGCTGACCCTGTGGGGCAACATCTTCCCTGCAGAGTTAGAGCCCACATATGATGATGTAGAGCTGAAGGGTGATATCAGGGAGGGGAAGGAGAGTGCTTTGTGGTTTCCTGATTACGAAGAGTAGAGGTCAGTCAGCTTCTGGGGTGAAGTGACTGCTGGGGAGATTGGATTGAATTAATGAAGAATAAGTGAGCTGGGATTGAGGATGAGTAAAGCAAGCATCAGCATCTCCCGCCATCAGTTCAGACTGACTGGGGAGGTGGGATAGTTCCTGACCTTGTTGTGTGGTTCCTCCTAACTTCCTGGTCTTGGGGACACAGATGGGTGGTGCTGTTCTTGGTCAGGGCAGCCTCAGCTCCATCCAGATAAAGCAGTGGTGGCAGAGAGAGTTAGGGGAGCACCTGTGAAACAGACCAAGGCAGGGATGGGAGCCTTCTGTGCAGCCAGAGTGGATGCAGGACCTGCCTGGATGCAAGAGAAGGATGAGGGACCCTAGCTGGGTCCTGTTCCCTGACTCCCTGTGTTCACAGGGCAACCAGTAAGGGAGCTGGGGTAGGGAATTCATTCATAAGCTATCTATCTAGAGATGTGTTTATAGACATATTATTTCATGTTTGTATTCAGGTTTGTTGTCACAGACACATTTATCCATGTGTGTTTTATGTTTAAGTTACTTTGGAATAGCTCAGTCACAAAATCTTAATCTCTTAATTTGTGCTGCCTCTCTACACGGAAACACACACACAGGTGGACACACACACACAGGCACACACACACATTCACACACATGCTATACAAACATGTCTACCTGTATCTATAAAGAAACATGTTATGTTATTTTATTTTTTATTTCTTAGATTCATATATATTCATGAGGCACAAGTGCAATTTTGCTACATTGCTATATTGGTTGTGGTAAAGTCAGGGCCTTCAGAGCATCCAGCACTGGAGACAAGCACATTGTACCTATCAAGAAACCCCTCTATTATACACCAACTGCCAACCCCCTTACCCTTCTGGGTCTCCATGGTCCATCATTTCACACTCTCCTTTTATGTATATAAAGAGATATTAACCAAATACGGCAGAGTGGTAGCTTGAATTTTACCGCACCATTCTTTCAGCTTCTTTGCACATTTGAAAATTTATACAGTTATAAGTTGGAAGAATGAGGGAAAATAGAGAGCAAGACAGTGCTGAATAGGAATAGGCTAGGGGTTGTGTCCCACTAGGAACCATAATTGATCTTTGCCATTTTGAAAGTGTGTCCCCTGAGCAGCCTTCAGAGAGTCCTGGAGGCAGACTTGTTTTCACAGTAATACCAAGATGCCATCTGCCTGTTTCATTGTGTTGACTTTTCCATAGTGCTGCAAATGCCAAGGTCGGTAACACACCCAGCACCTTAGCAGAACCAGGCAGTGGCTCCAAACTGCAGTCCCATTTAAGAGTGTCTTTGATGGAGCAGTAAAAAATTTATGTGGATTAAAGTTTGATCCTTGAGTATACGTGTTTAATATTCTTTGTGAGAAAATGGGAAATATGCATAAAACACTTACTGCACAGAGAAGCAGGATGGTAGCCTTGAGAAAGGGCACTTGTGTGACTCAGTTATTATTTCAACCAGCAGATCTCACTCACCTACGGAAAGACAGTTGTATTAATTCCTGTTTGGGGGTATCATGAATAAAGCTGCAAGAGTATTTGTGCACAGGATTTTCGTGAACATAAAGTATTCCCTCGTTTGAAATAAGTGCCTAGGAGGGCAATTGCTAGTCATAAGGTAAATTGCATGTTCGGTTTGAAGAAAACTACAATACTCATTTCCAGAGCGGCTGTACCATTTTAAAATACATCCCTACCAGCAATATAAGAGTGTCCCAGTTCCTCTGCGTCCTTGCCAGCATCTGTTGCTACCTTTATTTTGTATTTCAGCCATTCTCATCACTGTGGTTTTAATTTGTATTTTCCTACTGGATAATGATGTTGAGCACCTATTCATCTGCTTATTAGCCCAGTATTTATCCTCTTCAGTGAAATGTCTGTTCATGTCTTGCTCATTGCCTGTTTTGTATTTGGATTTCATTTTTATTGTTGAGTTTTAAAATTTCTTCATATATTCTGAATACAGTCTTTACAGAATATGTTGCCTGCAAATATCTTCTCTCATTCTGTAGCTTGTCTTTTTATGCTCTTCATAGGTCTCTCACAGAACAACAGTTTTTAGTGTTGATAAGATCCAATTTATTAACTTTTATGGATCATACTTTTGGTGTTATGTTTAAGAACTCTTTGTCCAGTCTTAGCTCTGATGACTTTTTCTTAAAAGGTTTGTAATTTAAAAATTTAAATTTATTATTTATTTTAGAAAAAAAATTATTGCCTAGGCTGGCCTTGAACTCCTGGGCTCAAGGGATCCTCCCACCTCAGCTTCCTGAGTAGCTGAGAGTACAGGCCTGTGATACCACACCTGGCTCAATGTTTGCCATTTTAACTCTGTGCTTTACATGAAAGCTTGTGACTCATTTTGAGTTATTTTTGTATGAAGCATGAGGTTTTGGCTCAGGTTATTTTTTTTCCACTGTGGTTGTCCAGTTGTTCCATCACCATTTGATGGAAAAGCTCTCCTTCCTTCATTGAATTGCTTTTGTGCTTTTGTAAAAGTCAGTTGAGCATGTTTTGCTCATTTTTAGTTGAGTTGCTCATCTTCTTACATTGAGTTTAAGAACTTTTCACATATTCTGGATACATGTTCTTCATCACAGATGTAATTTGTGATAAATTGTGAAATATTTTCTCTCAATCTACGGCTTGTCTTCTCATTTTCTCAATATTGTCTTTTGGAGCACTTAAGTTTTAAATTTTAACTAAGCCCAATTTGTCTCTCACTTTTTTTTCATCTGTAGATCATGTTTTTTGTATTTTATGTAAGAATCTTTTGCCTAACTACTCAATGTCACAAAAATTTTCTCCTATATTTTCTTTTAGAAATTTTATGGTTTTAACTTATAAATTTTAGCTGTTTAGGTCTCTAATTTGTTTGAGCTTATATTTTATATGGCGATAAGTGTCACATCATATTACCTATGCAACTTCATTGAAGATCAATTGACAAAAAAATGTAAGAATGTCTTTCTAGATTCTCACTTCTGTTCATTAATCTCTGTGTCTCTCGCTTTCACACTGTCTGGATTATTGTAGTTTTATATGACATTCCATTTTTTTTCAAATTTGCGTTGGCTTTTCTGCATCCTCTGCATTTTCACATACATTTTTAGGATTAAATTGTCAATTTTCCATAAAATGCCTGCTGGGGTTTTGATAGAGATTGTACTGAACCTATAGATCTCTTGGTGGAGAATTGTCATCTTAACAATATTATTGAGCTTTCCAACCGCATCTCTCCATGAATTTAGACCTTTAATTTCTCTCAGTAATGTTTTGTAGTTTTCAACAAACTCTGCTGTCTTCCTAAATTTATTCCTATTTCTCTCTTTTTGTAACTACTGTGATAGGAAAGTTTAGATTTTAATTGCTTGTATAGAGAAATATGTTAATAATTTTTAATTTGATTTTATATCCTATGGGAGCTTCTGGATTCATTTTTTAGTGCTAGCAGGCTTTTATCTGCTTGTGAATTCTACAGACAAGGTCATGTTATCTGTGAATAGAGTTTTATGTTTTCCTTTTTATCTGGATGCCTTTAACTTTTAATTATTTGCCTTATTGCACCAGCTGCAATCTCCAGTACAATGTTAAGTAGAAGTGTTGGATTGGACATCCTTGCATTGATCTCCATCTTAGGAGAAAAGCATTCAGTCTTTCTTCAGCAAGCATGATTTTAGTTGTGGGTTTTTTATAGATGCCCTTTATCAGGGTGAGGAAGGTCCCCTCCATTCCTATTTTGTTGAAACTTATGAACATGAGTGGTGTTAACATTTTTGTCAACTGTTTCTTCTGTATCTTTTGAGATAATTATGTCTTTTATTCCCTTACTACAGTGCATTCCATTAATTGATTTCTAATTGTTAATCCAGCCATATATTCCTGGGATGAATCCCATTGGTCATGGAATGTAATCCTTTTTTACGTGGCTTTCTATTGTCTGCCAATGTTTGTTAAGGATGTTTTCATTTATGTTTATTGGTGACACTGGTCTATGGTATTCTTTTCTTGTCAGTCTTGCTCTGACTTTGATATTAGGGTAATGTCAGTTCTGTAAATGAGCTAGAAAGTCTTGCCTCCTCTCTTCTTGTCTGAAAGAGCTTTTGAAATATTTGATAGAATTCACCAGTGAAGATATCTGGGCTTTGGCATTTCTTTGTGAGAAGGTTTTAAAATTACTGTCTTAGTGTACAGTTCTCTTCAGATTTTCTATTTATTTTTGAGTCAGTTTCAGCAATTTCTATCTTTGTATAAATCTGTCCATTTTATCTAAGTGGTCTAACTGATTGGCTTCAGGTTTTTCAGAGTATTAACTTATAATGTTTTTTAACTTCTAAAGGGTCATTAGTGATACTCTCTCTTGTGTTCACAATTTTGGTAATTTATCTCATTTCTCATACTGTCTGTTTTGACTTTTGGTCAAGAAAACAGACAGAGGCAGCTCTGTGACAGATTCTGTAGTGGGAAGCTTTGATCATTCATAGCTGGCAAGCCAGACTAATGCCAGCAACCCCAAAGGAGCTGCCAATGGATCTTGACAGGGAAGTCACTGACTCTGGATTGGGCTATGATCAACCAGGGGTAGATGTCAATGCTTCAAAGGCTATACAAGAACCAGAAAAATGGAGATTACACCAATTTGGACTGTTGAGTCACATTTCTTTACACAAGAAAACACACTTTACAGCCTTAAAAAGCCAACAGTGCACAGGGAAATGTACTATTCAGGGGAAACTTTGATAGAATATTGAAATGGCTGACCAGGCACGGTGGCTCATGCCTGTAATCCCAGCACTTTTGGTGGCCGAGGCGGGCGGATCACCTGAGTTTAGGAGTTTGAGACTATCCTGGCCAATATGGTGAAACCCCGTCTCTACTGAAAATACAAAAATTAGCTGCGTGTGGTGGTGGGCGCCTGTATTACCAGCTACTCGGGAGGCTGAGACAGTAGAATTGCTTGAACCTGGGAGGCAGAGGTTGCATGAGCCGAGATCATACTACTGCACTCCAGCCTGGGCGACAGAGTGAGACTCCATCTCAAAAAAAAAAAGAAAAAGAAATAGTCAGTTGAAACATTGGTTGTCTAATTGTCTAAAAACTGCCAATATAATTGTTGGGCAATATAAACATGAAGGACTGGCTTTTATATCTTCATGAATGTGCTTACTGTCAACATGGGTGGAGCTGCGAAACTGACTCCACTAGGTAGCTTCCTCTCTTTTTCCTGATGGATCAGGGTGATGCTGTTATGACTGTACATACAATTCTTCTTAAGGGGAGGATGCTGGAATAATGACTACACTTCATTTCTTATTTCTTTTTTTACACAGGGTGCAGTGGTACCAGGAACAGGGATGCAAATCGAACTGCCAGAAACAGGAATTATCCCTAAGGAAAAAACCATAACTATATTTTTATACCTTTATGTAAGAATTCCCAAGCAAATCAAGGATTGCGCTGTGCCTTCATTTCATCTGGCAAAGTCGGGATTAACTGTAAGTAGAGCTACGTAGACTGGTGGTCAGATAGCCTGCACTAGTTCCTAACCTATGTAACCTACTGTCTATGATCAAGAGTAGATTAAGAGAAGACATGGTAGAATACTATTGCTGCATGCAGTCTAGGCCAGCACAGCAGCCAAACCTAATGTCACTTCTAGAACTGGAAAAGACTGATATAAAGGGACAGAAGGAGGAATAGTGGCTGAGGGTAGGTGAATAAATCAAAGGGTTATGTAATGAGGAAAATTCAATATTAGCTTATCTCCTCAAAAGTGGTGTGAGCAAGAGATGTTGTCTCTTAGGTCAACTATACTGGATGCCTAAAAGGGTGAAGCTGTATGTCCCTGAGACCATTCTTGTTTTTGGAACCTGATAAGATTGAATGGTGTCTGCAAAGCTGAGTGATGTCATTCTGGGAGACATATTCATACAAGAGGATGATAAACTGGCCTAATTTTGAATGACCGAATGAGACTTGGATAATATGCCAATGCTTCTTTACTGTTATAATCCTTTTCGTATGAAAAATATGTGGTCAAAGAAAAGGGGGTAATATGAGTTATCACAAAAACATTTAGTTTTGTCCCTGGTTTCTCCTAAAAACCTTAGAATCTCTTGAGTGATTAGAGTGTCTTTAGAATACTGAGGAAAGGACTCTTGGCTGAGAGGATCCTGGATACCTTGAGAATGGGGGCTGGCTGCCACAGACACATACCTATGATGAGAGGGTTGTCTTATTCCGTTTTGTGTTGCTATAAAGAAATGTCTGAGACTGACTAATTTATATAAACAAGGTTCATTTGGCTCAGGATTCTGATGTCTGGAAATGTTTGAGCATTTAGCGAGGGCCTCAGGCTGCTTCCACTCATGGCAGAAGGCAAAGGGGAGCTGGTATGTGCAGAAGTCACGTGGTAAGAGAGGAACAGAGGGAGTAGGAAGGTGCGAGACTCTTTTAACAACTAGCTCTTTTGGAAACTAATAGGGCAACAATTCATTGACTCCCGAGAGAGGGCAGTATCTCTCTGTTCATAAAAGATTGGCCCCCAAGACCCAAACGCCACCCATTAGGCCCTAAGTCCAACATTGGGGATCAGATTTTAACATGAGGTATCTGGGGATAAATATTTATATCATTGCATCCTGTCCCTAGCCAGCCAAAGCTCACATTCTTCTCACATTGCAAAAGACAATAATCTTCTCCCAATTGTCCAAAATGTGTTGGGTTGATCCAGCATCAACTCTAAATTCCAAAGTCTCATCTGAGACTCAAGGTAAGTTCTTATAGCTGTGCACCTGTAAAATTAAAAAAAGTTATTTACTTCTAAAATATTAATACAACAGTGGTAGAGACATTTCCTATACATTTCCATTCCAAAAGAAATAAGTGGACCAAAAGAAATGAATGCAGTGTCCTCACAAGGTTGAAACTCATCATGGCAGACATTAAAACTTAAAGCTCTAAAATAATCTCCTTTGACTCTATATCTTGAACCCTGAGCACACTGGCTGGTGCAAGCAATGGACTCACAATGCCATCTTCAGCCTCATATCCGTGGCTTTGGTGAACATAATCCATATAGCTGCTCTCATGGGTGAACATTGAATGCTTATGGCTTTTCCAGGCTGAGCTTGCATATTGCCAGTGGCTCTATGATTTAGTAGTCTTGGCAGGGGTCCTGTTCCTGCAGCTCCACTAGGAATTGTCCTGGATATTAAATTTCCCCTTTAAATATCAGTTCCAGTTTCAGGTCATGTCTTTGCTCACACATATGTGCATAGGCTATTACAAGCAGGCAGGCCAAATCTGGAATGCTATGCTGCTTAGAAATTTCTTCCACCAGATACCCTTATACATCACTCTCAAGTTCAAAGTTCTACAGATCCCTAGGGAGGGGGAACAATGCCTCCAAGTTATTTGCCAATGCATAACAAAAGTGACCTTTCCTCTAGGTCCCAATAAGTTCCTCATCTCCATGTGAGACCTTATCAGCCTGGACTCTATTGTCCATATCACTATCAGCATTTTGGTCACAACAGCTTAACAAATCTCTAGGAAGTTGCAAATTTTCCCCCATTTTCTTGTCTTCTGAACTCTCCAAACTCTTCCAACCTCTGCCTGTTACCCAGTTCCAAAGCTGTTTCCACATTTTCAAGAATTTTTATAGTAATACCCAACTCCTGGTACCGATTTTCTGAATTAGTTCATTCTCACACTTTTATAAAGAAATACCTGAGACTGGGTAATTTATAAAGAAAATAGGTTTCTTTCTTTCTCCTCCCACCATCCAAGATGCCAAAAGGAAAGAAGGCCAAGGAGAAGAAGGTGGCTCCAGCCCCTGCTGTCGTGAAGAAGCAGGAGGCCAAGAAAGTGGTAAATCCCTTGTTTGAGAAAAGGCCTAAGAATTTTGGCACTGGACAGGATATCCAGCCCAAAAGAGACCTCACCCACTTTGTGAAATGGCCCTGCTATATCAGGTTGCAGCAGCAGAGAACCATCCTCTATAAGTGGCTGAAAGTGCCTCCTGAGATTAACCAGTTCACCCAGGCACCAGACAGCCAAACAGCTACTCTGCTGCTTAAGCTGGCCCACAATACAGACCAGAGACAAACCAAGAGAAGAAGCAGAGGCTGTTGGCCCGGGCCAAGAAGAAAGCTGCTGGCAAAGGGGACATTCCCCACTAAGAGTCCACCTGTCCTTCGAGCAGGAGTTAACACCATCGCCACCTTGGTGGAGAACAAGAAAGCTCAGCTGGTGGTGATTGCACATGATGTAGATCCCATCAAGCTGGTTGTCTTCTTGCCTGTCCTGTGTCATAAAATGGGGTCCCTTACTGCATTATCAAAGGGAAGGCAAGACTGGGACATCTAGTCCATAGGAAGACCTGCACCACTGTCACCTTCACACAGGTTAACTCGGAAGACAAAGGTGCTTTGGCTAAGCTGGTGGGAGTTCTCAGGACCAATTACAATGACAGATACGATGAGATCCGCCATCACTGGGGAGACAGTGTCCTGGGTCTCAAGTATGTGGTTTGCATTGCCAAGCTCAAAAAGGCAAAGGGTAAAGAACATGCCACTAAATTGGGTGAAATGTATGCTGTTGAGTTTTCTGTATGTAAAAATAATTAAAATAATATAAATTTTCCTTCAAAAAACAAAAACAAAACAAAAACAGAAAAGAGGTTTAAATTGGGTCATGGTTCTGCAGGCTATACAGAAAGTATGATTCTGGCATCTGCTCATCTTATGAGAGGGCCTCAGGGAACTTTCGATTATGCTGGAAGGCTAAGGGGAAGCAGACATTACTTACATGCCTGGAGCAGGAGGGAGAGAGAGCAGGGAGGTGACACAGATTTTTAAACACCAGATCTTATGAGAATTATCACAAGAATAGCACCAAAGAGATGGTTCTAAACCGTTCATGAAGGATCCATCCTCATGAGCCGATCACCTGCCACCAGACACCACCTCCAAAATTAGGGATTACAATTGAACATGAGATTTGGGTGGGGACACAGATCCAAACAATATCAGGGGTCATGGTGGACATGAGGATGGGCTGGTCTCCCATTTCTTACCTGTTACTGTAGACATAGACACATTCAGACCCTTTGGCAGAAAGAGAAGCCAGAGGCTCTTAATGTCACAAAGAGGAGGCATGAACAAATCTTGCATCTCAGTCCCTCACAAGGCAATCTTAGAAAAAACATAGTCATAAACTAATCCAGGTCAGTCATAGTAAGTTGTGACACTGAACAGCCCACCACACCTTGAAAAATTCCAAATCAAAGAATCTCCAGAGCTTAGTTGTGTCCCCTCTGCCCAACTCCTCTTTCACTTCAGGCCCTCTAAGGTGTCACTTTTACAAGCCTTGAGAGACACATCAGAGCCCTGGGTACTGTTCCTGTTTGGGGTGGAACAAAAACAAAATCTGGTCAGAGCCCACAGGTGATGTGACTAAAGGAGGAATTTTGGGGTGGCTGAGCTCCCCCATGGGCTCCTGTCTACACTATCCCAAGGATCTCAGGGATCACTCTTCCCACCCCTACCACACTTACATGAAGCCTGAGCATAACTGCCTCCTTTTCCATCTGTGGAAAGAAAACAAACTGTGAGAGGCCAGGGAGGAGGCAGGGCATGAGATCCTAGAGGAGTTTCCAGAACTGTGACTACAGACCCAGGTCAGGATCAGAAAACCCAAGGGAAGAGGATGTGTTGAGGCTGGACCAATTGTCCTCCTGAGGTCTGTCCTCAGCAGGGACCTTCCCCTGACCTGTGACTGCTGGGAGTCAGGTTCCCATGACCACAATCAAGGTGATAAATTTGTCCTTCATTTTCACAAGTGCTTTACAAAAGAGTAAGCGTTGATAGACAGGGCCTCTGAACAGGGTAAATGTGTGTGGAGATGGTGCCTCACAACTAGGCAAGATATGAGCCTACTCCTACCTGGGGCTTGAAATCCACCAATGGAAGAAGGAAACTCAGAGCTCACCCCTTTCCTACCTGGGATCTTATTCCTCCACATCACAGCAGCGACTACAGCTACAGTGATTACAGCAACTAGAAGAACCAGGCCAGCAATGATGCCCACAACGGGGATGATGGGCTGGGAAGACAGCTCTAAGAAAGGAGGTGAACGTGAGGGGCCCTGACCCCCAGGCCTCAGCCCTGACCCTGCTTAAAGGCTCCAGAAGGACTTCTGCTTTGCCTGAGAAGAGACATGACCCCTCATTCGTCTCCTTACCCCATCTTAGTGTGAGGGGCTCAGGCAACCCCTCGTGCTGCACATGGCATGTGTACCTCTGCTTCTCTCCAGAAGACACCACTGCAGCTGCCCACTTCTGGAAGGTTCTGTACCCTGCAAGTCTGGTCTCCACAAACTCTGCATCCTGAATTTGGTCCTCCCCATCCCGCTCCTGGGTCAGTGTGATCTCCAGAGGGTAGAAGCCCAGGGCCCAGCACCTCAGCGTGGCCTCATAGTTGGAGATGGGGTGGAGGGTTACCTGTGCCTTCAGGGGATCTGAGGGCAAGAGGTAGAAAATTCAGGCACTTTGCATTCCTCATGAGACACAGCACCCATGTGACCATCCTGAGAATGGATGGGACATCTGGGGTGGGGAAGGGAGCACAGAACCCAGACAACATTCTGGACACAGGCACCTGGGATAATCTCTTATTCCTTGGAAAGTTCTAGTGTCTGAGGCGGAAACAGAGATTTCTGGTCCTGACCTGAGTGGAGGCCGAGGGACTCAGAAGAGCTGGAATCAGACCCCCACACACATTGAGTATGAGGCAGAGAACAAGGCCTGAGAGGAAAATTCCTGGTGCCCAAGGCTGCTGGGGGGTCAAAGGGTACCGCGTATCAGTATTCCAGGGATTGTCTTCCCCTCCTTTCCCGCAGAGACTTCATCCGTTAATTGTCCCAGAGTGCAGGGCGGGCCCTCAGTCACTCTCTGGTATAGGATTTAGAAACCCAGGAGGACTCTTCTGCCTCAGGACAAGAGGGAGAGGGATATTTTAGCGTTGGTCCCATTTTCCTCCCCTTCTTTTGGAAGGTGGCTCAGGGATATCTGCAGGAGATCAGGGAGGCGACCCGTGGCCTCTGGTACCTGCGCATTGCAGCCTCTCCTTCTCATTCTTAAGGCCTTTGCTGAGCCACTCCGCCCACCTTCCCGGCAGGTAGGTTTTGAGCAGCTCTGCATGTTCCTCCTCCAAAACATCTGAGCCGCCTTTTCCGCTGCGGTCCAAGAGAGCAGTTCCTGGTTTAGGACGAGGTAACTGGCGCCATCGTAGGGTATGTTCATCCCCGCGCGAAGAGGCTCCGGTCCGGGTCCAGGTCGCAGCTGTGTATCCACTGGAGGTGGGAGACCCTGTCCCCAAGCCCGCGGTCAGCCTCAGCCACTGAGCTCCTCCTCTGCCCCGATCAATCCCCCGGGGATTTGGGCCTGAACTGAAAATGGAATCGGGTATAGGCACCTGGGGTTCTTGTGTCGAGGGTCTCCACGAGTCCCGCAGCCTCGGCGTGGGTCTCCGATTGTGCTACAGTGGGTAGCACAATCTTGGTAGCCCCTGAATGGTCACGAATCTAATTTGTAAAAGAGATGATTTTTGGCCCCATTATATATAAATATGTCTAAACGCATTGCAATTAGACTCACAAAGTGAAGTTTTACTTTCCCAGACTGTGTATCTGTGACTCTGGTCTGTTGTATTTTTACAGTATCTTTATTTCATAGCTCTGAGTTTGTGTGTGCGAGTCCAGGACATCTCAATACAAAGCACAATGTATTACCGTATATTGCAACCAGGAGCCTGTACAGAATTTAATTACCTCAGAATTGCAAGTGCTTAATGCAGCCAAAGTGCCCTTCGCCAGTGCTCATGCACTCCCTTTATTATTAATTTTTTTATTTTTTATTTATTTACAGACAGGGCGTCACTCTGTTACCCTGGCTAAAGTGCAGTGGCACGCTCATGACTCACTGAAGCCTCGACCTCCTTGGCTCATGTGATCAATGCTCCTCCCTCAGCCTCCCAAGTAGCTGGCACCACAGGCTTGTGCCACCACTCCTGGCTAATTTTTCTAAAAATAATATTTGTAGAGATGAGGTCTCCCTAAATTGCTCTGGCTGGTCTTGAACTCCTGGGCTCAAGCAATCCTCCCGCCTCAGCCTCCCAAAATGCTGGTATTACAGGCATGAGCTATAATGGCCGGCCCATGCACTTGCCTATTATTATGAATTATTCACATCTAAGCTATGTGTATATTTTATTGAGACATTTGGTATTCTTTTTTAACCTTTTTTTTTTTTTTTGAGACGGAGTCTCGCTCTGTCGCCCAGGCTGGAGTGCAGTGGTGCAATCTCGCTCACTGCAAGCACCGCCTCCCGGGTTCACGCCGTTCTCCTGCCTCAGCCTCCCAAGTAGCTGGGACTACAGGCGACCGCCACCACGCCCGGCTAATTTTTTTGTAATTTTTTATTAGAGACGGGGTTTCACCATGTTAGCTAGGATGGTCTCGATCTCCTGACCTTGTGATCCACGCGCCTCGGCCTCCCAAAGTGCTGGGATTACAGGCGTGAGCCACCGCGCCCGGCCTTTTTTAACCTTTTTATCTTAGAGAGGCAATTAGCTTTTAGACAGCCCCACAGAATGCATTAAAGACCAAGGTGCAAGTAACACTGTGCCAGGCTTTGCGGATAAATGCATTAAAAATCTATAAAACACTGTATTTAAGTCTGAGAATTCCATTGCTTTAGAATTCTTTCTCTCTGTTCCTTTACCTCACCTCCTGCTTCTCCAGCCCTTCTCTCTGTCCCTGTCATCCTTCAGGCCCTCCTCTCCCCTTAGTCTCTACTACTCTGTCACTACTGAATTGTGTCCCTAGCTCTGTCCCTCGCCTGCTGCCCATGACTGTTCTCCCCACAAAGGTCAGCAATCCTGCTAATGTGAGTCAGATTGTGTCATTTCTTCACTTAAAAGCCTCTAATGGCTCCATCTTACTCTCAAGAAGCCTCTAGAATGGAAGGCACAAGCACAGGGGCTTTGGGTTGCTTTGATCAAAGTTGTATCTACAGAATATAAAAGTATATCTGCCACATAGTAGGCACTAAGTTAATTTTTGTTGAATGAATGAATGAAATATAATTGTGTTCAAAATTGTATCACACAAAAATCATGAAATGGAAAATGCAAAGCAAGTTAGGAAATATTTGGTTTTATGCAACTACTATGCATATCAGTTCATGAATTCATTCCGGTGGAGAAAATGTCATATACTTATCCTTTGAATCTGTTTATTTATTTCCTGGCAGTACATAACCAATTACCACAAACTTAGTGGCTGAAAACAGCACCCATTTATTTGTCTACATTTCCTTCATCAGAAATCCAGGCCTAATGTGATAGACTCTTTGTTCAGAGTTTCGCAAAGCTGTATCCTCATCTTAAGATTGGGGTTCTCCCCCAAGCTTATGTAGAGTTTGTTGGCAGAATTCGGTTTCTGGCAATTGTAGGATTAAGGTCCCTGTTTCCTTCGGGCTATCAGAGTAGACAGTGGGGAGGGCTTCTAATTCCTATTGGCCACCAGTGTTCTTTCCCCATGATCCCTCCATTTTCAAAGCCCAAAGTGGAGGAAGCCCCTCACGCTGAATCCCTCTCACACTGTGAGTCTCTATTCTCAGGAAGAACCCAGTCCTTTTCAGAGCTTACCTGATTAGGACCGTCTAAGCAGGATAATCCTCATCTTAAAGTCAACTGACTGGGGACTTTAAATATATCTGCAAAACCTCTTCACAGCAGCACCTGCTTTAGTGTCAACTGAGTAACTGGGGTAACCTGAGAAACCAAGGGTGGTTATTGGGGTGTCATCATAGAATCAGCCTAGCTAGCCTGGATCTTCCTTTCATGTTTAAATAGAACATACAAGTTGAAGATCAAAAAATAGATCATTGTTAATGATAATAAAATATATCTTATATAGCCATGGAAATTTTTATTAAATATTAAAAGCAAATGACATGTTTAATATCTTATAATGAATTTAGAGCAAATGAAAAAGTTCAGTGATTCATCCTCTCTTGTGAAGCTGTATTAGTTATCTACTGCTGCATAACAAGTCACCTACAACTTAGCAGCTCAAATCAACAAATATTTATCATCTCCCACAGTTATCCATGGTCAGGAATCCAGGAGAAGTTTCTCTGAATGCTTCTGGCTCAGGGCCTCTCACAACGTTGCAGTCTAGTTGTCTTCCAGGGCTGAATCATCTGAGGGCTCAAATGGGGCCGGGGATTCACAAGACACAAGAATCTCTCACATGGCTTTTGGAAGAGGCTTTAGCTTCTTATTGTCTGGTCCCAGGAGGACTCACTTCCTAGTCACATGGACCACAGGCCTCCTTATGACACAACAGCCAGCTTCCCCCAGGGCTCATGATTCCAGAGAAAGAAAGAACCAAAGTAGAAACTTCAGTGAGTCTTATGTTCTACACCCAGAATCACAAACTATTATGTCAGCATTACTCTATCAGTTAGAAGTGAGTCATTAAGTCCAGGCCACACGAACAGGGAGGGAATGAAGCTGCACTTCTGGAAAGGAGGAGTATCAAAGAATTTATAAACATGTTAAAAGCAAAATTAACATTATTGTTTCAGGGTTTTGTAAATCAAATACTTCTTGTATCTGACTTTTTTTAATACTTTAAAATTCTCTTCTGTAAAGTTGATTAAATATTTGAGACAGAGAAAGAAGATACAACAATATCTCAGATTTTTTTTGTAAATGCCTTTAATATTAATATTCTCTTTGATAAGTTGCAACAGAGTTGAGAAAATACAGTAGCTAAATTAAAGTGTCCCAAGACTTTGGTGCCATACAATAATGCCTTTACAATCATAACTACGTTTGTTTCTCTTCAGAAGTTTCTAATTCGGTTTAAGAATGCCCAAAATGCCAATTTTCTTACTCAAGCATCTACAAAAATATTTGCCTAATCAGGGTGCTTTGCAGTTAGAAAAATGTGAATCTCACACCTCTGTCTATACACTAGCTTAGCATCATGACAATAATTTGTTTGGCTAGGGTAGGCAGAAATTGTTTACTCCAATCTAGGAACAAGATTTTTCAATAACTGGCTATTCAGTGGGCATCCTATGAAAGTTTAACATCTTTCACTGTGTTTTTTAATTAGATGTGGTAGAAGTGATTTGGACTCCTGTATGATTCTGAAAAACACTGTTCTTTTGTGCTGCTATCATTGCTGTACAAGCATCTCTTTCATGTTTTCCATTCTTATTGCTATTTCATCACTAGTTATTCCTTTATGTCTTTTCATTTAATTTATTTTGCTCAACAATGCTTTTTTTTTTTACTGTGTAAAAGTTTAATCCACTTGTATGTGTGGTAAAATGTGAGCAACATATCAAATTCTCAAATTCTTTGCAAGATACAATTGCCTTGCACATCAGATTGAACACTGTATGCCAGACAATGTAGAGAGTTGCCAATTAGCCCAGGGTCAAATGACCTCTTTCTAGCCAAGGCTATTTTTCATGAGATCCTGGTCCTCTCTGTCACATGACTCTTTACAATTGGCTGTGGCTTTGTTTTAACGTGTGTAGTTATTGCTAAGGATCCTTGAGATGAACTTTGGTATTTTCTTTTCTCTTTCATTTCCAAATAATCAGTCAGGAATGGCACACAAGGTGCATTTTGAAAAATGACACTTTAAAGATTTGTGGGCCGGGAATGGTGGCTCATGTCTGTAATCCCAGCACTTTGGAAGGCCGAAGTTGGCGGATCACCTGAGGTCAGGAGTTTGAGACCAACCTGGACAATATGGTGAAACCCCGTCTCTACTAAAAATACAAAAATTACCTGGGTGTCGTGGTGGATGCCTATAATTCCAGCTACTCAGGAGGCTGAGGTAGGAGAATTGCTTGAACCTGGGAGGCGGAGGTTGCAGTGAACTGAGATCATGCCACTGCACTCCAGCCTGGGCAACAAGAGGGAGACTCCATCTCGAAAAGAAAGAAAGAAAGAAAGAAAGAAAGAAAGAAAGAAAGAAAGAAAGAAAGAAAGAAAGAAAGAAAGAAAGAAAGAAAGAAAGAAAGAAAGAAAGAAAGAAAGAAAGAAAGAAAGAAAGAAAGAAAGAAAGAAAGAAAGAGAAAGAAAGAAAGAAAGAAAAGAAGGAAAGAAGGAAGGAAGGAAGGAAGGAAGGAAGGAAGGAAGGAAGGAAGGAAGGAAAGAAAGAAAGAAAGATTTATGATCAAGTAACTTAACTACCTGGACATCCCCTCCTGGCATAAAAAACAAAACCTATGAAGCCACCCTCGGCTGTTGTCCAATTCTATTCCCCAAAAGGAACTTCTATCTTGAGTCTTGTATTTACTATTCCTTTTCATTGTCTCTAAAGATTTTTACAATAAGTATATATATATATATCCAAATCACAGTTTGACCTGCTTTTTTTAACTTCCCCGTACAGAGAACTCACACAATGTGCATTCTTCTGTGATGCTGATGCATGTTATGTGTAGGAGAGTTATCTCTGATGTGGGAGGGTGCTGTTCATTCACTGTTGCTGCTGAAGTTTTACTTTTTATTATTATACGACTATTTTGTTAATTCCCATTGATGTATATGTGATTGTTTCCAGTTTTTGCCATAAACATTGGTGTACATGTCTCCTGGACACATAGCCAAGAATGTCCCCAGGGGGTATGATCAGGAGGCAGATGGTGGGATTATATGATGTATGGACATTAATCATACTAGATAAGGCTAATTTGATTTCTCAAGTGCTTGTACCAAGAATGGGAAAGAGCTTGTGTTGCTCATGTGTTCTGAAAACATTCAGTTGGAGGCAGAAATTAAATGTTAAAAGGTACTGTCTTGGCTATAGAATCACCCTAGGCATTTTTTCATATTCCATTAACAACTTCCTTTTCTTTACTTTTATATTATAAATTACGGCATTATACTTTTAGCATAAAGTTCAAATAATGCTTCCTTTTGGCCTAAACACTTGGAGTTTATGAAAAAAATGGAGGGAGGGAGAAAGCTCTGAGGGAGGAAAGGAGGAAAGAAGGAAGGAAGGACAGAGAAAGACAAAATTTAAAATGTTCAAAAATAGGAGGAAAGAGTTGGAAACAGCAAGTATAGCTAATGTTATTAAAATGCAAGGGATTAAAAGATATGTAGATAATATCCATGGAATAATGGAAACTTAAGAAAGCCTTAATAGTTATCAAGTGCTGTGTCACAAACTACCTCAAAATTTAGTAGCTTAATAGAACAAATATCTGTTAACTCAAAGAGATACTACACACACAAGTAAAATAGATTCTGTGGGGGTGGCAGAAGTTGGATAAAGAGAAGGATTTTACAGGTTGGAATAAGAGTTATTGATATGCAGATGGAAATAATTTTTAGTCCAAGTCCTTCAAGGAGCAGATGCCAAGATGAGCTTAAAGTCTGCGACATCTTATAAGGGGACACACCCGTAAGGGAATATGGGAAGTGAGCCAGAAATCCCTGAGAAAAGGCGGCAGACCACGATGCAAGTGTGACCCCAAGTGCTGGACAGAAGGAGAGAAAGTTTGTTTGACGCATCCTAGAGCACAGGCAATCTAAGGAGAGTTGAGCAAGGCCGTGGAGGAGTCTTCCAGCTACAGTTAGCCATCAGAGGAGTCCCGTGTCTCCCAGGAATGGCTTGCCTTAATGCCTGCTGTGACCAGTCACTGGCTGGGAACAGCCCATGGGAAGCAGGGCTTTGCACCAATCCTGCTGAGGATGTCAGAGCACAGGAGCACAGCCTTGGGACATTACCTGTGAGTATCACTCAATCCTTCCTTCCTGAGGGTTCTGGGCTCTTGAATATGAAACCCTCTCAGGCTGGGTTGCTGGATGATTCTGCTCACACTTACAACAGGACAAGGGGAACCATAAGGTCTCCAAGTGGATCTCTTATTTCCACACACACATCTCCTGCCCTCCTTGTGTGATAGCAGCCCTGCCTCCTCCTCTTCTCACCTGCTTGTATCTGGACACATACTATTCAAACATCCCTGGGGGCAGCCATAATGTATATTTCCATGGACTCTCATTTAAATGTCTCCTTGCCAGGGTGCCCCCTTTGGGAAACCAGGACCTCCTCCCCTACAGAGCCCAGATATTGGAGATGAGAAGTGCAAAATCACCCTGAAGGTGAATATAAGGGTTTAGATATGGAGCCACACCTGCTTCTACTTCTTGGTTTTTGGACCCACGTATTCTTCCTTCTGTAAACACAGCACTATAGAGACATCTTTGATTCAATACATGCACCACATCCTGAAAGATGGCACCCATTCCTCAGAGGGTTTCATCCAAGCTGGCACTAAGTTGTGTCTGTAGAGACCTGTCCATGACTCTGTGTGGCTGGCAGCCCCTGGGAGGTGCAGGTGGTGATAAGACCAGGGGGTGCCATGGTCATGGACCACGCTTCATCCCCTTTCCTCTGAGGTGTGTCCCGCGGGCAGATAATGTACTGAAATTCTGAGCCAGTGGCTCAGGAATGCCAATAGTGATACTGGCTGAGGGTCTAAGAGTAGAGAGGAAAACCACACCACATCTAATAGGTGCCTATCCCTGTGAGGATGAACCTCCGCCCCCCGGGCCGCCTCCCACTTGAGCTGGGTGATCTGAGCCGCCGTGTCTGCGGCTGTCAAGGAGCACAGGTCCTCGTTCAGGACGATGTAATCCTTGCCATCGTAAGCAAGCTGGTGATACCCGCGGAGTAGGCGCCCGTCCGACCCCACGTCGCAGACAGACATCCTCTAGATGGGTGTGAGACCCTGGCCCCGCCCCCGCGGCCAGCCCCGCCCACCGAGCCCCGCCCTCGCCAGGACCAACCTGCGGGGATTTTGGCTGAAAATGAAACCGGGTAACGGCTCCTGGGCCTCTCCCGGGTCAAGGGTCTCCAGGTCCCGCTGCCTCGGCGTGGATCTCGGACCCAGAGACTCGGGGAGACCCGGGCGGTCCGTGGGGGATGTGGAGGGGTAGTGACCTGCGCCCCCGGCCGGTGTCACTCACAGGCCTCACTCTGGTTGTAGTAGCCGCTCAGGGTCCGCAGGTTCACTCGGTAAAACTGTGCTTTGGCCTTGGCGGTCCCTGTCTCCTCTTCCCAATATTCCGGCCCCTCCTGCTCCATCCACGGCGCCCGCGGCTCCATCCTGGGACTCGTGGCGTCGCTGTCGAGCCGCACGCACTGCGTGTCGTCCACGTCGCCCACGGAGAGGAAGCGGGGATCCGCGCGGCCGGGCCGGGACATGGTGGTGTGGAAATACCTCAAGGAGTGGAAGCCTGGGAGCAAGGAGGGGGCTGAGACCCTCCCGACCCTCCTCCCGGCACCGCAACCGGGTTCCTGCGCCCCCGCCGGGCAGGCCCCTAGCTACTCCCCACAGACGCCGTTTCCCTCCCGACCCCGCACTCACCTGCCCAGGTCTGGGTCAGGACCAGGGCCCCCGAGAGCAGCAGAAGCAGGGTTCGGGGCGCCATGACACCATCCTCGGCGACTGGGAAGAATCGGAGTCCCGGTGGGTGCGTGGGAACTTTAGAACCGGGACCGCGGCTACATTGATTGGCTTCTCTAGAAACCCGACACTCAATGGGAGTGAGAACTGGGGCAGCCCGGTGAGTACCCAGGAAGAAGGACCCGACACAGGTTGGGAGAGGGAGAAGAGAAACCCTGCAAAGATGGGGAATGCCCAGCGCTGGGCCTCCCCAATCCATACACCGCCTTTGGGGCCTGAGATCCTGAGAGCCACGCCTGAGGCCCTGGGACTTCGCCCTGACCCCGCTACTTCTGTGCCAAGCGCTCTGTCTCAATGTTTCCCTGAGTCTTGGCCCAGGAGCTGTCTGAGAAACCAGGGAGAAACCCTCGGAATGGGCCCCGTCCCTCTCTCTTCACTTTGCATCACGGAATCCCCGTCCCAGAACTGGACTCCCTGCCTCCTACTCCTTACCTGTCCCCGTGGACTCTTCTAGAAGAAAAATCACCCCAGGGAGCTTGTTGCCAGAGAGTGAGCTTGCCCTGGGAATGGAGGTGTAGAGACAGGGTTTTTTGTTGTTGTTGTTTGTTTGTTTTTTAAATCTGGAAAAGTTGTGCCTGAGTGCATGAGATAGAATAGAGACCAGTTTGCTTTTTGTTTATTAACTACAGTGGGTAGCAGAATCTTGGTAACTCCTAATGATCAGGAATCTAATCGGCCAAAAATGTGACTTTGGTCCCTTGACATATAAATGTGTCTAAAAGCATTACAACAGGAATCACAAAGCTCCTAAGTTTCACTTTCCCAGACAATGTATCTGTGACTCCCGCTTGTAGTATTTTAAATTTACCTTCATTCCATAGCCCTGAGTTTCTGTGTGAGTCCAGGACATCTCCTAATACAAGGTAGCCACTGTGTTACTATATGTTGTAACCAGGAGCCAGTACGGACTTTATTCATCTCACAGTGGCAAGCACTCAATGCAGTCACAATGCCCCTCACCAGTGCTCATGCACTGCCTGTTTTTAGGAAGTATCCACTTCTAAGTGTTGTGTATATTTTATATGAACACTTAGTATTTTTTAAACCTGATTAACATAAAAAAATTAGTTTTTAGGCAGACCCACATAAGGTATTAAAGGCCAACTGCAAAGATCACCCTGCAAGGCTCTGTAGATTGATGTATTAAAATATATAAAACAATGTGTTTAAACCTGAGTTCTGCTGCTTTCGAATTCTTTCCCTCTGCTCCATTTCCTCACCTCCTGCATCTCCAGCCCTTCCCTCCATTCCTCTCATGCCTCAGGCCCTCCTCTCCCCTTAGTCCCCACCACCTTGTCACTCCTTATTTGTGACACTAGCACTGTCCCATTACCTGCTACGTGACTGTTCTCTGCACAGTGGTCCTGCTCCTGTGAGTCAGAGTGTGTCATTTCTCCACCTAAAACATTCCACTGGCTCCACCTTGGTCTTGTGAAGCTTCTGGAATGTCAGGCACGTAAGCATATGAGGGCACACCTGGTTCATTGTAGGGATTAAATTAATTTTTCTTGACTGAATGAATGAAATATGAGTCTATTAAATTGCATCACAGAAAATTATAAAATGTAAAATACTGAAAAAGTTAAGAAATATTTTATTTTATGTAATTAGTGTGCATATCAATTCATCAATTCATTCGTGCACTACCACGACTGGCAAAACAACACCCATTTATCTGCTTATACTTCCTTGGTCAGAAATCTGGGCAAGATGTGGATAGAATCCCTGTTCTGGGCTTCCAAAAGCTGTGTTTTCATTTTGAATCCTCCTTCAGGCTTATACAGAGGTGGCAGAATGCAGTTTCTGGCAGTTGTAAGACTGAGGTTTCTGTTCCTTGCTGGCTGTCAATACAGAGAATAGGCAGGGTTGTGCTCAATTCCTGGTGCCTAACAGTGTTCTTTCCTACACAGCCTCTTCATTTTCAAAGCCCACGGTAGAGGAAACCCCTCATGCTGAATCCCTCTCACACTGCAAATCTCTATGCTCAGAAAGAACACAGACCTTTCAAGGACTCACCTTATTAGGACAGTCAAAGCAGGATAAACCCAGCCTAAAGTCAACTAATTGAGGCCCTTAGTTATATCTGCTAAATCCCTTCACAGCAGCATCTACACTAGAGTTGCTTGAATAACTGGGGGAAAGTGAATGACCGGGAGGTGGCTGTTGGGGGCCATCAAAGAATCAGCCCAGCAAGGGTTGGATCTTCCTTTTGTGTTTAATTTGGACACAGTTGGAAATTGAAGTTCAAGTAAAGTGATCATTGTGAATGGTAATAAAATGCATCCTCTTCAGCCATGGACATTCTCCTTACCTTTTAAAACTAAGTTACATGTGTAATGTCTTATAATTAATTTAGGCCAGGTGTGGTGGCTCACACCTGTGATTCTAGCACCGTGGAAGGCAGAGGAAGGCAGATTTGTTGACTCCAGATGTTGAAGATCAGCCTGGGCAACATGGAGAAACCCCCATCTCTACAAAAAAATTTAGAAAATTAGCCAGGCGTGGTGCTTCATGCCTGTAGTCCCAGTTACTCAGGACGCTGAGATAAGAGGGTCCCTTGAGCCCAGGAAGTCGACACTGCAGTGCATGGTGATCATGCCACTGCACTCCAGCCTGGGCGACAGAGCGAGACCCTGTCTCAATAACAATAATATTAATAATAATGATAAATTTAGAGCAAATGCAAATTAATGTGTAATACTACATCCTCTTTTGTGAAAATGTGTTAGTTATTTACTATTGCATAACAAATTATGTAAAACTTAGCAGCTCAAAATGGCAAATATTCATCATCTCCCGCAGGTTCCAATGGTCAGGAATCCAGGAGAGGTTTCCCTGAGTGCTTCTTGCTCAGGGCCTCTCACAAGGTTGCAGTCCAGTTGTCAGCCTAGGCCTGCATCATCTGAGTGCTTCACTGGGACTGAGGATTCACATGAAACATGGATGGGTCACATGGCTGTTGGAAAAGCCCTAGTTCCTTGTTTTCTGTTCCCAGAAGGCCCCAGTTCTCAGCCACATGGACCTTCCTTCAGGGCTGCTTATGGCACAGCAGGTGGCTTCCCCCAGAGCTCATGATTCCAGAGACATTGAGAGAGAAGGGGGAGGCTGCAGTGAGTTTTATGTTCTACACCCAGAGTCACAAACTCTTATGTCAGCATTACCAGTTAGAAGTTGTATTAGTCCGTTCTCACATTGCTATAAAGAAATACCTGAGACTGGGTAATTTATAAAGGAAAGAGGTTTAATTGACTCATAGTTCTGCATTGCTGAGAAGGCTGCCCCATGAAACTTACAATCATGGCAGAAGTGGAGGCAAACACGTCCTTCTTCACATGGTGGCAGGAGAGAGAATTGCAGATCGAAGTGGGGAAAAATACCTCATAAAACCATCAGATCTCATGAGAATTCCCTCAGCATCATAAGAGCAGCATGGGGGTACCATACCCGTGATCCAATCACCTCCCAGGAGGTCCCTCCCCCGATACATAGGGATTACAATTTGCATGACAATTCAAGATGAGAATTTGGTGGGAACTCAGAGCCAGACCATATCAGAAATGCATCATTAAGTCCCAGCCACACTCAAGAGAGGAAATTAAGCAGCATCTCTGGAAGGGAACAGTATTAAAGGATTTGAATATATATTAAAAGCAAATTTAAAACTCTTGTTTCAGGATTTTGAAAATCAAAATTTTTTTATCTAATTATTTTTCGTTAACCCTTTTAGCTTGTCTTTTAATTTAATTTAATTTTAAGTTCCAGGTTATGTGTGCAGGATGCGCAGGTTTGTTACATAGGTAAATGTGTGCCATGGTGGTTTGCTGCACCTATCAAACCATCACCTATGTATTAACCCTGGCATGCATTAGCTATTTTTTCCTAATACTCCTCCCACCACTGCCCTCCCCCAGCAGGCACCAGTGTGTGATGTTCCTCTCCTTGTGTCCATGTGTTCTCATTGCTCATCTCCCAATTATAAGTGAGAACATGTGGTGTTTGGCTTTCTGTTCCTGTGTTAGTTTGCTGAGGATGGCTTCCAGCTTCATCCATATCCCTGCAAAAGACTGAATCTCATTCCTTTTTGTGGCTGCATAATATTCCATGGTGTATATGTACCATATTTTCTTAATGCAGTACATCATTGATGGGCATTTGGGCTGATTCCATGTCTTTGCTATTGTGGATAGTGCTGCAATAAGCATACACATGCATGTATCTTTATAATAGAGTGATTTATTTTCCTTTGGATGTATACCCTGTAATGGGATTGCTGGGTCAAATGGTATTTCTGGTTCTAAATCTTTGAGGAATCACCAAACTGTCTTCCACAATGGTTCAACCAATTTACATTTCCAGCAACAGTGTAAAAGCCTTCCTATTTCTCCACAACCTCGCCAGCATCTGGTGTTTATGTAGTTTTAAATAATTGCCATTCTGACTGGCATTAGATGGTATCTCATTTGTGGTTTTGATTTGCATTTCTGTAATCAGTGATGTTGAGCTTTTTTTCATGTTTTTTTGGCCACATGTACATCTTATTTTGTGAAATGTCTCTTCATGTCCTTTGTTCACTTTTTAATGAAGTTTTTTTCATGTAAATTTGCTTAAGTTCTTTATAGATTCTGAATATTAGACCTTTGTAAGATAGATAGATTGCAAAAATTTTCTCCCATTCTGTAGGGTGTCTGTTCACTCTGATAGTTTCTTTTTCTGTGCAGATGCTCTTTTGTTTAATTAGATCCCATATGCCAATTTTTGCTTTTGTGGCAGATGCTCTTGGCGATTTCATCATAAAATCTTTGCCCATGCCTGTGTCCTGAATGGTATTGCCTAGATTTTCTTTCAGGGTTTTTATAATTTTGTGTTTTACATTTAAGTCTTTAATCTATCTTGAGTTAATTTTTGTGTAAGGTGTAAGGAAGGGGTCTAGTTTCAATTTTCTGCATATGGCTAGCCAGTTCTCCCATCACCATTTATTAAATAGGGAATCCTTTCCCCGTTGCTTGTTTTTGTCAGGTTTGTTGAAGATCAAATGGTTGTAGATGTGCGGACTTTTTTTGTGAATTCTCTATTCTGTTCCATTGGTCTATGTGCCTGTTTTTGTACCAGTATCATGCTGTTTTGTTTACTGTAGCCTCACAGTATACTTTTAAGTGGGGTAGTGTGCTGCCTCCAGCTTTGTTCTTTTTGCTTAGTATTCTCTTTGCTATATGAGCTCTTATTGGATCCATATGAATTTTAAAATAGTTTTTTTTTCTAATTCCACGATAAGCTTATCTTTTAAAATTAATGATTAACTGTTTCAGACATCACAGAGCCTTGGGTGCTTAGGAGAAAACAGTTTGAAACAGAGAAAGGATATGCAACAGTAACTCTGAATTTTTCTTGTGAATACCTTTAATAACAATGTTGTTTTCAATTAGTTAACACAGTTGAGAACATAGAGTAACTAGATCAAATAGTTCCAAGACTTCAGTCTGATAAAAATAATGTCTTGAAAATAAGACTTTGTTTTGTCTAAGATATCTCAAATTTAGTGGAAGCACGTCCCAAGCACCAATTTTCTTATTGAAATATCATCTTCACTAAACATTTGCCTACACTTAAAAAAAAAAACAAAAACTCCGCTATATGGAGTAGCCATTCTTTTGTTTCTTTACTTCTCTAATAACTTGCTTTCACTTAGGAAAACATTGCCTAATCAAATTGCTTTTCATTTACAAAAGTGTGAATCTCATACTTCAGTCAACACATCTAGCTTAGCATGATGCCAATAACTTTGGTTTGATGCAGTAGCCTGAAATGGTTAGCTCAAATTGAGAAACAAGTTTTTTTCAAAAGCTAGCTATTTGGTGGGCATTACATAATAAACTTAACATCTTTTGCTCTGGTATTGAATGAGATGTGATAGAAGTCATTTGCACACCACTATGATTCTAAATAACACGGCTATTATGTGCTTCTGAAGCTTTTTTTCTTTTTATCAGTCCTATTCTGTTTTCCATTCATATTTGATATTCCATCACTGGTTATTCCTTCCTATTCTTTTCTTGTTTGATTTATTTTGATCAATTATTTGCATTTCCAATTCCGTAAAAGTTTAATTCAGTTGTATGTGTGGTAGAATGTAACATCAAATCCTTTGCAAGATGGAATTACCTTGCACAGCAGATTGAACATTGTATAACTGAAAATCTAGAGAGATGCCAGTCAGCCAAGGGTTAAATGACCTATTTTTAGCCAAGTCCATTTTCATGGCATCCTGGTCCTCTCTGTCACATGACTCCTTACAATTCTCTGTGGTTTGCTTCCAATGTAAGTAGTTCTTATTAAGGATCCTTGCAATTAACTTTGGTATTCTTTTCTCTTACATTTTTTTAAAATTATACTTTAAGTTCTATGGTACATGTGCATAACGTGCAGGTTTGTCACATATGTATGCATGTGCCCTGTTGGTTTGCTGCCCTCTTTAACTAGTCATTTACATTAGGTATTTCTCCTAATGCTATCCTTCCCCCATCCCGCCACCTGACGACAGGCCCCAGTGTGTGATGTTCCCCACCCTGTGTCCAAGTGTTCTCATTGTTCAATTCACCTATGAGTGAGAACATGCGCTGTTTGATTTTCTGTCTTCGCGATAGTTTGCTCAGAATGATGGTTTCCTGCTTCATCCATGTCACTACAAAGGACATGAACTCATCCTTTTTATGGCTGCATAGTATTCCATGGTGTATATGTGCCACATTTTCTTAATCTAGTCTATCATTGATGGACATTTGGGTTGGTTCCAATTCTTTGCTATTGTGAATAGTGCCACAATAAACATACATGTGCATGTGTCTTTATAGTAGCGTGATTTATAATCCGTTGGGCATATACCCAGTAATGGGATGGCTGGGTCAAATGGTATTTCTAGTTCTAGATCCTTCAGGAATTGCCACACTGTCTTCCACAATGGTTGAACTAGTTTACAGTCCCACCAACAGTGTAAAAGTGTTCCTGTTTCTCCACATCCTCTCCAGCACCTGTTGTTTCCTGACTTTTTAATGATCGCCATTCTAACTGGTGTGAGATGGTATCTCATTGTGGTTTTGATTTGCATTTCTCTGATGGCCAGTGATGATGAGCATTTTTTCATGTGTCTGTTGGCTGCATAAATGTCTTCTTTTGAGAAGTGCCTGTTCATATCCTTTGCCCACTTTTTATGGGGTTGTTTGATGGGTAGACTGCAAAAATTTTCTCCCATTCTGTAGGTTGCCTGTTCACTCTGATGGTAGTTTCTTTTGCTGTGCAGAAGCTTTTTAGTTTAATTAGATCCCATTTGTCTAATTTGGCTTTTGTTGCCATTGCTTTTGGTGTTTTAGTCACGAAATCCTTGCCCATGCTGATTTCCTAAGTGGTATTGCCTAGGTTTTCTTTTGGGTTTTATGGTTTTAGGTCTAACATTGAAGTCTTTAATCCATCTGGAATTAATTTCTGTGTAAGTTGTAAGGAAGGGATCCAGTTTCAGCTTTCTACATGTGGCTAGCCAGTTTTCCCAGCACCATTTATTAAGTTTCCCAGCACCTTTCCCTATTGCTTGTTTCTGTCAGGTTTGTCAAAGATCAGATGATTGTAGATGTGTGGTGTTACTTCTGAGGCCTCTGTTCTGTTCCATTGGTCTGTATCTCTGTTTTGGTACCAGTACCATACTGTTTTGGTTACTGCAGCCTTGTAGTATAGTTTGAAGTCAGGTAGCGTCATGCCTCCAGCTTTGTTCTTTTGGCTTAGGATTCTCTTGGCAATGTGGTCTCTTTTTTGGTTCCATATGAACTTTAAAGTAGTTTTTTCCAATTCTGTGAAGAAAGTCATTGGTAGCTTGATGGGGATGGCATTGAATCTATAAATTACCTTGGGCAGTGTGGCCATTTTCATGATATGGATTCTTCCTATCCATGAACGTGGAATGTTCTTCCATTTGTTTATATCCTCTTTTATTTCATTGAGCAGGTTTGTAGTTCTCCTTGAAGAGGTCCTTCACATCCCTTGTAAGTTGGATTCCTAGGTATTTTATTCTCTTTGTAGCAATTTTGAATGGGAGTTCACTCATGATTTGGCTGTCTGTCTGTTATTGGTGTGTAAGAATGCTTGTGATTTTTGCACATTGATTTTGTATCCTGAGACTTTGCTGAAGTTGCTTATCAGCTTAAGGAGATTTTGGGCTGAGATGATGGGGTTTTCTAGACATACAGTCGTGTCATCTGCAAACAGGGACAATTTTACTTCCTCTTTTCCTAATTGAATACCCTTTATTTCCTTCTCCTGCCTAATTGCCCTGGCCAGAACTTCCAACACTATGTTGAATAGGAGTGATGAGAGAGGGCATCCCTGTCTTGTGCCAGTTTTCAAAGGGAATGCTTCCAGTTTTTGCCCATTCAGTATGATATTGGCTGTGGGTTTGTCATAGATAGCTCTTATTATTTTGAGATACGTCCCATCAATACTTAATTTATTGAGAGTTTTTAGCATGAAGGTTGTTGAATTTTGTCAAAGGCCTTTTTTGCATCTATTGAGATAATCATGTGGTTTTTGTCGTTGGTTCTCTTTAAATGCTGGATTATGTTTATTGATTTTCGTATGTTGAACCAGCCTTGCATCCCAGGGATGAAGCCCACTTGATCATGGTGGATAAGCTTTTTGATGTGCTGCTGGATTCGGTTTGCCAGTATTTTATTGAGGATTTTTGCATCTATGTTCATCAGGGATATTGGTCGAAAATTCTCTTTTTTTGTTGTGTCTCTGCCCGGCTTTGCTATCAGGATGATGCTGGCCTCATAAAATGAGTTAGGGAGGATTCTCTCTTTTTCTATTGATTAGAATAGTTTCAGAAGGAATGGTACCAGCTCCTCCTTGTACCTCTGGTAGAATTCGGCTGTGAATCCATCTGGTCCTGGACTATTTTTGGTTGGTAAGCTATTAATTATTGCCTCAATTTCAGAGCCTGTTATTGGTATATTCAGAGATTCAACTTCTTCCTGGTTTAGTCTTGGGAGGGTGTATGCGTCGAGGAATTTATCCATTTCTTCTAGATTTTCTAGTTTATTTGCATAGAGGTGTTTATAGTATTCTCTGATGGTAGTTTGTATTTCTGTGGGATTGGTGGTGATATCCCCTTTATCATTTTTATTGCATCTATTTGATTCTTCTCTCTTTATTAGTCTTGCTAGCGGTCTATCAATTTTGTTGGTCTTTTCAAAAAATCAGCTCCTGGATTCATTGATTTTTTGAAGGGTTTTTTGTGTCTCTATCTCCTTCAGTTCTGCCCTGATCTTGGTTATTTCTTGCCTTCTGCTAGCTTTTGAATGTGATTGCTCTTGCTTCTCTAGTTCTTTTAATTGTGATGTTAGGGTGTCGATTTTAGATCTTTCCTACTTTCTGTTGTGGGCATTTAGTGCTATAAATTTCCCTTTACACACTGCTTTGAATGCATCCCAGAGATTCTGGTATGTTGTGTCTTTGTTCTCGTTGGTTTCAAAGAACCTCTTTATTTCTGCCTTCCTTTCATTATGTACCCAGTAGTCATTCAGGAGCAGGTTGTTCAGTTTCCATGTGGTTGAGCAGTTTTGAGTGAGTTTCTTAATCCTGAGTTCTAGTTTGATTGCACTGTGGTCTGAGAGACAGTTTGTTATAATTTCTGTTCTTTTACATTTGCTGAGGAGTGCTTTACTTCCAACTATGTGGTCAGTTTTGGAATAAGTGCGGTGTGGTGCTGAGAAGAATGTATATTCTGTTGATTTGGGGTGGAGAGTTCTGTAGATGTCTATTAGGTCTGCTTGGTGCAGAGCTGAGTTCAATTCCTGGATATCTTTGTTAACTTTCTGTCTCATTGATCTGTCCGATGTTGACAGTGGGGTGTTAAAGTTTCCCATTACTATTGTGTGGGAGTCTAAGTCTCTTTATATGTCTCTACGGACTTGCTTTATGAATCTGGGTGCTCCTGTATTGGGTGCATATATATTTAGGATAGTTAGCTCTTCTCATTGAATTGATCCCTTTACCATTATGTATTGGCCTTCTTTGTCTCTTTTGATCTTTGTTGGTTTAAAGTCTGTTTTATCAGAGAGTAGGATTGCAACCCCTGCCTTTTTTTGTTTTCCATTTGCTTGGTAGATCTTCCTCCATCCCTTTATTTTGAGCCTATGTGTGTCTCTGCACGTGAGATGGGTTTCCTGAATACAGCACACTGATGGGTCTTGACTCTTTATCCAATTTGCCAGTCTGTGTCTTTTAATTGGAGCATTTAGCCCATTTACATTTAAGGTTAATATTGTTATGTGTGAATTTGATCCTGTCATTATGATGTTAGCTGGTTATTTTGCTCATTAGTTGATGCAGTTTCTTCCTAGCCTCAATGGTCTTTACTATTTGGCATGTTTTTGCAGTGGCTGGTACCAGTTGTTCCTTTCCATGTTTAGTGCTTCCTTCAGGATCTCTTGTAAGGCAGGCCTGGTGGTGACAAAATCTCTCAGGATTTGCTTGTCTGTCAAGGATTTTATTTCTCCTTCACTTACAAAGCTTAGTTTGGCTGGATTTGAAATTCTGGGCTGAAAATTCTTTTCTTTAAGAAAGTTGAATATTGGCCCCTACTCTCTTCTGCCTTGTAGAGTTTCTGCCGAGAGATCAGCTGTTAGTCTGATGGGTTTCCCTTTGTGGGTAGCCCGACCTTTCTCTCTGTCTTTCCTTAACATTTTTTCCTTAATTTCAACTTTGGTGAATCTGACAATTATGTGTCTTGGAGTTGCTCTTCTTGAGGAGTATCTTTGTTGTGTTCTCTCTATTTCCTGAATTTGAATGTTGGCCTGCCTTGCTAGATTGGGGAAGTTCTCCTGGATAATATCCTGCAGAGTGTTTTCCAACTTGGTTCCATTCTCTCCGTCACTTGCAGGTACACCAATCAGATGCAGATTTGGTCTTTTCACATAGTCCCATATTTCTTGGAGGCTTTGTTCATTTCTTTTTATTCTTTTTTCTCTAAACTTCTCTTCTCACTTCATTTCATTCATTTGATCTTCCATCACTGATAACCTTTCTTCCAGTTGATCGAATCAGCTACTGAAGCTTGTGCATTCATCACTTAGTTCTCGTGCCGTAGTTTTCAGCTCCATCAGGTCCTTTAAGGACTTCTCTGCATTGGTTATTCTAGTTAGCCATTCATCTCATCTTTTTTCAAGGTTTTTAACTTCTTTGTCATGGGTTCGAACTTCCTCCTTTAGCTCGGAGAAGTTTGATCGTCTGAAGCCTTCTTCTCTCAACTCATCAGAGTCATTCTCCTTCCAGCTTTGTTCCATTGCTAGTGAGTAGCTGCATTCCTTTGGAGGAGGAGAGGCACTCTGATTTTTAGAATTTTCAGTTTTTCTGCTCTGTTTTTTCCCCGTCTTTGTGGATTTATCTACCTTTGGTCTTTGATGATGGTGACGTACAGATGGGGTTTTGGTGTGGATGTCCTTTCTGTTTGTTAGTTTTCCTTCTGACAGTCAGGACCCTCAGCTGCAGGTCTGTTGGAGTTTGCTGGAGGTCCACTACAGACCCTGTTTGCCTGGGTATCAGCAGCGGAGGCTGCAGAACAATGCATATTGGTGAACAGCAAATGTTGCTGCCTGATCTTTCCTCTGGAGATTTTGTCTCAGAGGAGTACTCGGCCGTGTGACGTGTCAGTCTGCCCCTACTGGGGGGTGCCTCCCAGTCAGGCTACTTGGGAGTCAGGGACCCACTTGAGGAGGCAGTCTGTCTGTTCTCAGATCTCAAGCTGCATGCGGGAGAACCACTACTGTCTTCAAAGCTGTCAGACAGGGACATTTAAGTCTGCAGAGGTTTCTGCTGCCTTTTGTTTGGCTATGCCCTGCCCCCAGAGGTGGAGTCTACAGAGGCAGGCAGGCCTCCTTGAGCTGTGTGGGCTCCACCCAGCTCGAGCTTCCTGGCCGCTTTGTTTACCTACTCAAGCCTCAGCAATGGCGGGCACCCCTCCCCCAGCCTTGCTGCCGCCTTGCAGTTTGATCTCAGACTGCTGTGCTGGCAATGAGCGAGGCTCTGTGGGTGTAGGACCCTGCGAGCCAGGCATGGGATATAATCTCTCGGTGTGCCGTTTGCTAAGACCATAGGAAAAGTGCAGTATTAGGGTGGGAGTGACCTAATTTTCCAGGTGCCATCTGTCACCCCTTTCCTTGGCTAGGAAAGGGAATTCCCTGACCCCTTGCGCTTCCTGGGTGAGGCGTGGCCTCGCCCTGCTTTGGCTCACACTTGGTGCACTGCACCCACTGTCCTGCACCCACTGTCTGACAGTCCCCAGTGAGATGAACCTGGTACCTCAGTTGGAAATGCAGAAATCATTCGTCTTCTGCATTGCTCACCCTGGGAGCTGTAGACTGGAGCTGTTCCTATTCCCCAAATTAATTTTTGTTGACTGAATAAATGAAATATGAGTGTATTAAAATTTAATTTCATCACAGAAAATTATAAAATAAACAATACTGGAAAAGATTGAGAAAGTTTTTATTTTATGTAACTAGTGTGCATATCAATTCATAAATTCATTCCATTTGTCTGTTGAGACTGTACGAATTTTATGACTGCATAACAAATTATCACAAATATTGGCTTTAAACAATACCCATTTATTTAATTAATTCATTTATTTTTAGAGAAATGGTCTCTTTCTCTCATCCATTTTGAAGTGCAGTCACACAGTCATGGCTCACTGCAGCCTTGAAATCCTGGGCTCAAAGGATCCTCCTGGCTCAGTCTTCAGAGTAACTAGAACTACAGGCAAATGCCACCACGCCCAGCTAATTAAAAAAAAATTGTAGAGATGAGGGTCTCATTGCATTACCCAGGCTGGTCTCAAATTCCTGAGTGTAAGTGATCCTCCTGTGTAAGCCCCTCAAATGTTAGGATTGCAGGTGTGTGCTACCACACCTGCCCAAACAACATCCACTGATCTGTTTACAGTTCTTTAGGCAGAAATCCAGGCATGATGTAGACGGGGTCTCTATTCAGGGCTTCCCAAAGCTGTGTTTTCATTTTGAATCCTCCTTCAAGCATATATAGAGGCGGCAGAATTCAGTTTCTGACAGTCGTTAAGACTGAGTTTCCTGTTCCCTGCTAGCTGTCAAGGTAGAGAGGAGGGAGGGCTGTGCTCAATGCCTGGAGCCAAACAGCATTCTTTTCTAGTCAGCCCCTTCAATTTCAAAGCCCACAGTGGAGGAAACCCCTCACACTGAATCCCTCTCACACTGTGAATCTCTATGCTCAGGAAGAACCCAGTCCTTTCATGGGCTCACCTGATTAGGAGTGTCCAAGCAGGCTAAACCCAGCCTCAAGTCAACTGATTGAGGACCTTGATTATATCTGCTAAATCCCTTCACAGCAGCACCTACAGTAGAGTTGGTTGAATAATTGGGGGAAGGTGGATGACCAGGAGGTGGTTGTTGGGACTATTATAGAATCAGCCTAGCAAGGGTTGGATTTTCCTTTTGTGTTTAATTGTGACACAGTTGGAAATTGAAGTTCAAGTAAAGCGATCATTGTGAATGATAATAAAATACATCCTCTTCAGCCATGGAGATTCACCTTACCTCTTAAAATCAAGTGACAGGTTTAATAGCTTATAATTAATTCATGCCAGGTGTGGTGGCTGGCACCTACAATCCTAGCACTGTGGCGGGCAGAGGAAGGCAGATCCATTGACTCCAAGAGTTTGAGATCAGCCTGGGCAACATGGTGAAACCTCCATCTCTACAAAAACATTAGAGTATTATCCAGGCATGGTGGTTCATGCCTGTAGTCCCAGCCAGCTACTCAGGAGGCTGAGGTCAGAGGATATTTGAGCACAGGAAGTCAACACAGCAGTGAATGGTGAACATGCCACTGCACTCTAGCCTCTGTGACAGAGCAAGATGCTGTCTCAAAAATAGTAATAATCATGATCATAAATTTAGAGCAAATGAAAATTGAAGTGCAATAAATCATCCTCTCTTATGAAAATGTATTAGTTATTTACTATTGCATAACAAATTACATAAAACTTAGCAGCGCAAAACAACAAACATCATCTACCGCAGTTTCCAATGGTCAGGAATCCAGGAGCAAGGTTTCCCTGAGTGCTTCTGGCTCAGAGCCTCTCACAAGGTTACAGTCCAGTCCAGGGCTGCATCATCTGAGAGCTTCACTAGGGCTTGGGATTTACAAGAAACATGGCTCACTCACATGGTTCCTTGTTGTCCGGTCCCAGGAGGCCTCAGTTTTTAGCCACATGGACCTTCCTGCAGGGCTGCTTATGGCACAGCAGTTGGCTTCCCCCAGAGCTCATGATCCCAGAGACAGAGAGAGAGAAGCTGCAGTGAGTTTTATGTTCTACACCCAGAGTCAAAAACTGTTATATCAGCACTACTCTATCAGTTAGAAGTTGTATTTGTCTGTTCTCACACTGCTATAAAGAAATACCTGAGACTGGGTAATTTATAAAGGAAAGAGGTTTAATTGACTCACAGTTCTGCATGACTGAAGAGGTGGCCTCAGGAAATTTACAATCATGGCAGAAGGGGAAGGAAGCATGTCATTCTTCACATGGTGGTGGGAGAGAGAAATGCAAGGTTGTCGGGGGCGGGGGTGGCAGGGAAGACTCTTGCAAAACCATCAGATCTCATAGAACTCACTCACTATCATGAGAACAGCATGAGGGAACCATCCCCATGATCTAATCACTTCCCACCATGTCTTTCCCCTAGCACGTGGGGATTACAATTCAAGATGAGTTTGGGTGGGGACACAGGGTGAGGCCATATCAGAAGTGCATCATTAAGTCCAAGCCGAACTCACAGGGAAGGAATTAAGCTGCACCATTGGAAGGGAGGAGTATCAAGGGATTTGCATACATGTTGAAAGCAAAATTAAAATTATTATTTCAGGATTTTGTAAATCAAATGCTTCTTTCATGTGATTATTTTTCTTTAATGCTTTAAGCTTCTTTTTAATTTTTATTTTAAGTTTCAGGGTACATATGCAGGATGTGCAGATTTGTTACATAGGTAAACGTGTGCCATGGTGTTTTGCTACACTTATCAACCCAGCACCTAGGTATTAAGCCTAGCATGAATGAGCTATTTTTCCTAATGCGCACCCCACCTCTGCCCCCCCCCCAAAAGGACACAGTGTTCCCCTCCCAGTGCCCATGGATTCTCATTGCTCAGCTCCCAATTATCAGTGAGAACATGCAGTGTTTGTTTTTCTGTTTCTGCATTAGTTTGTTGAGGATAATGGCTTCCAGCTTTTTCCATGTCCCTGCAAAACATGATCTCCTTCCTTTTTAAGGCTGCATAGTATTCCATGGTGTACATGTCATATGTTTTCTTTATCCAGTCTATTGTTGATGCGCATTTAGGTTGATTCCATGTCTTTGCTATTGTGAGTGGTGCTGCAATGAACATACACATGGATGTAACTTTATAATAGAATGATTTATATTTCTTTGGGTATATACCCAGTAATGGGATTGCTGGGTCAAATGGTATTTCTAGTTCTAGATCTTTGAGGAATCGTCATATTGTCTTCCACAATGGTTGAACTAATTTACATTCCCACCAACAGTTAAAGCATTCCTATTTCCCTGCAACCTTGCCAGTATCTGTTGTTTCTTGACTTTTTAATAATCACCATTCTGACTGGCATGAGATGGTATCTCATTGTGGTTTTGATTTGCATTTCTCTAATGACCAGTGATGATGAGCTTTTTTTCATATGTTTGTTGGCCACATGTATGTCTTCTTTTGAGAAGTGTCTGTTCATGTCATTTGCCCACTTTTTAATGGGGTTGTTTGTTATTTTCTTGTAAATTTGCTTAATTTCCTTGTAGATTGTGGATATTAGATCTTTGTCAGATGGATAGATTACAAAAATTTTCTTTCATTCTGTAGGTTGTCTGTTCACTCTGATCACAGTGTCTTTTCCTGTGCAGAAGCTCTTTAGTTTAATTAGATCCCATTTGTCAGTTTTTGCTTTTGTGGCAGATGCTTTTGGCGATTTCATCATAAAATCTTTGCCCATGCCCAGGCAAATGGTATTGCCTAGATTTTCTTCTTGGGTTTTTATAGTTTTGGGTTTTACATTTAGGTCTTTAATCCATCTAGAGTTAATTTTTGTGTAAGATGTAAGGAAGGGGTCCAGTTTCAGTTTTCTGCAAATGGCTAGCCCGTTTTCCCAACATCATTTATTAAATATGGAATCATTTCCCTGTTGCTTGTTTTCATCAGGTTTGTTGAAGATCAGATGGTTTTAGATATGCGGTTTTATTTCTGAGTTCTCTACTCTCTTCCATTAGTCTATTACCATGCTGTTTTGGTTACTGTAGCCTGTAGTATAGTTTGAAATCAGGTAGTCTGAGGCCGCCTGCTTTGTTCTTTTTGTGTAGGATTGTCCGGGCTATATGAGCTCTTTTTTGGTTCCATATGAATTTTAAAATAGTTTCTTCTAATTCTGTGATAAGCTTCTCTTTTTAAATTAATGATTAAAAGTTTGAGACATCACAGAGCCTTGGGTGTTGTGGCGAAAACTGTTTGAGACAGAGAAAGAGGATACAATAGTATGTCTGAGTTTTTCTTGCAAATACCTTTAATAACAATATTCTCTTCAATGAGTCAACAGTTGAGAACCCAGAGTAACTAGAGCAAATATTCCAAAGACTTCTGTGCCGTAAAAATAATGACTTGAAAATAAGTCTTTGTTTCAACTAAGGTGTCTCACATTTAGTTGAAGTATGCCCCAAGTGCCAATTTTCTTATTGAAATATCATCTTCAAAAAACATTTGCCTACACTTAAAAAAAAGGGCTGTTGTGTCTATTGAGTAGCCATTCTTTTGTTTCCTTACTTCTCTCATAAACTTGATTTCACTTTAAAAAATTTGCCTAATTGGTTTTAATTTACAAAAATGTGAATCTCATACCTCAGTTAACACATCTAGCTTAGCAAGATGTCAATAGCTTTGGTTGGATGCAGTAGCCCAAAATGGTTAGCTCCAACTGAGGCATAAGATTTTTCAAAAACTGGCTATTTGGTGAGCATTCTATAATAAACTTAACATCTTTTGTTCTGGTATTGAATCAGATACGATAGAAGTGATTTGGACACCACTATGATTCTAAATGGCACTGCAATTTTGTGCTTTCAAGTTTTTTTGAGCAATCCTGTTGTGTTTTCCATTCATATTTGCTATTCCATCACTGGTTGTTCCTTTATACTCTTTTATTGTTTCATCTATTTTGATCAATGATGTGCATTTCCAATTCTGTAAAAGTTTAATTCAGTTGTATGTGTGGAATATGTAACAAATCAAATCCTTTGCAAAATGGAATTACCTTGCACATCAGATTGAATCTTGTATACCTGAAAATCTAGAGAGATGCCTGTGAGCCAAGGATCATATGGCCCTTTAGCCAAGGGTATTGTCATGGCATCCTGTAAGGAGCCTCTCTGTCATGTGGCTCCTTACAATTCTCTGTGGCTTTCTTCCAATGTAAGTAGTTCTTGTTAAGGATCCTTGCAATGAACTTTGATATTTTTTTCTTTCATTTTTTAAGAAACAGGTATATTTTAGTTTGAAAAATACTGTTTAAGGAGTTATAATCTAGTAGTTACCTGGGTTCCCAGCACTGGCATAAGACACAGAACCCGCAAAGCCACCCTGGGCTGCTGCCCAATCACATCCCCCAGAATGAGACCCCATCCTGAGTCTTGTTTTTATTATTACTTTGTATTTCTTTAAATATTTGTACAATAAGTATATATAATCTCAAACCAAATATTAGTTTCACTGGTTTTTAAGCTTCCTGTACAGAAATTCCTACTACATTTCTTTTCTCATGATGCACATTATGTATAGGAGTTATCTGTTGTGTGGGAGGCTGTCATTCACTCATTTTTACTGCTGAAGGTTTACATTTTATGGTTATACCACAATTTCACTACTTTGCTATTGATGTATAGGAGGCTGATTCCAGTTTTTGCCATAAACATTAGTGTGCATGTCTCCTGGGCACATAGGCGAGAAAGCCGCCAGAGTGTATGATTAGGAGTGGGATGGTTGGATGATATGTTGTATGGCCTTTAACCATACTAAATAATGATAATATGATTTCCAAAGTAATTGTGCCAACTTAAGCTTTTACAATAAATGTGTAATATGTGATGTTGATGTGTTCTGAAAACACTGAGTTGAAGGAATTAAGAGTTAATAGCAACTGCCTTGGCTGCAGAATTATAGCAGATTTTTTTTTTGACGGAGTCTTGCTCTGTCGCCCAGGCTGGAGTGCAGTGGCACAATCTCGGTTCACTGCAAGCTCCACCTCCTGGGTTCACGCCATTCTCCCGCCTCAGCCTCTTGAGTAGCTGGGGCTACAGGTGCCCGCCACCACACCGGCTAATTTTTTTTTTGTATTTTTAGTAAAGACAGGGTTTCACCGTGTTAGCCAGGATGGTCTCTATCCCCTGACCTCGTGATCCGCCCGTCTAGGCCTCCCAAAGTGCTGGGATTACAGGCATGAGTCACCATGCCCAGCCTATAGCAGGCATTCTTATTCAGACTCTGTTAATAACTTCCTGTTGTTAACTTGTATCCTATATACCATGGCTTTATACTTTTAACATATAGATTCAGAAAATGTTTCCTTATAGTACAAACACATAGGGTTATTTTATATGTCAGAATATGTCATAATAAAAAAGAAAAAAATGGAGGAAAGGAGAGAAAGAAGGAGAGAGGAGTGAAGGAAGCAAAGAAGGAAGGGGAAGAGAAGGAGGGAGGGAGGGCAAATGGAAATAGAAAAGAAAGAGAGGGAGGGAGAGATAGAAGTGAGAAGAAAGGGAAGGAATAAAGGAGAAAAGAAACGAAAATAAAGAAAAAAACAGGCGTAGAGAAACTAGGAACCCAATATATGGCTAATATTATCAAAATGGGAGGAAATAAAACGGATGTATTTAACCTCTATAGAATAACAGAAATGTAAGAGGGCTTCATTAGTTATCCATTGCTGTATAACAAACTACCCCCAAATTTAGTGACTTAAAGCAACAAACATCGACTATCTCAAAAGCATAATACAAATACTAGCAAAATGGAGCCAATGCAGGTAGAAGTTGAACAAACAAAAGGATTTTACAAATTGGAGTAAGTAAGAGGTCACTGGTGTGCAGATGAAAATGATTTTGCATTCCAAGTGCCATCATGGGATTAAAGTTACAGGATTTTATTAGGGGACACACCTGTCAGAGATATAGCAACGGAGGCAGGTTACCCTGGGAAAGGCAACAGACCAAGATGCAAATGTGACCCCCAGTGATGGACAGAAGGACAGAAGGTTTACTGGATGTGTCCTAGACCACAGGCAATCTCAGGAGAGTTGAGCAAAGCCATGGAGGAGTCTTTGAGCCACTGCTGTCCGTCAGAGGAGTCCCTGGTCTCCCAGGAATGTCCTGCCTCAGTGTCACTGGTGTGACCCATCACTGGCTGGGAACAGCCCATGGGAAGCAGGGTCTCTGCACCAATGACACTGAGGATGTCAGAGCACAGGAGTGGGGCCTTGGGTGATTACCCAGGAGTGTGGCTCAAACCTCCTGTCCTGAGAGGTCTGGGCCCTTGGAAATCAAATCCTCTCAGGCTGGATTGCTGGATGATTCTGCTCACATTTACAAAGGGACAAGGCAAACCAGAAGGCCCCCAAGTAGATCTCTGGTTCTCACACACACACTTCTGCCCTCATTGTGTGAAAGTAGCCATGCCTCCTCCTGGAGATCAGGATCTATTACCTGCACCTGGAGAGGAAGAGACTCCTTTTCTCACCAGCTGGTCTCTGGGCACATACTGTCCAAACTTCTCTGGTGACAACCATAATGTGTAGTTCAATGGGCTGTCATGTGTCTCTTTTTAAGGACCTCCTGCCCTGAACAGCCCAAAGTTGGGAGATAAAACGTGCAAAATACCCCAGTGGGTGAATCTAAGAGACTGGACATGGAGACAAACCTGCTTCCAACTTTCGGTTTCTAGACCCACATATTCTTCCTATTGAGAACACAGCACCGTAGAGATGTCTCTGATTCAAACAATGCACCATGTCCTGAAAAACGGCCCCCACCCCTCAGAGTGCTTCCTCCAGGATGACACTGAGTTTTGCCTGTAGAAGACATTTCCAGCATTCCTTGTGGCTGGCAGCCCCTGGGTGGTGCAGATGGTGATCAGATCAGTGAAACCCATAGCCACGGAAACACTGGAACTTTCCCTGCCAAGTGGGTCCTTCAGGCAGATACTGGGTTGGGAGCACCACCTAGCCTGTGGATCAGGAATGTCAACAGCACCCAGAGAGTGGTGCTGGCTGAGTGTCCGAGAGCAGGACAGGAAAACTCACCCATGGAATATGAGCCTACCCCTGTGAAGATGAACCTCAGGCCCTTCTAGGATGGAAGTAGCTAAATGTAGTCAACTTGTTACATAGTGGCTAGTTAGTCACCTAAAGAAATAGTGCCCCACTAGGGCACATGGTGGGCCTCAAATGCTGATGAGTTGGACATTCAGAGGTGGCAGCAGCTGGATCTGTCTTGATAATGGGGAGTCAGTACTTCTGGCCCCATATGTAGCCTCATGCCTGCCACTGTGCTTGCTCCATTCATGTGCCCATCCTACCAGGCCTGCATTGACCCATAGTGAAGGCTGGCTAACTTCCATTTGTCTGTTTGGTTGTTCAGTGCTGCTTCAGACTTGGGTGTTTTCTGGGGGTGTCAACATGGGATTCAAGCACAACCCAGGTGGACCATTTTCACCTCATGATGAATGCTGTTGGGCCTGTCCAATCTATGACTTTCTGGGTCACACAGAAGCCAATTCACACAGGTACTTGGAATCACATCGTTGCTTGGTGTCCTGTGGTTAAGCATTCTATCGAATCAGGACCAGGAACACTAAAAGTTGCTTCTAATGGGGAGCCATGTCTCTGCTGTGGATGACATGATCTTACTCCAGATCCCAGGCCCTCCACCATGACTCTCCCACTGCTGCTTGGTTCAGCTCCATCCTGCATCTTTCCCCACCCCTGCCCCTTCCAGTACCAAGAGGTCTGAGGGATGGTGGCTGCACCGCAGCCTGTATCTGCTGCAGGGTGCTTTCCTGTGTAGGCCTCACTTGAAGCTGGCCTCCTCCTATGTCACCTAGAGTGTGGGCCAAAGCAACATTTCTACATGTGGAATGTGCTGTCGTCAGAACTCCAAGAGGCTCACCGGAGAGTGTGCTTTCTTTTTTTGCAGTAAGGATGCAAAATGCAACACTTTGTAATTTACCTAGGAGGGGACACCCCTGGCATTCCCCTAAACACTGGACTCATAAAACTTCACTACAGTGACCTTTCCTGAAGCTCTGTAAGGTTTATCTTCACCTTCTGAAGTGCAAATGTTTTGCCAACGATGCCAGTGCACTTTCTACCTGCTGCTCATTCGCCCCAGTCAACATGAAGTTGTAAATGAAATGAGCTGATTTAATATCCTTTAGGATATCCAGTATGTCTAGTATAGTCATAAGACTATACTATAGAGGACAGGGGAGTTACAAAAGTCCTGAGGCAAACTATAATTCAATGTGTTGTGGATCCCACATGAATGTGAATCACTCCATATCCCCTTTGTAATTGGAATGGAAAGAAATGCACTCACCAAATCCACAGCTGCACACTGTGTGCCCAAGGCTTTGTTAATCTGCTCTACCAGTGATATCCAGACAGCACAAAAGCTGCACTTATAACTCCTACTTGGCCATATCTGGAGTAATCTCATTCATTCTTTAGGCCTCACTAGGCTTCCTCAGGGACAGATTGCTGGATTACACGGAGACAATAGGCAGCCTCAACACCACCCCGCCTCCTTCAGCTTTGTAATGGTGGTGTGACCCCCACAATACTTGCAGTGTCCTTCACAAGACCCACGCTGGGACACACTATGATTTTTGATTTGGCCAGGATGGGGGCAGTTTCAGAGGTTTCCCTTTGGCCTTTGGCATCAAGAGATCCCTTATACCACAGACTGGGGACCCAGTGTGGGGGTGACTCCACTTACCAGAGCATCAGTGTCAATTATGCACTCAGGGAATTGGAAGATAATCAGGGTTGGGTCTATGCATCCAGTGGTCCCATTGCGGGCCATAATGTGTCCAGGTTTACTCCCTGGCCTCCGTAAGCCCCACTGTGATGGAGAAGATGATTGTGCTGTGGGCATCTGGGCATCAATATCAGCTTACATGCAATGAAAATGATCCCCCCTAGTTCTGCCTATTTCCCTTCCCCAATGTACAGTCTCCTGAGTAAATGGCTATAGGTTCCCTTGCTGAAAGACTGAGGGAATTGTCCCAGCCATATATCTCCATGGTGTCCCAGGGTCCTTTCTCTAGGGATATGGACTCCTCCTCTGTCACTGAGATCTGAGTCTGAATCTTGATTGAGGTCTAGGCATTGAGAAGGGGATCATGGCTTTGTATTTGGTCGAACACCCTCAGTCTCCTGCTCCTCAATTCTTGCTTTCTTATCATATATATCAAGCAGTGCCCTTGTTGGCTGCCTCTTGTAACCCTGGTGTCCTCTCTACTAACTTTCCCCACACTCCCTGCAGCTTGAGTCCCCTTGGCTGCTCCTCTGAGGTTGCCATGGTAACCATGCCCTCCGGCTTTTGCAGGTCACTGCCACCACTTGTTCTCAGTCTCTTCAGGCCCACATTCTCCCCAGAGATATGAATAAGCACAACTCTGGGACCTTTACTATCATCCCCCCCAGCCTGCAGAGGATAACACCCCGACACTTCTTAGTGATGCAGGTCCCTCTCCACAGCATGTTCCTGAGGCTCTGGTGGAAGGTGTGCCCTCTGGGTCCTCTTGTGGAGCATGGTCCTGGTGGGCCTTCATCACGCCCACTTCCCTCAGCCTTGTTATTGCATCCTCTACATGTTCCAGGATAACTAGGTCATATCTACCTTGTTGAGAGTTGGGCATCATTTTTTCCAGTCTATATGGACTCACCCCAGTAGTGGGTTTACCCCATGTCCTGGGTTCTTTGATAAACCCATGTCCTGAGAAAGTGCCTCCAAGCCAAAGGATTTTTATTCATCCAGACTGAAATTCTAGTTTATTGATCAAATGCCCTCAAATTCCAATCCCAGAAGTGCACCCCAGGCCCCTATGGGGACATGCTGGCTAGTTCCTGCAAAGCTCCTGAGTGGGATTCCTGCTGCATCGTAGGAGTGAGGCTTCTGTAGCATCTTTCAGCATAGGAAGTGGGAACGATTACTAGAGAAGGGTGAGCCTCCTCTGCATGCCCAGGGGTTCCTGGAGGAGGGCACCCATCAGATAACTCTGTTCTAGTTTGCAGAATCTGAGGTTCCCCCACCAGGGCCCTGACTTTCCTATAAAAGGCCTGTGTTGGCTGAGTATCAAACGTCTCTGGAGCACTGTGCCCACCATAATGATGTTCAGCTACCATTCCATGCTATCTGCTCTTTTGATCCAGGAGATAAAGGCCTCTCCATGAGACACTGCAGAGACTCTCACACATAGCCAGTGACAGCTGTTAACAACCTGCAGATTCTCATTATCCTTTTATAGAGCATCAACACAGCTGGGAAGTAACCAGCCAACTCCACTGTCTTTGTGGGTTTACCCCCAACTCCATCATTATTGTGCAGGGCATTCTATCACCACATCTGCCATAGCTTCCCCTAACCAGAGCATCTTCTCAGGTTAGCACTGGTGAGACCCACGGCAGCTCAGATGCAACTTCTCTATGGACTTTCTTTGTCCCCCGCTAACCTAGATGGCATCCTCTTGGCCTGACAGGCAGTGGGAAAGCTTATTTCAAATTTCCAGTTTTGGTCATTTTCATGGATCACCCTTGATACCACTTGTGATAGCTGCGGTCCTGAACTTAGACCCCAATACAGTATTAAATGTGTAAGGATTTATTAGGGGAAATAGTTGTGAGAGAAAATCAGGATAGAGACAGAAATGCTGGAAAAGCCATCAGATCACAATGCAACTCTGAGTCCCAGTGAAGGAGAGAGGGCAGGAAGGTCAGCTGGAAGCATCCTAGACCCTGTGTAGGCTAAGGGAAGCTCAGTAGGGATGGCAGGGAGTCCTGGAGCCTCAGCCAGCCTTCAGAGTAGGAATATTCTTGCCTTAGTTTTCCTGCTTTGGTCAATCATTGGTTGGAAAAAGCTGGGGCAGGTGTGGTCTCAGATCAAATGTGACAATAGATTTCAGGCTGCGACAGCTGGGACATCATCAATTATTCTTCCTCTACCTGAGGGCCTGGGATGTGCATCCTCATGAGTGCCACAATGATCCACTGGAATAAAAGGAAAAGGGATGACAATAGAGGGAAAAAAAAGGTATTAATTGATGAACTAACACTTTAAGTAGATGAGAAGGGATGATGTTCAGGGCACCAGCAGAGGAACTGGCTCTGGCTGGGAGCAGGATGGTTAACACACAGCAATCCCCCATGTAGTAAAATGCCTGACATGTGGTGCAGCTGCAAATGCATGAGCAGACGGTGGTGGAATCTGTGAAGTTGTCTTCTAAATGTGTTCAGTTTTCTCAGTGAAGTAGGAAGCAAGATCATCAGCGGAAGTAAGAATGGGGAAGGAAGATTGGATGTGTGAGGACAGAGAGAAGGTATGTAAGAGTCACCCAGGCCAGGAGGAGGCTGAGAGTGAGCCATGCAGGGAGAGGGTGATTGCTGGCTATGGTGGGGGCTCCCCATGAGGTTTGGGTCGTGAATGTAGAGAGAACAGTCAGCATGCTGTGTGCTGCTCTCCAGCCTCCTGCAGCTTATGGGGGCAGGTGCAGTGTAGGCTGAGGTGGAATCCACTAGCTGTGTAGTTTTGCCAGGCAAGTGTGACAACGAAAGGGAGAGGCAAGGGAGGGATGGAAATTATTTACTACAGAATCCAAAATGGATGAGGAGGGAGGAGAGGACAACAAACACTAAGGGAGAAGGAATAGATAGCAGCATCACTGGATTGGGAATTTCAAGGGGGTGGAAAAATTATTGGAATAGATGTACTACAGAATGGACTCCATGCCTGGAAAGCAGGCACACATGCAATGAGTGGTTCACTGATGTTACATTATAGCATATGATCAAATTATAGCATCAGTGTCTTCAGAGCCTGTGGCTACCCTGCAAGGGGATGAGTGGAAAGATGGTCAGAGAGTGGGAAGTGTGAGATTGAGAGTGTGGAAGGGCTGGGGTTCTTTGCCATGATGAGGCCTAGGGGAGGACAAGGTCCTGAGATTCCGGCAGAGAGAGGAGATGGTAATGAAGAAAAGGAGTTCCAGGATCTGAGAGGCCAGGGAGTGAGGGCATCTTCTCTGCTGTATAGGTGTCTATTGCTGCCATAAAAATTACCACAAACCAAGCAGCTTTAAACAGCACCTAATTATCATGTCACAGTTGTGTGGGTTGCAAGTCCACCCAGTCTCACGGGGCTAAGATCAAGGTATGGGCAGGTCTGTGCTCCTTCCTGGAGAATCTGGGGAAGAGTCCACATCCAAGCTTATTCAGGTTCTTGTCTGAATTCACTTCCTGCAGATAGAACTGAGCTTCCCACTTCCTTTTTGGGAGCACCCTTAGATCCTAGAGACTTCTCTCTGGTGCCTAAAGCACATCCAATCCTCCTGCTTGGAACCACTGATCTCCCCTTTGCTGTGTCTCCTCTGCCTTCCTTCTCTGCAGCATGTGACTCCATCTAGAGCAGATTCTCTCCTTTTAATGGCTCATGTGATTTGATCGGGCCCACACAGAGAGTCCAGGATGATCTCCCTACTTTAAGGTCCTTTATCTTCATTACATGAGTAATGTCCCTTTTGCCATGCAATGCAACCTGTTCACCGACTCCAAGGACTAAGACTGGATCTCTTTGGGGACTAGTACTCAGCCCAGCACATCTGCATATGTTGAAGTCAGAAAGAATCAAGGAGACAGCACTGCTGGAGAGGGTGACAGTGATCTAGGAGCTACAAGAGTTAGGATTGACAGGAATGGCTTGGGGCCCACAGGGAATGGCTACAATGAGGGGAGCGGCGCCTTAGTCTGATGACAGCTTAGGGGTTTTAGGGAGGAGGGAGGCAGAAAGGTCTGAGAACCACAGTGAAGAGCAAGGACCCCACCTCACCTCTGAACCCAGGGGTATAAGTTGCTGGGAAACTCCCCCATGTAGGGGAACTTCAGAGCGGGTCACATCCTCAGGAAGACCTGGTTCCTGCTAGAGCTTCGAGGTGAGGGAGCATCCTGAGAGAGAATGAGGAGGTTTTGCTGATCATGGACTGAGGATTCCAGATTCCAGGGAGTACAGAGGGAAGATTTCTGGAGTTAGGTAGGGGACATGGTGGGGGGACAGAATAGAGCGTGCGGAGCCTTGTGGGGATGCAAGTGCTGGGTATATGGGGGACCCAGTGTGACTGACACAAACAGGGAAAGGGCATGAGGAGCTCAGTCCTGGTGGACTCGAGGCAGACGATGGTGCTGAGGCTGTGGGAGATGAGGGAGGAGGAGCAGGCATGGCTGTCACCTGGGCTCTCTCCATGGAGGTGAAGACAGTGAGGTGGTTGGGTCTTAGTGCTGTGTGGACCTTCTGATGACTGGATGGAGTGTCTGAGGGAGGAGGGGTCTTAGAGGATTCACTCGTGACCCTGAGGGAGGGTATGTTCTCACTTCAGGTCTCAGGTGTGCCCTGACACCTTTCTTTGTGGCTTAGGGCTCCCTACTGTAAATTATTGGGGATTAGTACCTTTTGGAATTTGTAACTTAAAGCAGAAACTCAGATGGTCGAAATGTCATTTTCATGAAGGTTTGTTATTAGCGTATCATTTAGATTGTCTTGCAAAAGTCTCATTTTTTGTTGTTTTTCTAAAGGGCTGTCGATCTTGTTTTAAATTTACAAATATTGATAATTTATCTCCACTCTTAATTGGTTGGGGGTTGTTTAATTTTGTACTGCATAGTTTTACATATCTATAACAACAGTGGTTTGGGCCTCTTATGTTCTAATAATTAAGACTTTAAGCTGTGTACACATTGCAATTCAAGTATGAGTCATGCATAACCCTGGCACTAAGAGACAAGAGGGAAAGTCCTTCTCTCCTAAAATTTTGCAAAGGTTCTGGGTTCTTTTTCCACTGAGTGGGAACAAGTCAGCTAGTGAGGAACATGAGGTCTTTGGCCTCATCGAAAGGTGATTCATCTCCCAACTGTGAGAAGCACTGACCACTAGGAAGACCTCCCTGCCTGGTCCCTGGACCCCTACACCATGGTAGAGGCTATCTTCCCTCCCACTGCAGAGTGATATCCCAGATAGCAAGCTGGTTAGCTGCTGCCAGCTCTTGGGTAGTTTTGTCTTCTAAGGCATGGGTTTTTATCTGAAAATCTTCCCCTTCCCAGATGACCCAAACTGGGGCCACCCACTCTTTTCTGAGCCACCTCTGCCCAGAGACCTGTGGCTATGCCCTCCAGTCACAACAGAACATCCTTTCAGAACACCTTGCAGGAAGCTGAGATCTCTACAGACTCACATGAATGGTGTGTGCACAGAGCTTTGGTTCTAGTTCAGGAGGTGTGGAGTGAGGCTCGCTAATCCAACAGAGCTTGAGGCTAGTACTAGTGTCATATGCCAGGAGGCAAGGTTACAGGGAATACAAAGTGTCCAGACCTACCAGAGAAGGCAAACCCCTGTAACAGGCAGGGCTAGACAGGGACAAGAAACAAGGTCATTCTGGGCCAGCAAGAAGAGGGAAAGGGAAATTACAGACATATCTCAGAGAGATTGCAGATTTGGTTTCAGATCATGCAAACAAAACAAGTCACACAATTTTTTTGTTTTTGTAGTGTACATAAAAGTTATATTTATACTTTAGCCTATTAAGTATACAATAGCATTATGTATAAAATAGATATGTACATACCTTAATTAAAAATTACACTACTGCTAAAAAATGCTAACAGTCATCTGAGGCTTCAGCTAATACTAATGTTTTTGCTGGAGTAGGGTCTTGCCTCAATGTTGATGACTGCTGACTGATCACAAGGTGGCTGCTGAAGGCTGCTGTGGCAACTTCTTAAGACAACAAAGTTTGTGGCATGGATTGTAAAGTGGGAATTAGTACATAAGTAAGGTCAATATGAGTTTTCAAGTCAAGTGGACCTGAATATGAACCCTTCAGGCCTTTCCACCAGCTAGCTATAGAACCCTGGGCACATCTGGCCCACAATTGGCCCTGACAGACACTTTCACAGTGAATGAGTGCTGAATGAAACCATATGAGTCAGTTTCCTCATCTGCAAACCAGTGATGTAATTCCTGCCTTGCCAATTCAGAAGAATACATGAGAAGAAACATAGTGCCAAGAAAAACAGACACAAGACCTGTGGAAGGCTGGGCACCAGTGCTCTAAAGCAAGATCTGCCTAAACTGGCAGGAACATTTTTCACAGCAGACAGGAGTTGGTCTGGATTCTGTCTGGGGCCAGGCTGAGAGGGAGGTGGGGGCAGCAGAACGGGACAGGGGCAGGGGCCTATGCAGGGCCAGGCACTGAAGCAAAGCCCAGGCCTGGAAGGGCGGGCTCCTGATGTCTGCTAGGAAACTCAGACAGCTCCCTGCCTCACCTGCCATGGTGTTTCCTCTTCCAGGATCTCTCGGAGCTGTTGCCTACACTTTTCCTGCCTTGGAAAGTGGAGATGATAACGAAAAGCTGTTGCCAAATTAAAGGAGGCTATTGCCTCCTCTCCCCTCCTGGTCCCTAGCACTCCAGGACTCACAAAGATGCTGCTCTGAAAACCCCAAGGCAAGCGTGGAAGAGTAGAACAGCTCCAGGGGCAGTGGGAAGATGAGGGCACCCCCGCATGTTGACGGACACCAAGGGTGGGGGTGGAGGAGATGAAGGGGATCAGCACAGGAGTCTGGGGGAAATCCTCTAAATCCCACCCTGCACCAACCTCACCCCTGCAGCTCCTTGGGTAGTTACAGCTCTCAGCTCTCAGCTCCTTCCCAACCACACCCCAGCCCAGACCTCAGGGCTCCTCCCTCTCCCCACCCCCTCCAGAGCAGCACAGTCCACAGAGCCCTTGAAAAGGAATTCCCCCTCATCTAACAGTTAATTATTTCTTAGTGGGGAGGGACAGCCGGTCCTCTCTTTCCAGTGACCCCATATCTTTGTTCAAGGCATCCAGTTATACTCCCTGAGCCAGGGATCTCTAGGCCAGCTGGGACCTAACAGCTTCTCCAGTTGCTCAGGGGTCAGCACTTATGCAACCTGGCATCTGTGCCTGGCACTTCCTTCAGATGTCTGGCTGTCCTCGGAGGGCTGGAGTCCAAGGAGTTGGGGCAAGTAGGGGGTAACCAGGCAAAGCTTGAGTTGCAAGAAGACAGGGATATTGGCCATCCTGGTCATTGTAGTCTTATCAGGTCCTTGTCCCTTGTGGAGGCAGAATTCACCACATGTTAGTTTTTCCTGCTGTAATGAACATGAACTTGGGGTTGGTGCACTGATACAATAAGGTTTGCTCTGCTGCAGTAGTGTTACCTCAGTGTAAGAGAAACAAAGGCTTCAATATAACATTTGCCTGTGTATCTCACAGCCTAAGGGCTAACAGAGCATCTGTGGGAACACAGTGGCCCACACCCTAGTCAGGACCCCACAAGGACTGAACCAAATGTAGGGTCATTAGCTTTTCCTGGCCTCAAATAGGAGTCTCACCCTGCCTTAGCCATGACTCCCACGCCATGTACATGTGGTAGGGGCCTGTGTGCCCAGCAAGGACACAGTTCAGAGAGCTTTCTTCATTACCTAGGGTGAGTGGCTGGAAAAAAAAAAAAGTTGCCCACGCCCATGAGGCCCTGGAGGGAAGCATAGAACCTACTACTAAATTCTTCTGGGCTGACCCATTCAGGCATGGTTTCCTCTGTATCAAAGTTGCTCTCTCACTGATCTACTGACAGCTAGCTCTTAACAAAAGAGTGTGTGGAGCAGTAAAACTCATGTCGGCCTGAGAGGGCCCCAGACATGTAATGATGTCTGGTGGCTTTGGCTCGGGCCACCCCATGGCTGTCCTCCTTCTTGGGCGTTCCCCGCTCCCATCTCACTGGAGCCATGGTGGGTTCACCTGTCCTCTCTTCTCACTCCCATTCTTCAGGGTGGGATGCAGTGGTGTGCTCCTCTCTCCCCAACAGAGCACTGGGTCCCTTTTGGAGTCTAGTTTCTCTTTTCACCCCCAAGCCTGCTGGGGAGGTCTCAATTCCAGGAAGTTGGCTGCTGGGCATCCACTATAGGCTCGAGCCCTGGACCACAGGCGCTGTCATATTTTGGGTGGAAAGGAATTTGTTTCTTTTCTGCAAAGTAAAGGAAAATGGAATGAGGGCAATTAGGTTGATCTCATGATGTCCATGGGTCCATGGGAACTTGAAAGACTCATCCCCTTCCCCCTGCTTTAAGAAGATAAATGGAGAAAAGGAGCTCCCATTAAGGGAAAACATTGACTCTATTCCTATTGACTCTATCCTTGAAATGGAATTTGGATTCAACTTCAAAATTGAATTCATTTTTAGGGATAGAGTCAAATTCAAATATTGACTCTATCCCTGAAATTAAATCACGAGCAAATAAGAAATTTATGAGATCCAAACTAAGCCATTTAAGTAAACTATTCCAGAATTTAAAGCTCAGCAATGACAAGATATCAGGAAACAGTGACAATTCTCCCACTCCACAGGTGAGTCCAGTGAGACTGGTCAGGGCTTGCTGCCTGCTCCTTGGTGCTGTCCTGGTACTTTGGAAGCATCTATGATTCTGTGAACCTCACCCACAGCTGCCCAGCAACTTCCTTTTGCTTATATGAGCCAGACTCTGCTTTTATGGCTTATACTCAAATAATTTAAGTTATTTATTTATGAGTTATACGTCCCATGTGGAGATAGGGAAGGAGAGTTAGGTACTCTTCAATGTTACTACCTGCTAAGCATATATACATGATTTTTTTTTTTTTTTTTTTTGAGACGGAGTCTCACTCTGTCACTCAGGCTGGAGTGCAGTGGCATGATTTTGGCTCACTGCAGCCTCTGCCTCCTGGGTTGAAGCAATTCTCTTACCTCAGCCTCTCAAGTAGCTGAGGTTACAGGCACCCACCATCATGCCCAGCTAATTTTTGCATTTTTAGTGGAGACAGGGTTTCACCACTTTGGCCAGGCTAGTCTCGAACTCCTGACCTCAGGTGATCCACCCGCCTCGGCCTCCCAAAGTACTGGGATTACAGGCGTGAGTCATCATGCCTGGCCGAAACGTTGCTTTTTAAAGGTATAATTTTGGATTAGAGCAAATGCTAGTGTATTTAAGTAAATTCCATGAAGAATGTGAACACTGTAAGCAAGTGCATTATTCTCAGCTTCCATCTCCTCACAGAGCCATCATCCACTCTCTTCCATCCTGCCCCCTACACTGGGAGGCAACTATGACAGACAGACGACATGGCCTGTGCTCCTTCACCATCTGGCTTGTGCTTGGGTGTGGATGATAACAGGCACCTGCAGGAGATGGGAGTGTGGGAGGAGGAGTAACTCAGGGTTTTCATTTCCCTCTCTTACTCTGGGCAGCTCTGTGATTCTGTAATCACTTCAGGCCTCTATCCACAGCCATAGGCATGCCGGGCTGCCCCTAGTGAAAGCTACAGATTTGCCGGAGTTCTAGAAACTGCTCCCTTCCTTGCTCTTTCAAGCTCAGAAATGCAAACCATTTCCTGCTACAGATCATCCCAGGGAGCTTCAGTGCCCCTTGTGACTTTCTTAGCCCTGCCAGAACCTCTTTAAAACGTGTCTTCCTTCTGTGCCATCTCTTTCCTGCCAGGACCCAGACCACAGGGTGCTCCCACAGAAAAAGGGACAAGAATTTATTTATGACATGGCAATAACATATCTATTCACAATGCGAATTCAATTTGTTTTGGAAGAGACTGGGTCTTGTTATGTTGCCGAGGTTGGTCTTTAACTACTGGCCTCAAGCAATCCCTTTGCCTTAGCCTTCCCAAAGTGCTAAGATTACAGGCGTGAGTGAGTGTGCCCAGGCCTTAATTCAAAAATTTGACTTACTACAATAAAAGGGAAACAATAGAAGCATTCTGGAAATGGAACAGGAAAGAAGGCAGAGGTGGGAACGATCAATCTGTGTCATCTGAGAAGCCCCATGTGCAGAGGCTGTCCTGGGTCTTTAGGGGACGACAACAACAAAGCACACAGGATCCTGGTGTCAGGGACAGAGCATGGCCACTGTGGGACATAGCGGCTCTCCTACAAAATAATGCTCATATACATCCCTTATGAGGAGGATCAGATCAACATATAAAAATATGCCAGATAAAGTGGAGGCGAGGGCAGGATGGAGAGCTGCCAGTATCTGCCCTTGACCTCCATGGACTTGAAGAAAGGCTCAGCCTGGAGTTGTGTGAGGCCTCCGACCTGGAGCAGCACCCACCCCTAAAGACCAGGCACCAATCACAATGCAAGGAGAGATCCAGACAAATAAACAGGAAATGACCACAGCAGGAGCTTTGTTGAGCACAGAGCGAGGCCACACACCACTCAGCACCTGGCCCTCCACCCGCCCTTCTCTCCCCACCTGCCCCTGCCCCAGCACAGCAGATCCTCAGAATCCAAAAAGAGAACCTAACCTCCATGTTTTATTAATGGCTGATAATATTTTACCACAGCTTCAAAGAAATGATATGAGAACAATAACTAATAGAGTAAGAAGTCTATTCAGGGTGAGTGAGTGACAAGGGAAATCTAGGAGGCAGATATTATAACCCTTTCATTCCCAGAAAAGAAATGATGGTCCAGGGAGATACACCAGGCCTGGATATTGAGATTATGTGGAAGGGGTTCTGGGGCATCAGAGGAGTGGGCCTCACTCCCACCATCCTCCCCTTGCTATGCTTGGGAGGAGATAGAGCTCATCAGCTGCACAGCTGGGGAAAGAGAAGTCAGGGTCTTCCAAGAGACAAGGGGAGCTGTGAACAATCTGTGTCTTGCTGGTCTGCACAAGGCAGCTCTCAAACAGTGGAGAACATGCTAATGAGCAGATTCAGCTCAGCCACTCTCAGCCTTGACACCCTGAGCATTACAGACAGCCCATGACCAACCCCTACTTTCAAATCCAAAGATCCCCTACAGCTTGAAGCTGCTCCCCGGCCTCAACTCCTGTTGGTGTTGGGCCCCAAGGGTCATATTTCAGGAAGCTGTGAGCACCACATCAGCATCAGGGACCCGGTCACCACCTGGAGAATGATAATAAAAAGACCCAGCAGAGCCTGCAGGAGGAGACTGTATTTGAGGCAGGACCATGGGATAAGTGAGGAATGAGACGGTGGCTCCATCCTGTCTATTTCAGGAGTTAGAGATGAGCTGCCCCTACCGCCCTTTCCATGCTGCTTTTTATTGAGTAGACCCCTCCTGAAGTTCTTTTGAGGAGGGAAGACCCTGTTAGGTGCCATGGTAGAGAGGGGCCCTGTGAGTCTTAAATAACTGGTTAATATAGCTACTTAGCTGAAATTAGGAAGGTAAACCCAGGATTCAGGAGAGGAGAAAGAGACAGCATGGGATCCTGCAGTCACCCTCCTGTACATCTGTTTGCAGGGAGGGTCTTTCCTGCAGGGTTGGGAGCACCCAGTATTGAGGTCCTCTGAGTATGGCTACCCTATTGTTCTCATCTGTGAATGGGGCCAGGCCTGTTTCTTCCCCCAGTATAAACAGCCAGGGGAATCCATCCACAAAACACCTGCTAGCTTCACATTAATCCTGTATTAGTTTGATTTAATATTTCATATCTTATAAGAAATGAAATGGAAGGATGATCTCTTTGGTAAAGGTAATTCAGATTTCTGGGGCCCTGGATACCTTATCTCACTGTTTAAAATCCTCATGGAGGATCAGGAGAGTACAGAGCCCAGAAACAGTCACGAGACCTGAAGCTCCCTGGTGTAAAGGACCCTCCCCCACACCCTGGGGCTTAGAGTGAACAGCACAGCTGACTCCCAGGGTCTGCAACCTCTGGCCTCTACTGTCAGCCTGATTGTTCTCAGTCTTCCTGGCTGCCAAGCTTCTGGTTCCCAGCAGCCTCCTCTCTCACCCTTCACCTCTTCTGACTGGGGTCATTGGCCACTTGACAGGCAGTGCCCTCCTTGTCAGTCAGCCTGTCTACCTGGTTTCCTCTCAGGGTGTGTGGCTTGACTGGGTTAACCATCCCCAGCCCCAGCAGAAACAGGGAGAAGTGACTCAGCAAATCCCCCAAGAGCAGCGGGATCCCTACATGTGAGATGGGGCAAAGCCATCATTCTAGTCCCTCCCATACCTGAGAACTTCTTGCACATCACAAGTCCAAGGACCATAGCAGGAAGTAGCTCTAAGCCAGAGACAAGAACAGAGCAGTGACAAGAGGCTGGTGTGAATGGAGACCAGCAAGCTCTATTGAGAGTAGTGGGATGAGGCCACAGATGCCCTGTGTTGAGGGGCTAGTAGGAAATGGTGGGAGACTGGGATTTCATTGCACTAAGAAAGGAAGAGGATGGAGTGTCTGTGGGATGTGATGGTGAGGATGTGCCGTAATTCCCATTTGAAAGGCTCGCTCTGCCTGTTGCATGGGTGATGGACAGCAGGTGTGAGAAGCAGCAGGCAGCCCAGCTGGAAGGCCCATCTGATTTACTATCCTAGAGAGGATTGGCTCTGGGGTAAAGTAGTAGAGGAGTGAGAAGTGATTGGATTTGGGGTCAAATATTTAAGATGGTGTTAGCAATAAGTCAATGGAGAATCACACATTTATTTACTTAACTTAATTCTACAGTTCATTCCCAGGAGTTTACAGCAACAAACCCATGGTAATAAATATACATGAATTATTTTAAAAACAACACCAAGGAAAATATAAACTTTAGAATGTTAAGGCTGGGGTAAAGCTAGCACATTGCTAGGCACGAAGGAGCATCTGAAACATTTGCTGAAATGGTTTACTGTTTACCTATCCATGGATTTGTTGGCTCACAATTTTATTGCATCAGAGCACCATGGAGAGGGGTGACAGTGCAGGTCACCAACCCTTAGTTTTCTGCTTCAGGAACAGTTCCTTGTTCTACACTTAGAGTCAAAGCAAATT